>NC_000002.12:61705503-62008534 GCF_000001405.40 Homo sapiens | reverse complement strand
AGCTATTTGGAGTAAGACAACATAATCTCAAAATGGTGACTGAACGTTGATAAAATAAAATGGCATTTTATTTAATCCCTATATCCTATCCTTACAAATCCCTCTATGTATTTACACACATACACAGGTATAAACAAATATATATGTGTGTGTGTGTGTGTGTGTGTGTGTGTCTGTCTGTGTGTGTGTATGAAAGATTGTGGGTCTGTGTGCATGTGCACGCAACTTTGCTGCTTCCCCTATGACACAAAGCAGATAGCTGTGGTGACTATTCCTCAGGCTTGTGAAGCTACAGTGGTACATGACCAAGCTCAGTATAAACTGATTTTATTTATTTACTTATTTATTTATTTAGAGACAAGGTCTCACTTTCACTCTGTCACCCAGGCTGGAGGGTAGTGGCGCAATCACAGCTCACTGCAGCCTCGACCTCCTGGGCACAAGGGATCCTCACTCTATCGAGTAGCTTGGATTACAGACATGCAGTATCACATCTGGCTAATTTTCATATTTTTTGTAGAGATGGGGTCTCGCCATGTTGATCAAGCTGGTCTCAAACACCTGGGCTCAAGTAATCTGCCTCCCTCAACCTCTCAAAGTGCTGGTATTACAGGTGTGAGCCACTGCGCCCAGACATAAACGGATTATTAATTATATGTTTTAGCAGATTCTTACTCCTTATTTACTAGCTAGAATTACAAAAGCAGATCAGTGTATAGTTATGCATAGCTTAACGATGAGGATACCTTCTGAGAAATGTGCCATTAGGTGATTCATTGTGTGAACATGATAGAGTGTACTTACACAAACCTAGATGGTGTAGCCTGCTATACACCTAGGTTATATGGTATAGCCTATTGCTTCTAGGCTATAAACCTGTACAGGGCATTACTGTACTGAATACTGTAGGCAACTGCAACACAATGATAAGTATTATATTTGTGTAACTAAACATATCTAAATATAGAAAAGTTACCTTTAAAATACAGTATTATCATCTTATGGGACAACTATCGTATATGTGATCCATCAGTGACTGAAATGTCATTATGCAGAGCATGATTGTATTTAGTTTATTTCAAAAGAAATTTAGAAATTAAAAATAAATGAATACTTTCCCTCGAGATTAGAGGTTTATCTATGTTTCAGACAAAATTGCTGAGTTTTTAATACAGAACCCAACCTATTTTGATTCTGTAATGTATGGTCAGTGAATATCCCCCTCATCTAATTGCTTATAAATGACAGGAGTGAGCATATGAGTTGGTTAAAAAAACAACTAGATCAGAAAATATAAAAATCTGTCTTCCTCTATAGGTCTGCTAAAAACTCAACCCAAAACTAGACAAGTGCTTAAACTAAAACTTACTTGAGAAAAGGCAATAACATTAGCCATTAATAAATAAATTAAAAAACAACAAAGAAAAGAGTTTTATATTTTGGGATCTCTACATGCAGGGCATCTTAAAATCTATGTGCAAGAACAATTCAGTACTAAATGGTTCAGTACTGAGACTAAGTCTAAATGTTTCCTCACAAAATGTCCTTTTGGCCTTGAAGGACAAGAAGTCATAAAAGAAAACCTAATACATCTTTATAAAATACCCAAATTCAAGCCTAAAAAGAAGAAATAACCATAAATGAGACTCCACTGAAGGTATAAATTACCATCCCTTCTCCCCAGTTAGTGTTTAAAAAAAGAAAACACTTCTATCATAATCTCTACTGAAGTTCCAGGAAAGGAAAACACAACAAAGGTGTTAGGTGAATAAATATAAAACATTTCTAAAGACATATGCCAGATTCCTACAGTCCTCATGGCTCAGATCTCACAGTGATTTATGGCCAAATATGACAGGATTTCAGTCTCATAAGCAAAGCACTTGATGTTCATCTTTTGGATATAAAATATTCACCTTAAAGCTTTCTGCATGTTTTTACAATTGAATCATGTTTTATTTTTGCAAAATTTTTACTTCTGTTGGAAAAAACATTCACTACAAGCAAAGTAATTGGGTCAGTAGTTCCTACTCATTTTCTCTAGCTTTGCAGATTTCCATTAAGGTATAATGCCTTCTATTACTCTGGCTTCCTCATATCTCAAAGGATATCGCAATATATACTGTGATTTAGAAAACAAGGTTATGTATGTACTTGGCTTCCAATTTTCTTTTTTTTTTTAATTATTATTATACTTTAAGTTTTAGGGTACATGTGCACAATGTGTAGGTTAGTTACATATATATACACGTGCCATGCTGGTGTGCTGCACCCATTATCTTGTCATTTAGCATTAGGTATATCTCCTAATGCTATCCCTCCCCCCCTCCCCCCACCCCACAACAGTCCCCAGAGTATGATGTTCCCCTTCCTGTGTCCATGTGTTCTCATTGTTCAATTCCCACCTATGAGTGAGAACATGCGGTGTTTGGTTTTTTGTCCTTGCGATAGTTTACTGAGAATGATGATTTCCAATTTCATCCATGTCCCTACAAAGGACATGAACTCATCATTTTTTATGGCTGCATAGTATTCCGTGGTGTGTATGTGCCACATTTTCTTAATCCAGTCTATCATTGTTGGACATTTGGGTTGGTTCCAAGTCTTTGCTATTGTGAATAGTGCCGCAGTAAACATACGTGTGCATGTGTCTTTATAGCAGCATGATTTATAGTCCTTTGGGTATATACCCAGTAATGGGATGGCTGGGTCAAATGGTATTTCTAGTTCTAGATCCCTGAGGAATCGCCACACTGACTTCCACAATGGTTGAACTAGTTTACAGTCCCACCAACGGTGTAAAAGTGTTCCTATTTCTCCACATCCTCTCCAGCACCTGTTGTTTCCTGACTTTTTAATGATTGCCATTCTAACTGGTGTGAGATGGTATCTCATTGTGGTTTTGATTTGCATTTCTCTGGATGGCCAGTGATGATGAGCATTTTTTCATGTGTCTTTTGGCTACATAAATGTCTTCTTTTGAGAAGTGTCTGTTCATATCCTTTGCCCACTTTTTGATGGGGTTGTTTTTTTCTTGTAAATTTGTTTGAGTTCATTGTAGATTCTGGATATTAGCCCTTTGGCTTCCAATTTTCAAATGTTACTTTTTAGACCAAAGAAAAGTAATACAGACAAACTGAACAGGAGAGAGAAATTTAAATAGGGAGTGAGGGAAATGAAAGAAACCCACCTTCACTAGTTCCTGAATAAACAATCTCAAGCACTCTACAAATTACATCAAGTACAAGCAATATGCCAACATATATTGAATTCTTGTTGTAAAAATATGATACCAAGTTCTATTAACACATCAAATCCAATTATTTTGGCTACCTTTAACACAGTGGTTCTCAACCCTGGATACTGAAATCATCTGGGCAGCTTTAAAGAATAACGATACCTATGTTCCATCCCCACAGATTCTTATGTAATTGGCTGGGGGTAAGGTCTGAGCATCAACATGTTTAAAGCTCTGAATGTGATTCTTATGTGTGACCATGGTTGAGAACTACTGCTTTAAAATGATATAAACTGAAGACAGTACTTTAGTTGCCCTGGGGTACACAGATAGACATAAACACACACACCAGAGTTCAACAAAAACCTGGTCACCCTTCTTGGAAGCAACTTCTTGATATCCTAGGATCGTTAATTCTCTCACAAGCTCATCCAATGTCAGCAGTGTGAAAACAACTTTGATGTGGGTGCCTATAGGTGTTCTAAAAATTGGGTACTTGATTTAGTAGAGTATTTCATAAATAACACTAACCTAGAAGCTGGCATAAGTACTAACCAAGGATCCAGTTCTCACAAAAACATTTCCTGTAGGATGTGGGCTATATATTTTACTGCCAGTCTAGGTTCTATTATTGTTTACTTTATTCTTTACAACTTTTCTTGACTTCATATATTTGTATTAAAAAGGATTTTATAGGCCGGGCGCGGTGGCTCAAGCCTGTAATCCCAGCACTTTGGGAGGCCGAGGTGGGTGGATCACGAGGTCAGGAGTTCAAGACCAGCCTGGCCAAGATGGTGAAACCCCCATCTCTACTAAAAATACAAAAAATAAGCCAGGCACAGTGGCAGGCACCTGTAATCCCAGCTACTCGGGGAGGCTGAGGCAAGAGAACCACTTGAACTCGGAGGGTGGAGGCTGCAGTGAGCCGAGATTGTGCCACTGCACTCCAGCCTGGGTGACAGAGTGAGACTCCATCTCAAAAAACAAATAAAAAGGATTTTATGGGCTAAAGTGCAATATCAATCATTTTCATTGTGACTATTTCTTTACTACTTTGAAGTATGTGATGTACAATAAACTGTAAATAATAAAGTGTACAATTTTATAAGTTTTGACATATGTATACAATCATTGTCACACTTTTTTTCTTTTTCTTTTTCTTTTTTTCTGAGACACAGTCTCACTCTGTCACCAAGGCTAAAGTGAAGTGATCCGATCTTGGCTTGCTGCAACCTCCGCCTTCCGGGCTCAAGTGATTTTTGTGCCTCAGCCTCCTGAGTAGCTGGAACTACAGACACACACCACCACACACGGCTAATTTTTGTATTTTTAGTAGAGACAGGGTTTCACCATGTTGGCCAGGCTGGTCTCAAACTCCTGACCTCAAGTGATCTGCCTGCCTCAGCTTCCCAAAGTACTGAGATTACAGAAGCGAGCAACCTGTAACCTAGAAACCTATGATAGTATTAACGAAATAATATCATAGCTTTCTAGGAGTCTTAAAACAGATTATGTTTTCATATTCCTGACCAAATGTTAAATATAGACAAAATGAAATAAGCACTGCTGGCAGGATGAAAACTAAATAGCCGATATAAATAGCTGGTAAAACTTAGATATCCAAGTGTACTTATTAAACTTTTCTAATCTGTTGGGTGTGTGTGTGTGTGTGTGTGTGTGTGTGTGTGTGTAAAAATATCTGTCACATAACGTAATGGTTAAGAGAACAGACAAGTTTTTTTTGTTTTTTTTTTTTGAGACGGAGTCTCACTCTGTCGCCCAGGCTGGAGTGCGGTGGCACAATCTCGGCTCACTGCAAGCTCCACCTCCTGGGTTCACACCATTCTCCTGCCTCAGACTCCCCAGTAGCTGGGATTACAGGCGCCCGCCACCACGCCCGGCTAATTTTTTTGTGTTTTTAGTAGAGACGGGTTTCACTGTGTTAGCCAGGATGGTCTCGATCTCCTGATCTCGTGATCCACCTGCCTTGGCCTCCCAAAGTGTTGAGATTACAGGCATGAGCCACCACACCCGGCCTGTTTTGTTTTGTTTTGTTTTTTTTTTTTGAGACAGCGCCTCACTGTTGCCCAGACTGGAGTGCAGTGGCACCATCTCGGCTGACAGCAACCTCTGCCTCCCAGGTTCAAGTGATTCTCCTGCCTCAGCCTCCCAAGTAGCTAGGATTACAGGTGCCTGCCACCATGCCCAGCTAATTTTTGTATTTTTAGTAGAGATGGGGTTTCCCCATGTTGGCCAGGCTGGTCTTGATCTCCTGACCTCAGATGATACACCTGCCTCAGCCTCCCAAAGTGCTGGGATTACAGGCGTGAGCCACTGTGCCCAGCAAGAGAACTGACTTTAGGATCAGACAAACTAGTCAACAAGTACAAGTAGCACTACTTTATAATAACTGAATAAAAGGTATTCCATATTTAAATTTTTTTTTTGCAACAGGGTCTCCCACCCAGCCTGGAGTACAGTGATGTGATCCCTGCTCACTGCAACCTCCACCTCCCAGGATGAAGCAATTCTCCTGCCTCAGCCTCCTGAGTAACTGGGATTACAGGTGCCCGCCACCATGCCCGGCAATTTGTTGTTGTTGTTGTTTTGTTTTGTTTTTGTATTTTTAGTAGAAGAGATGGGGCTTTACCATGTTGGCCAGGTTGGTCTTGAACTCCTGACCTCAAGTGATCCACCTGCCTTGGCCTTCCAAAGTGCTGGGATTACAGAGATGAGCCACTGCGCCTGGCCAAAAATTTTTAATGAATTATCTTTTTTTTTTTTTTTTTTTTTTTTTTTTTTTTTCTGGTGGAATCTCGCTCTTGTCACCCAGGCTGGAGTGCAGTGGCTCAATCTCGGCTCACTGCAACCTCCACCTCCCGGATTCAAGCGATTCTCCTGCCTCAGCCTCCCAAGTAGCTGGGATTATAGGCGCCTGCCACCATGCCTGACTAATTTTTGTGTTTTTAGTAGAGACAAGGTTTCACCATGTTGGCCAGGCTGGTCTCAAAGTCCTGACCTCAGGTGATCCACCCACCCTGGCCTCCCAAAGTGTTGGGATTACAGGTGTGAGCCACTGTGCTCAGGCTGAATTATCTTTTATTATTTAAAAAAAATTTTTTTCTTGAGACAGAGTTTCGCTCTTATTGCCCAGGCTGGAGTGCAATGGCATGATCTCGGCTCACTGCAACCTCCACCTCCCAGGTTCAAGCGATTCTCGTGCCTCAGCCTCCCAAGTAGCTAGGATTACAGGCATGTGCCACCATGCCCAGCTAATTTTGTATTTTTAGCAGAGGCGGGGTTTCTGGTCTCTGTTGGTCAGGTTGGCCTCGAACTCCTGACCTCAGGTGATCCGCCCACCTCAGCCTCCCAAAGTGCTGGGGTTACAGGCATAAACTGGGATTACAGGCATGAGCCACTGTGCCAGGCCCTGAATTATCTTTTAAATTAAAATTAAAGTCAGTACAGAACTGCAAACACTGAAAAATCTAAAGAAACTATAAAAGAAAATATGTAAGAAAATCTGACAGCTCATCAAGTAAGAAATAAATTTCTATTGTAGGATATAATAGAAGCACTTATTTGATTATTTATCTGAAAATAAATGTGATTAGCTAATTCATTGACCTGGGTTTTCTCTTCCTAATTACCAGTTTCTTTTTTTTTCCCCAAAGACATAAGCCAGATCATTAAAAGTCTGAGCTGGCAGTCATCTGGAACACAAAGTGAATGACTTCAAGAAAAACCATATAGACATTAAAATTATCTGCTATAATGACTGCTGTAACTGTTGGGAAAAGAAGCACTGTACATAAGATTAAACTGAGAATTATTTGTGACCTCAAGGACAGAGATAGCACATTTAGGGGTCTTTACGAACAATGTATTAATGTAAATTAAGATACACTGCCTCCTATACCTGACTGATTATTAAAGATGACTGGATGAGATTGTGTTGTTTAATCCAAATTCTTGGTCTTTATTTATTATCTCTATCATTGCCTTGGAAATTCTGAACAAATGCCAAGGATTTTGAGATCTAACCAAATGCAGTAGTGGTCAGCTTCTGAGCAATCACATTATTGGCCCATTCTGTTCTTCTGAGACAGCTGCCAGGACCCTGAGGCTAGTTTCCAGACTCTGTCCACAAGTGAGAGTATCCAAATTTTCAGATGATTCTACCTCTGAAAAAGGATTCTAGGAAACAGTGTCTTTTCCTGTTGCTGTTATTGCATAAAATCAAGCTGAATAGACAAGCTAACATGTAGTGAAAAATACAGTTTACAAAGGAAAATTGACTTAAGTTTAACTCACCTGTCCATATTTGCCTAATTCCAGCTCTATAATGGCAACAGGTGTGTGTATTTGAGCTGAGTGCCTTGACTGAGACTTGCCATCAACTCTCCAGCTCAGGCCCCGAAGCCCGCTATTCCAGCGGCTCTGGTTCATGAGGCTCTCACGGATTTTTGTCTTGTGGCTCTTCCAGAATTTGGAAATGACAGCAGCTTGGTCAGATGTGATCCCACCTTGCTTTTTGGTTTGAGCAGTCAAGAATGCCTCCAGCTGGTTGAAATCCATGTCTGCAGACGCAATAGACTATAAAGATGACAGAAAAAGCAAAAAATTTGAATTAAATAGGTAATTAGAAAAAGATAGCTTCTTAACTACAGATTATATTTTGAGTGACTCTTAAATCACTGAAATAGCCCAGACACAATGGCTCACACCTGTAATCTCAGCACTTTGGGAGGCAGAGGTGAGATCACTTGAGGTTAGGAGTTAGAGACCAAACTGGCCAACATGGTGAAACCCTGTCTCTACTAAAACTACAAAAATTAGCCAGGCATGGTTGTGCGTGGTATATATGCAATAACAGCAATCTCAGTAATCTCAGCTACTCAGGAGGCTGAGACACAAGAATCGCTTCAACCGGGAGGCAGGGACTGCAGTGAGCCAAAATTGCGCCACTGCACTCCAGCCTGGGTGACAGAGAGAGACCCTGTCTCAAAAAAAAAAAAAAAAAAAATTCACTGAAATAAATTTTAATAAAAGGTCATCAAGGGACAGTAAAGAGGCCAGGTACAGTGGCTCACACCTGTAATCCCAGCACTTTGCAAAGCTGAGGTGGGCAGATTGCTTGAGGTCAGAAATTTGAGACCAACCTGGCCAAAATGGTGAAACCCTGTTTTTCCACTAAAAATACAAAATTGGCCGGGTGTAGTTGCGCACACCTGTAGTCCCAGCTACTCGGGAGGCTGAGGCAGGAGAATCGCTTGAACCCGGGAGGCAGAGGTAGCAGTAGCTCAGATCACACCACTATACTCCAGCCTGAGCGACAGAGCAAGACTGCACTCAAAAAAAAAAAAGTGGGTGGGGGAGGGGGCAGACAGTAATGAGAATAAGCTCTTTATAACAAAAATACTCCCTTTGGAAACATCAAATATCAGAAAAGCTACTGTTAAAAATTCCATGTCACTCAATTCGGTATCAATAACTAGAATATAATTTTTAAATATCCAGTTCTATGGCGGGGAGATAAAATGAAATTTTTTTTGAAGTAATAAAACAAGCCAGGTGTGGTGGTGTGTGCCTGTAGTCCCAGCTACTTGGGAAGCTGAGGCAGGAGGACAGCTGGAGCCCAGGAGTTCGAGTCCAGCCTGGGCAACACAGCAAGACCCTGTCTCTAAAATAATAATAATAACAATAAAACAAAAGAATAAAATTAATTGGTTGTTTGATAAAATCTTACATAATTTCACAATGCCTTATAGCCAGGCTTGGTTTGATATACTTCAACTGTATAATGCCTTATCCATGTGATGCACTAAGTAAATTATTGTTAAGTGAATGTATTTATCTTAGCTTTGAAGCCCATCTTCAGCCAAACAGCTCATTCACAATAATACTACTGTGAAATTATATACTACTTTATACTTTCCCATAAATTTTCAAAAGTTAATTGCCATTGAATCTGGGTTCTCTATTCCAGCATCCAAGAAGACACAGTAACTAAATATAAGCTCAAGCATAGTAACATGCCTTAAATTTGCACAGTAATCTTTAGCATACCATAGCATTTTCACATCTACAGGCATACTTCATTTTATTGTGCATCACTTTATTGCACTTCACTTTATTATAATTCACAGATACTGCATTTTTTACAAATTGAAGGTCTGTGGCAACCCTATATTAAGCAAGTCTATTGGTGCCATTTTTCAAATAGCATATGCTCACCTTGTGTCTCTGTGTCACATTTTGAAAATTCTCATATTTCAAACTTTTTCACTATTATTTATATCTGTTATGGTGATCTGTGATCAGAGATCTTCAATGTTACTAGTGGAATTCTTTCAGGGCGCCATGAAACATGCCCATAGAAGACAGATAAACTAACTAATTGATAAATGTCTTGTGTTCTGACTGCTCCAACCACTGGCCATTCCTTCTCTTTCCCTCTCTGCAGGCCTCCCTATGACCTGAGACACACAATATTGAAATTAGGCCAACTAATAACCCTACGATGGCCTCTAAGTATTCAAGTGAAAAAGTCACACATATCTGATTTTAAATCAAAAGCTAGAAATGTTTAAGCTTAGAGAGGAAGCCAAGATAGGCTGAAAGCTAGGCCTCCTGTGCCAGACAGCTAGCCAAGTTGTGAACGCCAAGGAGAAGTTCTTCAAAGAAATTAAAAGTGCTACTCCAGTGCACACACAAATGACAAGAAAGCAAAACACAGCCGGGCGCAGTGGTTCACGCCTGTAATCCCAGCACTTTGGGAGGCCGAATTGGGCAGATCACTTGAGGTCCGGAGTTCGAGACCAGCCTGGACAACATGGTGAAACCCTGTCTCTACTAAAAATACAAAAATTAGCTGGGCGTAGTGGCGCACGCCTGTAATCCCAACTACTCAGGAGGCTGAGGCAGGAGAAATGCATGAATCCAGGAGGCAGAGGTTGCAGTGAGCCAAGATAGTACGACTGCACTTCCAGCCTCAGCCTGGAGGACAGAGTGAGACTCTCTCTCAAACAAAAAAAAAAAAAAAAAAAAGAAAGCACAACAGCCTTATTGCTGATATGGAGAAGGTTTTGGTGGTCTGGACAAAAGATCAAACCAGCCACCACATTCCCATAAGCCAAAACCTAATCGAGGGCAAGGCCCTAACTTTCTTTAATTATATGTAGGTTGAGAGAGGTGAGAAAGTTTACAGAAGAAAAGTTTGAAGCAAGGTTGGTTCATGAGGTTTAAAGAAAGAAGTTGTCTCCATTAACACAAAAGCACAAGATGAAGCAGCAAGTGCTGACGTATGAGCTGCAGCAAGTTATCCAGAAAATCTAGCTATTTGATGAACGTGGTTACACTAAACAAAAGGTTTTCAATATAGATGAAATAGCCATATATCGGAAAAAGATACCATCTAGGACTTTATTTTTTGTTTGTGAGTTCTCATAAAATAGGACTTTCACAGCTAGAGAGAAGTCAATGCCTAGCTTCAAAGGACAGGCTGACTCTCTTGTTAGGGGCTAACGCAGCTGGTGACTTGAAGTTGAAGCCAATGCTCATTTACCATTCAGAAAACTCTAGGGCCCTTAAGAATGATGTTAAATCTACTCTGCCCGTGCTCTATAAATGGAACAACAAAGCCTAAACAGCATATCTGTTTACAGCATGGCCTGCTGAATTTAAAATACTCAGCTGAATTTAAAATATTCACAGTGCGCTTAATATTTTACGTAAAACTACTGCTCAGAAAAAAGATTCCTTTCAGAATATTACTACTCACTAACAATGCACGTAGTCACTCAAGAGCTCTGATGGAGACGTACAAGGAGATGTTATTTTCATGACTGCTAACACAGCATTCATTCTGCAGACCACGGATCAAGAAGTAATTTTGACCGTAAAGTCTTTTTTTTTTTTAAGAAATACATTTTGTGACCAGGCATAGTGGCTCAAGCCTATAATCTCAGCACTTGGGAGGCCGAGGTGGGCAGATTGCTTGAGCCTGGGAGTTCAAGACCATTCTGGGCAACATGGCAAGACCACGTTTTTACAAAAAATACAAAAAAACTAGCCAAGCGGGGTAGTACGCATCTGTGGTCCCAGCTACTTAGAAGGCTGAGGTGGGAGGATCACTGTGAACACAGGGGGTCAAGGCTGCATAAGCCAAGATGGCACCATTGCACTCCTGCCTGGGTGACACAGCAAGACCCTGTCTAAAAAGAAAAAAAAAAAAAAAGAAAGAAATACATTTTGTAAGGCTATAGCTGCCATAGACAGTGATTACTCTAATGGATCCAGGCAGAATAAACTGAAAACCTTCAGGAAAGGATTCACCATTCTAAGTGCCATTAAGAACATTCACGATTCATAGAAGAATGTCAAAATATCCACATTAAAGGGAGTTTGGAAGAAGTTGATTCCATCCCTCATGGATGACTTCGAGGAGTCCAAGATTTCAGTGGAGGAAGTAACTGCATATGTGGTGAAAACAGCAAGAGAACAAGAATTAGAAGTGAAATCTGAAGATGTGATTGAATTGCTGCAATCTTATGATCAAACTTGAATGGATAAGAAGTTACTCCTTATGGAGGAGTAAACAAAGTGGTTTCTTGGTATCTAGTCCTAGTAAAGATGTTGTGAACATTGTTGAAGTGACAACAAAGGACTTAGAACATTACAGAAACTTAGTTGATAAAGCAGCAGCAGGGTTGGAGAGAACTGACTCCAATTTGGAAAGAGGTTCTACTGTGGGTAAAATGCTATCAAACAGCATCACATGCTACAGAGAAATCTTTCATGAAAGGGAGAGTCCACGGATGCAACAATCTCATTGTTGTGTTATTTAAGAAATTGCCACAGCCACCCCAACTTTCAGCAATCACCACTCTGATCAGTAAGCAGCCACTGACATCAAGGCAATTCAAATCCCACTTCTGACACACACACACACACACACACACACACACACACACACACACATTTAGAAAACAAAAACAAGACATCAAGGCAAGACCCTCCACCAGCAAAAAGAATATGACTAGATGAAGGCTCAGGTAATCATTAGCATTTTTTAGCAATAAAGTTTTTAGGTTTTTTTTGGGAGATGGGGTCTCTGTTACTCAGGCTGGAGTGCAGGAGCACAACCATAGCTCACTGCAGCCTCAAACTCCTGGGCTCAAGTAATCCTCTGACTTCAGCCTCTTGAATAGTAATAAAGTATCCCTTAATTAAAGTATGTATACTGCTTTTAAAGACACAGTGTTCTTACACACTTAATATAGTGTAGTATGATATGGTATGGTATAGTATAAACACAACTTTAATGCACTAGGAAACAAAAAAATTCATGTGACTCGCTTAATTGCATTATTCACTTTATTGTGGCCACCTGGAACCAAACCCAAGGTATTTCCGAGGTATGTCTGTATTACTGCACTTGACCCTCATAATCAATTTTCAAAGGCAATGAGGTAGATGATAGTATTATAGTGCTCTTCACTCTCAACTTACAGAAAAGGAAACTGAAGCTTCAAGCAGTCAACTGATTTTTCTGAAAGCACCATGAGATAAGTGCAGGGCCAAAGCCTCAACAGTTAAGCCAGGTTTCCCTCTGATTAGCTGTCACAAGTGACTACACAGAGAAGTAGACTCGGTATCACTACCACTGAAAAAAATGTAAACTGGTACATTCTGTCAACAATGATACAGAGATGCCAGTCCCTAATGAGTAGCTACAATGCTTCAGTTGCTGGCCTTCAGAGATCCTGAGACATCAAACAATGATTTGAAGAGTATTACCACAAATTTTTTACTTAAAGTTTAGATGACTGAGTGAGGAATATGTAAGTGTTCTCAGAACTTAGAAGGCCAACTAGCTCAGTTTAACAGTGAATAGAAAAACTGAGAGATAAGATTGAGAAGGCAGTCTGGAGCCAGATTAAAGTACATCAAGTTTAGACATTGTTATATATACGTAATGAGGGGCCACTAAAGGCTAGGTAACTGGGAAATCATGATGCAACGTGTGGTTTAGAACGCTGAATCTGGCCAGTGTGGTGTCACACGCCTGCAGTCCCAGCTACTCCAGAGGCTGAGGCAGGAGTATTGTTCAAGCCCTGGAGGTTGACAATGACCAGCCTGGAAAACACAGCAAAACCCTGTCTCTCTTTTAAAAATGTTTTTAATGAAAAAAAAATTTTAAGCTGAATCTGATAACAGTAAGTAGTTGGACTGAAGTGAAAAATTTTCAGAGGGCTAGGGCAATGGAGCCTAGGAGAGGACAGCAGCAGTTAATAACTTAGTCCCCAGGGTAAGCCTCCCCTTGCCTCTTCTTTGCTATGCCCCTATCTGCTAGTGGCCATGGGGACTGGCATAAGCTCCAAACCAGACAGATCACAATATCCTCCTTTCTCTGGGCGCACTGACTGGTCCCAATTTAGGGCAGGAGAAATGATCTTGTCTTTTTGGGTCATAGTATAAGAAGGACATGAGGCTGGAGTTACAGACAGCATTTTCTTGGACCTTTTGGCAAAAGCATGTCTGCAAGAAAATAGAATGAAGTGAGAGTGGATTTTAATGGGGTGATATCCCTGTTTTATAGTTCCCAAGACCCTAGTTCCTGCAGGCCTTCCTGCAATTCTATAATGCTATCTCAGCATCCTTCCTACAGACAACCCAAAATTCCATCAACTATTCAATTTAAGCTGTATTCCTATCATTTGGAACCAAGAGTCTTGACTAAAAGAGGGTGGTGGCAGTGGGAACAGAAGAATGTAAAGGTAACAACACCAAGTAGAACACAGGCAGAGCAAGTGAGACTGGAGCTGAAAGAAAAACAAGCTGTCTTTCATTTCTTCATTAATATAAAAAATTATATGGTAAATATTACAACTTTCTGGTACATTAAAGATATTTCACATTACAATTCAATAAACATTTACTGAATATCTGCCTATTTACCAGATAGCAGGACCCCAAACCTCTGGCTATGCCAATCAATACAAATACAGGCTGGGCGTGGTGGCTCACACCTGTAATCCAGCACTTTGGGAGGCTGAGGTGGGCAGGTCATCTGAGGTCAGGAGTTCATGACCAGACTGACCAACATGGAGAAATCCCATCTCCACTAACAATACAAAAATTAGCCGGGGGTGGTGGCAGGTGCCTGTAATCCCACCTACTCGAGAGGCCGATGCAGGAGAATCGCTTGAACCCGGGAGGCGAAGGTTGCAGTGAGCCAAGATTGCGCCACTGCACTTCAGCCTGGGTGACAGAGCGAGACTCCGCCAAGAAAGAAAGAAAGAAGGAAAGAAGGAAGGAAGGAAGGAAGGAATTATTTTGTATAATATACTATAATTAAGTCAAATTATTTCCACTGACACCTTGCTTCACAATATTATGTCACAACTCAGGTAATTTGTATCATTCTTCTTCTCAAATAATATCAAGAGATATCCATTCTGATATAATTTCATCTGTGACAAAAGTTATTTTGGTTGGGTTCCAGTCAATAATATCTTGAACTAGGGTCAATTCATCCAAATTTAGAACAATCAAAAATTAAATGAGAAATTGATTTTGGTTTAGGTTCAAAGTCATCAATTTTCACTTAAGAAATATTTGAATAGCTACCATAAAACAGATACTGTTCACAGCACACTACTTCCATCTACTGGCAGCCTAGGCTGACAGCCTGGTACTCATCCTTTATTCTTCTCTCTCTTCCACATCTTGAATCAGTGGTTTTCAACACTGGCTGCACATTAGAATCCTGAAGTACAATTTTAAAATATCAGCGCCCAGCTATTATCCCAGAAATTCTGATTTCCAGGAATTATGGAGTAAAGCCTAGGCACTGGTATTGTTAAAAAGCTTCCAAAGTGATTCTGGCAGGCAACAAAGTGTTAAAAACAAATGCCTCTGGCAGTAAAATGAGTTCGAAAAGAAAAAGAAAAACAAATGCCTGTAACTTTCAGTTGTCAAGTTCTACTGATTGTTACATCTGAAATAATTCTCTAATAATATGTCCCCTCTGATCTGTCCCTACTAGCTGGTAGAAGCCCTCACTATCTTGAACCTAAACTAAGTGTGGACTCCCTCAAGTCTATCTTCTATACCACTATCAAAGTGATCTATCTATAATATAAATATAGGATGCTGGCACTTGCTTGTTTAAAGTTATCCCATGGCTGACTATTACTTGCTTCAGTGGTGGTCAGGCAGGATGGTGTGAAGCACTCTCCTATGAGGTATAAGGTAAGTTGTACATAATATAGTTAGCAGTAGTAGTAGTACAAGTATTAATGTTTGTAAAGATTTTTATAAGTATAAATCAGAGGGTTTTCAAAGTATCCTTATATTAAACAATTACCTCCCTCATTTTAATTGTTTACTTGAATGGAAGAAAAAAAGAAAATTAAAAACACAGGAACTCTGCATAGAACTATATTATGCATGTATTACTATCTGTTAAATGTGTCGCAGAGGAATAAAAATTTGAAAACTGATAAACCAAAACAGTGGTTCTCAACCAGGTAGTATTGCCCTCCCAAAGGCACCTGAGAAATGGTGGAGGCTACATTTGGTTTCACAGTGATTGGAGGGAGTGCTGTTCGCATTAAGTGAGCATGAGCTAGGGATGTTCGGCATCCTTCAATACCCAAGAAACGGGAGTTGGCAAGTTTTCTGTAAAAGTTGTAACCCTCTGCTGCATATTCTTCCCTTTTTCGTACAACTCTTTAAAAATGTAAAAACCATTTTTAGCTCATGGGCTATATAAATACAGGCAGTGTGACCACCTGTGGGCTGATGTTTGCAGACCCCTGACCAAGAACATCCCACAGGACAAAAAGACCTGTGTCTCACATGACTTTGCAATGTCCCATCTGACATTGTGTGGAAAAACCTGTTTATAATTACTTCAGCCTAAAAATTAAGTATTTTGTTTTACATAAAAAAGTATTTTTTCACGGTTTTAATAAACACCAAGTTTTCCAGGAATGCAATTAATACAACTTGTACTTTGACTTGGTCAGAACTTTACAAATAGGATGTTAAGTATTTTGAAAAATCTCATTACCAGTGACAATACCATTTAAAATATCTTACCTACCAATACAACACATTTTATATACCTGCATTTGTTGCTGTGCATTCACAGTAATACCATGTATAGGTACAAGCATCTGATTAATTCATTATGTGTTCTAATGATATAATGCTTAAGCATTTATATTTTAAAATATATATTTCAAATCATGTTTAGATTTCTTATACTTTTCCTTTGTACTACATTTATGACATCATATTAGAAATTATGTTTTAATTTTATTATATGTGAATTATAAGAATTCCTTTTAAGGATCATAAAGGAGCATTAGAAAATATTTACTACAAAAAAAGAAACACTGGGCTGGATATGTTTGAGAATCACTGAGCATGAAGTTCAAACTCAACACAACAGGCCCTGCTTATCTTTTAGTGTCTTACAACTTCCTGCCTCCCGCACTTGACACTCAAACAGCACTAACCTGTTTGTAATTCCCCAACTAGCAATCCCAATATGATGCTTCTTCTATGTGTCTCTGTTCGTGCTATTCTAAATGTTCTGAAATGTCTTATCATCACCTTCAACAGATTAATTTCTATTCACCATTCAAGACTCAGTTCAAGTATGGCTTCCCCAATACTCCTCCTCTCCTAGTAAGGTAAGTGCCCCTTTCTCTTCCAAAAATGCCCTAATATCTCTATCCCTGCACTTACCTCAATGAAATGAAATTATGTCAAAAAGTCTATTTGACCCAACAGAGTCTAAACTTTGAGAGCAGGGTCTATGTATCTCTGCAAATACATCATCTAACACCTTGAAGTAGAATTCATATTCCAACAAGCATTCATACTGTATCAATAACATTTCAAATAAAAAATTCTAAATGTTGCAGATCAACATTAAGTCCAGAATTCTTTAAAGCTACCAACTTCTTGCTTTATAAAATTCTCTCACACACATTCACAAACCATAAACTTCTTTAAGATAAGAGTAGAAAATAATTCAGGGTGCTGATTTCTGTTTGCCTAATCTAGCCTAGCAAATTAGCAAGGGGCTCAGAGCCAAAACAAATTTAAAAATTAGGCTACGATACTAAAGAAAAAAAAGAATTTGAATGAAAAATGAAAATGTAATTCATCACTTTTTTTTTTCTTTTGAGACAGGATCTTCCTCTCTCACCCAGCTGGAGTGCAGTGGCACAATCACGGCTCACTACAGCCTTGTCCTCCTGGGCTCAAGCAATCCTTCCACCTCAGTCTTCTGAGTAGCTGGGACTACAAGCATGCACCACCATGCCTGGCATTATGTGTGTGTGTGTGTGTGTGTGTGTGTGTGTGTGTGTATATATATATATTTTTTTTTTTTTTTGTAAAGACAGAGTGATATGGTTTGGCTTTGTGTCCCCACCTAAATCTCATCTTGTAGCTCCCATAATTCCCATATGTTGTGAGAGGGACCCACCAGGAGATAACTGATTCATGGGGGCGGGTCTTTCCCATGCCACGATAGTGAATAAGTCTCACAAGATTTGATGGTTTTAAAAATGGGAGTTTCCCTGCACAAACTCTTCTCTTGTCTGCCACCATGTGAGACATGACTTTCACCTTCCACCATGATTGTGAGGCCTCTCCGGCCACATGGAACTGTAAGTCAAATAAACCTCTTTCTTTTGTAAATTGCCCAGTCTCGGCTATGTCTTTATCAGCAGCATGAAAATTGACTAATCCATAGGGGCTCACTATGTTGCCCAGGCTGGTCTTGAACTCCTGGACTCAAAGCAGTCCTTCCGCCTCAGCCTCCCAAAATGCTGGGATTACAGGTGTCAGGCAGTGTGCCCAGTCTCTCTGAATTATTTCTTGCAACTCTATGTCAAACTATAATTATCTCTAAATACAAAGCTTAATTAAAGAAAAAAATCTATAAGAACTTCTCTGACCTCTAGATTTAAATTCTAAGTCTTCAATATGGCTTACAAGGCAAATCACAGTCAGGAAACTTCTCCCCTTCTCTAGCTTCATTTCTCTTCATATCCCCCTACCTCTTACAATCTTCCAATCATTTGTTCTTCCTACCATTGCTTTTGAGCTCCTTTTAGCTCTTAAGTGTATATTCTATCTCTATCCTCTTGGCTTTTGCCTAGGCTATTCTCTCTGCCTAGAAAATCTTAGTTGCTATTCCTTTATCGCCTTACCTTGTTGATACCACCTCTTTCTTCAGGCTTCGATGTAGATCTAACTTTTTCCATGAAGTCTTTCCTTAACTCCCAAATCTGGGACGGGGGTCTTTCTAGACTGCCTAGTAAACTAGTGGTATTTATTAAAATGCAGGGTAACTGCCAGGCCTATATCTTGCTCCAAAGGCCACTGCTTCTTACTTAATATTTAATCCCCAAGGTCTGCAAAACTGGAACACAGTAGGCGCTCTACAAACACATGTTGAAGGGAAAGCAAAACTATGGAATACAGTGAAAAGATCAATAGTTGCCTGGGTGTGGTGGCTCACTCCTGTAATCCCAGCACTTTGGGAGGCCGACGTGGGCGGATCACTTGAGGTTGGGAGTTTCGAGACCTGCTGGCCAACATGGTGAAACCCAACTCTATTAAAAAAACACACAAAAAATTAGCCAGGCATGGTGGCACATGCCTGTAATCCCAGCTACTTGGGAGGCTGAGGCAGAATTGCTTGAACCCAGGAGGTGGAGGTTGCAGTGAGCCCAGATTGTGCAACTGCACTCCAGCCTGGGCGACCGAGTGAAACTCTGTCTCAAAAAAAAAAAAAAAAATCAATATTTGCCAGGGTTTGGGGGCGAGGGAATGGAGGGATTAATAGGTGGATCCCAGAGATTTTTGGACATTGAAACCAATCTGCATGATACTATATGCCAGATGCATGTCATTATACACGTCAAAACCCATAGAAGTTACAATATCAAGCGTGAACCCTAAGATAAATTACAGACTTTGGATAGTAATCATGTGCCAATTTTGGTTCATCCATTGTTTAACAAATTACCATCTAGGCCCTGGGAGGCAGAGCAAGATGGCCAAACAGAAGCCTCTACCAATCTTCCTCCCTGTCAGAACACCAAATATGACACCTACATAAAAAAGCACTTTCACAAGAACCAAAAATCAGGTGAGTGATCACAATACCTGGTTTTAACTTCATACTGCAGAAAAACAAACTGAAGTGGGTAGGAAAGGCCCTTTAATTTCCGACACCACCCTTCCCCCATCCGCTAGCAGCAGCCAAGTAGAGAGAATCTGTGTGTTTGGGAGAGGGAGAGTGCAGCAATTGTGGGACTTTACATTGGAACTTGGTGCTGCCAACACCAGGCAGAACTCAGCCAATGTCCACAGAGGGAACATTTAGATCAGCTCTAGCCAAAGTGGGATTGCTCATCTCAGAAGCCAGAACTTGAGTTCGGCAAGCCTCACCACAGAAAGCTAAAGAGCTGTGGGGTCCTCAATAAACAAAAGGCACTCTAGGCCACAAGGACTGAAACTTACAGGAAAGTCTAAAAGCTGTGCTAGGATCAGAGCCAGCGGACTCAGGGGACACATGACATAGTGAGTCACCAGCTGGGGTAGCTAAGGGAGTGCCTGCATCACCCCTCCACCAACCCCAGGCAGCACAGCTCACAGCTCCAAAAGAGACTCCTTCCTTCAACTTGAGAGGAGAGAAAACAGTAGAGAAGACTTTGTTATGCAACTTGGACACCAGCTCAGCCAAAGTAAGACAGTGCACCAAGGAGAGTCATGAGGCCCCCATTCCAGGCCCTAGCTCCTGGACAACATTTCTAGACAAACCCTGGGCCAGATGGGAACCAGTTGCTATGAAGGGAAGGATCCACTGCTGGCGGGATTCATCACCTCCTGACTAAAGGGCCTTTCAGCCCTGAATAATCAGCAGTGGTAACCAGGTAGAACATGCTGTGGGCCTTGAGTGAGACTATGAAACATGCTGGCTTCAGGTGTGACCTACCACATTCCTACCTATGTGGTTATGGGGAGAGACTCCTGCTTGAAAAAAGTAGAAGGAAAAATAAAGGGGACTTTATCTTCCAGCTTAGGTACCAGCTCTACCACAGTGGGGAAGAGCACCAAACAGACTCTGGAGCCTCAATTTCAGGCCTTGGCTCTTAGATGACATTTTTGGACCTATCCTGGCCCAGAAAGGAGCCCAATGCCAGGAAGGGTGAGTTGCAGATTTGGAAGCATTCACCACAAGCTGACTGAAAAGCCCTTAGGACTTAAGTGAACATTGGCAATACTTCCTATGGGCCTTTGATGGTGGCAGATACAGGCAGAGGCTCTCCTGCCTGGGAGAAGGGGAGGAAAGAGTGGGAAAGACTTTGTCTTGTGGTTTCGGTGCCAGCTTAGCTACAGCAGAACAGAGGACCAGGTAGATTCCTAAGGTTTACAAACCAGGCCCTGGCTCCCAGACAGCATCTCTAAAACTACTAGGGCTCAGGAGAACTCAATCCCCTGAATGGAAGGTCACAAGCCTGACTGGCTTCACCATCTGCTGATTGTAGAGTCCTAGGCCTTGAGCGGTAGCCAGGTAGTGGTTACAGTGGGCCTTGGGCAAGACCCAGTACCATGCTGACTTCAGGTCTGATCCAGCACAGTGCCAGTGGTAGTGGCCACAGGGGTCCTTGTGTCACCCGTCCCTCAGCTCCAGGTAGTCCAGCACAGAGAAAGTGACTCTGTTTATTTGGGAAAAAGGGAAGAGAACAAGAGTCTCTGCCTGGCAATAGAAAGAATTCTTCCAGATCTTATCCAAGACCACCAAGGTGGTACCTCTACAAGTCTGCAAGAACTTCAATGATGTTGGACTTGGGGTGCCCTTTAATGCAGATACAACTTAGATCACAACACCCCCATCCTTTCAAATACCTGGAAAGCCTTCCCAAAGAGGATGAGTAAAAACAAGATGTACTAGATGGTGAAGACTATAATAAGCATCTAATTCTTTAATGCCTAGACACTAACGAGAATCCACAAGCATCGAGACCATCCAGGAAAACGTGAGCTCCCAAAATGAACTAAATAAAGCTCCGGGGAACAATCAAAGAAAGGCAGAGATATGTGATCCTTCAGACAGAAAATTCAAAATAGCTGTTTTGGGAAAACTTGAAGAAATTCAAGAGAACATAGAGAAGGAATTCAGAATCTTTCAGATGAATTTAACAACAAAATGGAAATAATTAAGAAGAAGCAAAAGGAAATTCTGGAGCTGAAAAATGCAATTGACATAATGAAGAATGGATCAGAGTATCTTAAAAGCAGACTTGATCAAGCAAAAGAAAGAATTAGTGAGCTTGAAGACAGGCTATTTGAAAACACACAGTCAAAGGAAACAAAAAAGAAAAAGAGGCTGGGCACAGGGGCTCATACCTGTAATCCTAGCACTTTGGGAGGCCAAGGCAGGCAGATTGCCTGAGCTCTGGAGTTCAAGACCAGCCTGGGCAACATGGCAAAACCTGGTCTCTAATAAAAATACAAAAATTAGCCAGGCATGGTGGCGCTTGCCTGCAGTCCCAGCTATTTGGGAGGCTGAAGCATGAGAATTCCTTGAACCCAGGAGGCAGAGGTTGCAGCAAGCTGAGATCATGCCACTGCACTCCAGCCTGGGCAGCAGAGCAAGACTCTGACTCCAAAAAAAAAAAAAAAAAAAAAGAATGATGCCTACGAGATTATTTAGAAAACAGCCTCAAAAGGGCTTCTCTAAGAGTTATTGGCCTTAAAGATAAGGTAAACAGAGACACAGGTGTAGAAAGTTTATTCAAAGGGATAACAGCACAGAACATCCCCAACCTAGAGAAAGACATCATTATTCAAGAACAAGAAGGTTACAGAACATCAAACAGATTTAATGCAAAGAAGACTGTCTCAAGGCATTTAATAATTACACTCCTGAAAGTCAAGAATAAAGAAAGGATCCTAAAAGTAGCAAGAGAAAAGAAACAAATAACATGCAATGGAGCTCCAATTCATCTGGCAGCAGGCTTTTCAGTGGAACCCTTATAATCTCATGCCAGGTGAGATTGGCATGACATATTTAAAGTGCTGAAGGAAAAAAAAAAAAACTTTATACCAGAATAGTAATCTGGAGAAAATATCCATCAAACATGAAGAGGAAATAGATTTTCCCAATCAAAAGCTGTGGGATTTCATCAACACCAGACCTGTCCTACAAGAAATGCTAAAGGGAATTCTTCAGTCTGAGAGGAAAGGATGTTAATGAGCAATAAGAAATCATCTGAAGGTAAAAAATTCACTGGTAATAGTAGATATATGAAAAAACACAGAATATTCTAATACTGTATTGGGGTGTGTGAACTACTCATATTGTGAGTAGAAAGACTAAAAGATGAACTGATCAAAAACAATAACTACAATGACATTTCAAGACATAGTACAATAAAATATAAAATAGAAACAAAAAACAGTTAAAAAGCAGGGAGACAAAGTTAGAGTTTTTACTAGTTTTCTTTTTGCTTGTTTGTTTATGTATGCTACCAATGTTAAGTTGTCATCAGTTTAAAATAATGGGATATATTATTTGCAAGCTCATGGTAACCTCAAATCTAAAAACTGTGATATAAAGGATACAGAAAAAATAAAAAGATATTAAAACATACCACCAAATAAAATCACATGCACTAAAAAGAAGACAAGGAGGAAGAAAAGAAGGGAGAGAAGACCACAAAACAACCAGAAAACAAATAACAAAGTGGCAGGAGTAAGTCCTTACTTATCAATAATAACATTGAATGTAAATGAACCAAACTCTCCAATCAAAAGACACAGAGTGGCTGAATGGATAAAAAAACAAGATCCAATGATCTGTAGCCTAAAAGAAACACACTTCACCTATAAAGACACACATAGGGCCGGGTGCGGTGGCTCATGCCTGTAATCCCAGCACTTTGGGAGGCCAAGGCGGGCGGATCACCAGGTCAGGAGATCGAGACCATCCTGGCTAACACGGTGAAACCCCGTCTCTACTAAAAATACAAAAAATTAGCCAGGCGTGGTGGTGGGCGCCTGTAGTCCCAGCTACTCGGGAGGCTGAGGCAGGAGAATGGCATTAACCTGGGAGGCGGAGCTTGCAGTGAGCCGAGATCGTGCCACCGCACTCCAGCCTGGGCGACAGAGCGAGACTCCGTCTCAAAAAAAATTAAAAAAAAAAAAAAAAAGACACACATAGACTAAAAATAAAGGAATAGGAAAAGATATTCCAGGCAAATAGAAACCAAAAGGAGCAGGAGTAGCTATACTTATATCAGATAAAATGGATTTCAAGATAAAAACTACAAAAGAGACCAAAAAAAAAAGTCATTATATGATAAAAGAGCCAATTCAGCAAAACAATAAAACAATTTTAAATATATATGCACTGACACTAGAGCACCCAGATATATAAAGCAAATATTATTAGAGCTAAAGAGACAGACCCCAATACAATAATAGCTGGAGACTTCAACATCCCATTTTCAGTATTAGACAGATCATC
Source organism: Homo sapiens (assembly GCF_000001405.40). Lineage (NCBI taxonomy): Eukaryota > Metazoa > Chordata > Mammalia > Primates > Hominidae > Homo > Homo sapiens. The sequence continues at coordinate 61,984,724 of NC_000002.12, read as the reverse complement.
TAGACAAAATTCAACAAAGAAACATTTAACTTCATCTGCACTATAGACCAAATGGACCTAATAGACTTTACAGAACATTTCCTCCAATGGCTACAGAATACATACTCTTTTCCTTAGCACATGAATCAGTCTCCAGGACAGATCATATGTTAGGCTACAAGCCAAGTCTAAAAAATATTCAAAAAATTGAAATAATATTAAGTATCTTCTTTAAACACAATGGAATACAACTAGAAATCGGCAACAAGAAGAATTTTGGAAACTATGCAAACATATGGAAATTAAACAATATGCTGCTGAATGACCAATACGGTACTGTAATGACCATTACTGAATGGTCAATAAAGAGATTAAGAAGGAAATTAAAAAATTTATTGAAACAATAATGGAAAAACAACAGGTTGAGCGCGGTGGCTCATGCCTGTAATCCCAACACTTTGGGATGCCAAGGCAGGTGGATCACCTGAGGTCAGGAGTTCGAGACCAACCTGGCCAACACTGAGAAACCCCATCTCTACTAAAAACACAAAAAATTAGCTGGGTGTGGTGGCACACGCCTGTAATCCCAGCCACTCAGGAGGCTGAGGTGGGAGAATCGCTTGAACCTGGGAGGCAGAGGTTGCAGTTGAGCCGAGATCATGCCGCTGTACTCCAGCCTGGGTGACAGAGCGAGACTCTGTCTCAAACAACAGCAACAACAACAAACCAAAACCTACTGGCTACAGTGAAAGCAGTACTAAGGAAGAAGTTTATAGCTATAAGTCCCCATGTCAAAAAGAGGAAAAACTTCAAATAAACAACATAATGATGCATCTTAAAGAATTAGAAAAACAAGAGCAAACCAAACCCAAAGTCAGTAGAAGCAAAGAAATAATAAAGATCAGAGCAAAAATAATGAAGTTGAAATGTAGAAAACTATACCAAAGATCAACAAAATGCAGTTGGTTTTTTGAAAAGATAAACAAAATTGACAAGCCTTTAGCCAAACTAAGAAAATACAAGATTCAAATAAATAAAATTAGAGATAAAAAAAGAAAACATTACAACTGATACCGCAGAAACTGAAGGATTAGAGGCTACCATGAACAACTATATGCCAACAAACTGGACAATCTAGAAGAAATGGATAAATTCCTAGACACATACAACCAACCAAGATTGAACAATGAAGAAATCCAAAACCTGAACAGACCAATAACAAGTAACAAGATGAACATGCATTAAAAGCCATTATAGGCCGGGAGCAGTGGCTCATGCTTGTAATCCTAGCACTTTGGGAGGCCGAGGCGGTCGGATCACGAGGTCAAGGAGATTGACACCATCCTGGCTAACACGGTAAACCCCATCTCTACTAATAATACAAAAAAATTAGCCAGGCGTGGTGGCACGTGCCTGTAGTCCTAACTACTCAGGAGGCTGAGGCAGGAGAATCACTTGAACCCAGGATGCGGAGGTTGCAGTAAGCCAAGATTGCGCCACTGCACTCCAACCTGGGCGACAGAGGGAGACTCCATCTCAAAAAAAAAAAAAAAAAATGCCATGATAAAAAGTCTCCCATCAAAGAAGAGCCCAGGACCTCAGGGCTTTGCTGCTGACTTTTATCAAACATTTAAAGAAGAATTAATACCAATCCTACTCAAACTATTCCAAAAAATTGAGGAGGTGAAAATACTTCCAAATTTATTCTACAAGGCCAGTATTGCCCTGACACCAAAACCAAAGATACATTAAAAATTTTTAAAAAGGAAACCTACATGCCAATATCTCTGATGAACATTAATGCAAAAATCCTCAACAAAATACCAGTAAACCGAATTCAATAATATGTTAAGATCATTCATCATGACCAAGTAGGATTTATCCCAGGAATGCTAGGATGGTTCAAAATACACAAATCAATCAATGTGAAACATCACATCAACAGATAAAAACCATACGATCATTTCAATTGATGGTGAAAAGACATTTGATAAAATTCAACATCCCTTCATGATGAAAACTGTCAAAAAAAACCGGGGATGAGATGGCTAGTGCTAACTGAAAAAACACACAAACAAACAGGATAGAAAGAACATACCTCACTATAATAAAAGCCATATATGACAGATCCATAGCTAGTATCGTACTGAATAGAGGAAAACTAAAAGACTTTCCTCTAATATCTGGAACACCACAAGTATGCCCACTTACACCACAATTATTCAACATAATACTGAAAGTCTTAGCTAAAGCAATCAAACAAGAGAGAAATAAAGGGCATCCAAATTGGAAAGGAAGAAGTCAAACTGTTCTTTTTTGCAGATGATATAATCTTGTATTTGGAAAAACCTACTCTACCAAAAAAACCATTACAACTGATACATTCAGTAAAGTTGCATGATACAAAATTAACATACGAAAATCAGCAGTATTTCTATATGCCAAGGGTGAACAATCTGAAAAAGAAATCAAGAAAGTAATCCCATTTACAACAGCTACAAATAAAATTAAATACCTAGGAATTATCTTAACCAAAGAAGTGAAAGCGCTCTATAATGAAAACTATTTTAAAACAATAGTGAAAGAAATTGAAGGTAACACCAAAAAAAATGAAAAGATATTCCATGTTCATGGATTGGAAGAATCAATATTGTTGAAATGTCTATACTATGCAAAGCAATCTACAGATTCAATGCAATCCCTATCAAAATACCAATGACATTCTTCACAGAAACAGAAAAACAATCCTAAAATGTATAATGAACCATAAAAGACCCAGAATCGCCAAAGCTATCCTGAGCAAAAAGAACAAAACTGGTGGAATCACATTACCTGACTTCAAATTATACTACAGAGCTATAGTAACTGATATGGTTTGGCTGTGTCCCCATCCAAATCTCATCTTGAATTCCCATGGGTTGTGGGAGGGACCCAGTGGCAGGTAATTGAATCATGGGGGCAAGTCTTTCCCATGCTGTTCTCGTAATAGTGAATACATCTCATAAGATCTGATGGTTTTATAAAGGAGTTTCCCTGCACAAGCTCTCATTCTTCTCTTGTCTACCTTCATGTGAGATGTGCCTTTCACCTTCCGCCATGACTGTGAGGCCTCCCCAGCCACGTGGAACTGTAAGTTCATTAAAACCTCTTTCTCTTTCCAGTCTCGGGTATGTCTTTATCAGCAGTGTGAAAATGGACTAATACAGTAACCAAAACAACATGGTACTGGCATAAAAACAGACACACAGACCAGTGGAACAGAATAGAGAACCCAGAAACAAATCCATCCATGTACAGTGAACTCATTTTCGACAAAAGTGCCAAAACAGAGAAAAGACAGTCTCTTCAATAAGTGGTGCTAGGCAAACTGGATATCAACATGCAGAAGATCTGAAACTAGACCCCTATCTCTCGCCATGTACAAAAATCAAATCAAAATGGATGAGAGACTTAAATCTAGGACCTCAAACTATGAAACTACAAGAAAACATTGGGGAAACTCTTCAGGCCATTGGACTGGGCAAAGATTCCTTGAGTAAATACCCCACAAGTACAGGTAACCAAAGCAAAAGTGGACAAATGGGATCACATTAAGTTAAAAGGCTTCTGCACAGCAAAGGAAGCCATCAACAAAGGGAAGAGACAATCCACAGAATGGGAGAAAATATTTGTAAACTATCCATCTGACAAGAGATTAATAACCAGGATAAAAGGGGCTCAAACAACTCTACAGGACAAATCTAATAACCCAATTTTAAAATGGGCAAAAAAAGCTGAACAGACATTTCTCAAAAAAAGAAATAAAAAAGGCAAACATACATGAAAAGATGCTCAACATCATTGATCATCAAAGAAATGCAAATCAAAACTATAGTGAGACATCATCCTACCCCAGTTAAAATGACTTATATCCATAGGCGTGGGCAAGGACTTCATGTCCAAAACACCAAAAGCAATGGCAACAGAAGACAAAATTGACAAATGGGATCTAATTAAACTAAAGAGCTTCTGCACAGCAAAAGAAACTACCATCAGAGTGAACAGGCAACCTACAACATGGGAGAAAATTTTCGCAACCTACTCATCTGACAAAGGGCTAATATCCAGAATCTACAATGAACTCAAACAAATTTACAACAAAAAAACAAACAACCCCATCAAAAAGTGGGCGAAGGACATGAACAGACACTTCTCAAAAGAAGACATTTATGCAGCTAAAAAACACATGAAGAAATGCTCATCATCACTGGCCATCAGAGAAATGCAAATCAAAACCACTATGAGATATCATCTCACACCAGTTAGAATGGCAATCATTAAAAAGTCAGGAAACAACAGGTGCTGGAGAGGATGTGGAGAAATAGGAACACTTTTACACTGTTGGTGGGACTGTAAACTAGTTCAACCATTGTGGAAGTCAGTGTGGCGATTCCTCAGGGATCTAGAACTAGAAATACCATTTGACCCAGCCATCCCATTACTGGGTATATACCCAAATGAGTATAAATCATGCTGCTATAAAGACACATGCACACGTATGTTTATTGCGGCACTATTCACAATAGCAAAGACTTGGAACCAACCCAAATGTCCAACAATGATAGACTGGATTAAGAAAATGTGGCACATATACACCATGGAATACTATGCAGCCATAAAAAATGATGAGTTCATATCCTTTGTAGGGACATGGATGAAATTGGAAACCATCATTCTCAGTAAACTATCGCAAGAACAAAAAACCAAACACCGCATATTCTCACTCATAGGTGGGAATTGAACAATGAGATCACATGGACACAGGAAGGGGAATATCACACTCTGGGGACTGTGGTGGGGTCGGGGGAGGGGGGAGGGATAGCATTGGGAGATATACCTAATGCTAGATGACACATTAGTGGGTGCAGCGCACCAGCATGGCACATGTATACATATGTAACTAACCTGCACAATGTGCACATGTACCCTAAAACTTAGAGTATAATAAAAAAAAAAAAATGACTTATATCCAAAAGACAGGCAATAACAAATTCTGGTGAGGATACAGAGAAAAGGGAACCCTTGTACACTGTTGGTGGGAAGGTAAATTAGTACAACCACTATGGAAAACAGTTTGGAGTTCCTCAAAAAACTAAAAATAGGCCGGGCGCGGTGGCTCACATGGGAGTGCAGATATCTCTTCGATATCCTGATTTTGTTTCTTTTGGGAATATACCTAGCAGTGGGATTGCTGAATTATATGCTAGCTCTATTTTTAGTTTGTTTTTTTGAGATGGAGTCTTGCTCTGTTGCCCAGGCTAGAGTGCAGTGGCGTGATCTCGGCTCACTGCAATCTCTGCCTCCCAGGTTCAAGTGATTCTCCTGCCTCAGCCTCCTGAGTAGCTGGGGTTACAGGTACCTGCCACCATGCCTGGCTAATTTTTGTATTTTTAGTAGAGACGGGGTTTCACCATGTTGGACAGGCTGATCTCGAACCCCTGACCTCGTGATCCACCCGCCTCAGCCTCCCAAAGTGCTGGGATTACATTCTGGCCTATTCTCACTTACTTGTGGGAGCTAGAAATTAAAACAATTGAACTCAGGGAGAAAGAGGGTAGACAGATGGTTACCAGAGGCTGGGAAGGATAGTGGGAGGTGGGGGCAGTGGAAGTGGGGATCACTAATGGGTACAAAAATATAGAAAGAATAAATAAGACGTAGTACTTGATAGCATGACAGGGTGGCTATAGTCAGTAATAATTTAATTGTATATTTTACAGTAACTAAAAGAGTGTAATTGATTGTTTCTAACACAAAGGATAAATACTTGAGGTGATGGATATCCCATTTCCCCTGATATGATTATTAGACATTGAATGCCTATATCAAAATATCCATCCACATTTTAAAAAATTATAGCAGAAGTGATGCTATGCCAATTTTCTGGCTCAAGTCTTAGGAAACTGACAACTTCCCCTTTGTCTCTCTTAGAACCTAGGCACTGTGCTAAAAACAGCTTATGAAGAACCATGTCAAAAGAACTCTGTCCTTCACCCCTCAGTCTTGGCTGAGCTCCCAGTCAATAGCAAGCATTAAACTGCCAGTCAGATGAATGAGACATGTTAGAAGTAGATCCTTCAGCCCCTAGTCAAGCAAACACCTTAAGGAGAGGAACTTTTCCTCTTAGCACTGCCTACAGTTCAGATTCAAGAGCAAAATGACTGTTATTTTAAAATAAATAAATAGAATGAACCTCAAGATAATGATACCATTTTTTAGTAAATTGCTAATTAAGTAACTGAAATTGGGAGCTCAATATTTGAAGGAAAAAACCTTGATATTAATCAACCCCAAAGCCTGTCTTTTAGTCCCAAATAAGTCCCCTAAAATTTCACATTTGTACAACCATTAATTTATTCTTGCTGCTTGAAGAGTATTTAAAGTTGGCACTAAAAATAAACCACAGAAAGTCAGTTCCTGATACTCTTTGGTAGGTAAAACATAGCTTTTTCCACTAAGCTTTTAGTTTATTAGAGTAGTATTTCAAAACAAGGCTTGGTGATTACAACAAACAAACGTGGATAAATGGCATCTAGCAATAAATATACTTTCAAATAATGTCAACTTTATTTTTTTAGAGGTGGGGTTTCACTATGTTTCACAGGCTGGTCTCAAACTCCTGGCCTCAAGTGATCCTCCTGCGTCAGCCTCTCAAAGCTCTGGGACTATATGGAATGATCCACCATGCCTGGCTCAATGTCAACTTTTTTTTTTTTTTCAGACAGAATCTCCCTGTGTTGCCCAGACTGGAGTGCAGCAGCACTATCTCGGCTCACTGCAACCTCTGCCTCCCAGGTTCAAGCAACTCTTGAGCCTCAGCCTCCTTAGTAGCCGGGATTACAGGCACACACCACCACCCCCTGGGCTAATTTTTGTATTTTTAGTAGAGATGGGGTTTCACCACATGGGCCAGGCTGGTCTCAAACTGTGGGCCTCAAGTGATCGGCCTGTCTCGGCCTCCCAAAGTGCTGGGATTACAGGCATGAGCCACCACACTGGGCCCAATGTCAACTTTAATATCAGAGCAAAACAATTCTATATTTTTACCTAGTAGTAATACATCAATAATACAGATCTAATGGAAATACTTCTACAAAAAAGAAACCATAGAATACCTTTAGAAACAATTGGGTTCCAAATGCATTTTTAAAAATTAGCAGACTGGCCAGGCGCGGCAGCTCATGCCTGTAATCCCAGCACTTTGGGAGGCCGAGGCGGGCACATCACCTGAGGTTGGGAGTTCGAGACCAGCCTAACCAACATGAAGAAACCCCATCTATGCTAAAAATACAAAATTAGCCAGGTGCTGTGGCACATGCCTGTAATCCCAGCTACTCAGGAGGCTGAGGCAGGAGAATTGCTTGAACCCAGGAGGCGGAGGTTGCAGTGAGCCGAGATCGTGCCACTGCACTCCAGCCTGGGCAACAAGAGTGAAACTGTCTCAAAAAAAAAAAAAAAAAAAAAAGCAAACTTTATTTTTTACAGCAGTTTTAGATTCATAACAAAATTGAGCTTAAAACTACAGAGTTCCAGAAGACCCTCCCACACAAACAAAGCTTACCCCACCATTAATATCCCACATCATGGCCAGGCATGGTGGCTCATGCCTGTAATCCCAGCACTTTGGGAGGCCGAGGTGGGCAGATCACGAGGTCAGGAGTTCGAGACCAGCCTGGCCAACATGGTGAAACCCCATCTCTACAAATACAAAAAATTAGCTGGTGGTGGTACGCACCTGTAATCCCAGCTACTCCGGAGGCTGAGGCAGAAGAATTGCTTCAACCTAGGAGGCAGAGGTTCCAGTGAGCCGAGACCACACCACTGTACCCCAGCCTGGACAACAGAGTGAGACTCCGTCTCAAAAAAAAAAAAAAATCCCACATCACTGTGGTACATTTGTTACAATGCATGAACCAATAATGACATATCATTATCTACCAAAGTCTATAGTTTATATTATGGTTTACTACTAAAAATTCTGTGTTCCACCTCTTCATCTCTCCCTTTTTCTCCCACTGTAGTAGTACATAAATGTTACTTAGATTTAGTTGATTAATGATCCTGTTCACTTCAGCTATATCCTTGGTGATTTTTTGCCTGCTACATTTGTCCATTACTGATAGGAGTGCTGAAGACTTCAACTATAAATAGTGGATTCATCTATTTCTCCTTGCAGTTCTATCAGTTTTTTCCTCAGATATTTTGATGCTTATTGTTAAGAATATACACATTAAAGACATGTTTTTTTGGAGAACTGACCTCTTTATCATTGTGTAATACTCTTCTTTGATCCCTAATAACTTTTCTTGCTCTGAAGTCTGTTCAGTCTGAAATTAATGTAGCTACTCCCACTTTCACTTGGTTAGTGTCAGCATGGTGTATCTTTATCTTTTTTATATTTATGTTCTTTGTATTTAAAATGGGTTTTTTATAGACAACATATAGTTAGTTGGGTATTTGTCTTTTGATTCACTCTGACAGTATGTATTTTTTTCTTTTTTTTTTTTTAGTTACTCTATTAACTGACTGATTTTCCTTTTTTTTAAAGCTACCCTAGTATGCATTTTAACTGGTATAAAACATATGAGACGCAAAAACCGATAGAACTGCAAAGTAAAATTGACAAATCCACTTTTATAGTTGGAGAATTCAATACCCTTCTATCAGTAACTGACAGATCCAGTAGGCAGAACACAGCTGAAATGAACACCACTACTAATCACCTGGATCTAATTCATATTTACAAAATACTTCATCCAACAGTAGCAGAAGATGCATTCTTCTCAAACTCACATGGAACAACGACCAAGACAGACCACATTCTGGGCCATAAAACACAACTTAACAATTGTAAAAGAATAGAAATTATACGAAGTATGCTCTTAGACCTCAATGAAATTAAACTAGAAATCAAAAACAGAAAGATGGCTGAAAAACCCCACAATACTTGGAGATTAAACAACACATTTTAAAATAATATAAAGGTCAAAGAAGAAGTCTAGAGAAATTTTTAAATATTTTAGTGAAATAATTTAAATGTTTTAATGAAATATTTTAATGAAAATACAACCTAAATTGTAAAATGCATCAAAAGCAGTGCTTATAAAGAAATTTACAGAAAGATCATATAAAAAAATCATATAATTCTATCAATAGATGCAGAAAAAGCAACACCAAATGTTGACAAAAATGTGGAACAACTGGAACTCTCATCCACTGCTGGTGGGAGTGGAAAATGGAATAGCCACTTTGGATAAAACTTTGGCAGTTTCTTAAGAAACTAAACATACTCTTGCCATATGCATAAAATCCAGCAATCACTCTCCTTGATACCTCCCCAAATGAATTGAAAAATTACATCCACACAAAAACACGTATGTGGTTTTTTATAGCAGTTTTATTCATAATTGCCAAAAGTTAGAAGCAACCAAAATGTCCTTCAGTAGGTGAACAGATAAATAAAACCGGAGTATATCTAGACAAAGAAATATTATTTAGTACTAAAAAGAAATGAGCTTATCTAAGAGTTCCCAAAGAGGAAAATTAGAGTCAAATAATTAAAATACAAAAAAAAAAAAAAAAAAAAAAGAAAGAAATGAGCTATCGAGCCATGAAAGGCCAGGAAAGAATCTTAAATACATATAATTCAGTGAAAGAAGCCATTCTAAAAAGGCTATATATTGTATGATTCCACCTAGATGACAATCTAAAAAAGGTAAAACTGTGAAGACGGTAAAGAGATCAGTGATTGCCAGGGGTTCAGGAAGGAGGAGGGAGAGAAAGATAAATAGCTGAAGCAGAGTGAACGCTAATGTAAACAATGGACTTTAATTAATAATAACATCAATATTGGGTCATCAATTGCAATTAATCTACCACATCAATGCAAGATATTAATAGGGGAAACTGCAAGGGGGAGGAAGGTGAGAGGGTTTATGGGAGCTCTCTGTATTTTCCCTTCAGTTTTTTCTATAAACCTAAAATTGCTCTAAAAAATATCCTATTTAAAACAAACTTTTTTTTTTTTTTTTTTTTGAGATGGAGTCTCGCTCTGTCGCCCAGGCTGGAGTGCAGTGGCACGATCTCAGCTTGCTGCAACCTCTGCCTCCCAGGTTCAAGCAATTCTCTGCCTCAGCCTCCTGAGTAGCTGGGATTACAGGCGCCTGCCACCATGCCCAGCTAATTTTTGTATTTTTAGTAGAGATGGGGTTTCACCATCTTTGCCTAGGCTGGTCTTGAACTCCTGACCTAGTGATCCACCTGCCTCAGCCTCCAAAAGTGCTGGGATTACAGGCGTGAGCCACCGAGCCCGGCCAAAAAAAATATTAATAGATAAAACATGCATGAATTTCATAGATACAATGCTAAATGAAAATAGATACAGATTATTTACTGTATAATTCCATCATATAAACTTCTTTTTTCTTAGACAGTCTCACTCTGTTGCCCAGGCTGGAGTGCAGCAGCTCAGTGCAACCTCTGTCTCCCAGGTTCAAGCGATTCTCGTGCCTTGGACTCCTGAGTAGCTGGGATTACAAAGGCATGCCACCACACCAGGTTAATTTTTGCATTTTTAGTAGAGACAGGGTTTCACCATGTTTGCCAGGCTGGTCTCAAACTCCTGACCTCAAGTGATCTGCCCACCTCAGCCTCCCAAGTGCTGGGATTACTGGCGTGAGCCATCGCGCCCAGCCCCATTATATGATGTTCTAGAGCAAGTGAAACTAATCTATGAGAACAGAAATCAGAAGAGTACTTACTTGAGGCAGTGGTGGGGTTGACTAGGAAGAGGCACAAGGGAATTTTCAGGGGTGTTGATAGGATGATGGGATGACAGGTGTGTGGATTATATAGGTATACACATTTTTAGAATTCAAACTGAAGACTTAAGTACTATCATATACAAATGGCACTTGATTTTTTAAATAGCAAAAGATAAAAATAACCTCTTACACAAAAAAATACTATTCTTTAAATTCAGATCAAAGACTGAGATTTTGAAAAGCAAAATACTACTGACATACTACGTACTATTACATACTGACATACTACTGACATGCAAAGCATACTACTAACAAAATAGCAGTATGAAAAATATATAACGACTCCTTCAAACTGAAAAACAACATAAAAACCTGACCAAAAATATGAACAGACAATTCACAGAGGAGGAAACCCAAATGATAAATAAGCGAAAATATTTATTAGTTCAACCTAATAATCAAGACAATGACAATTAATACCATTTCCCTTCCATTATACTGGCAAAAATAAAATGCCCCACGATAGTGAATACAGTTTCTCCACATCCTCACCAGCATCTCTCAAATACTGTTGTTGGAAATGTAACATTTTGGAGATTATCTATGAAATTTTGGCATTATCTATAAAAATTTAAGATTTATGTATTTTAGACCAAAGCAACTCCTCTGCAACGTAAAAACCTTACAGGAACCCTTGTACCTAGGGACTAGGAGTTCCTGTACAAAAATGGTTATTGCAGCAATGTTGATAACAGCAACAAATTAGAATTAACCCAAATGTCTGAAATAAAAAAGTGAATAGTGACAGCCAAACAATGGACTAGAATATGGTAAACAAATCAGAACTGTATCTATCAGCATGGATAAAGCACAAACACCAAAATTGAACAATAATAACAAAAAAAGCAAATTGCAGACAAATATATAAAGTAGTATTTCATATAAGTATACTACTTATATGAAATTTTATAAGGGCCAGGTGCGGAGGCTCACACCTGTAATCCCAACACTTTGGGTGGCCGAAGCGGGCGGATCACTTGAGGTTAGGAGTTTGGGACCAGCCTGGCCAACTTGCTGAAACCCAGTCTCTACTAAAAAACAAACAAACAAAACAGAAATTTTATAAGATGAAAAATACTAAAAACACATACATAACAAATATGTGACATTATGCATGAGATTGATAAGCACCTAATTCATGACAGTTTTGAGGAGTGCTGACCAGGTATTTTGTAGAAGGTCCCTCAGTTGAGATTTGCCTGATGTTTGCCTCCTGGTTAGACAAAGGTTATGTGTTTTGGGGAGAAAGAACGCAGAGATAAAGTGCCATTCTCATCCCACCATATCAAGGGTATGTGCTATCAACATGGCTTGTGGTTGTTAATGTTAATCTTGATCACCTGGCTGAGGTAGTGCCTGTCAGGTTTCTCTGCTGTAAAATTGCTTTTTTCCCCTTTCCATACCCTACTTCTTAGAAGGAAGTCATTACACACAACTCACCCATAAGAATAGAGAGTTATGCGACACCTCCTTGGAGGCAAAGTATCTACATAAATTATTTGAAATTATTTTGTACAGGTCTATAATATATTAAAACAAGCAAAAGTGATCTGAGTCTTGTTTCCCACCTCCACACAAAAAGGGAAAGAAAAATAATAGCAGCAGTATAATTAGAGATCATTTTTATTTTCTTCATTTTTCATCATTCCCCAAATTTTCTTTAATGAGAATTTTCTACTTAGATAATGAGATTTGTTTAAACTATGTCTACAGTTATTATAACCTTAGAATTATTTATCTCACCAGTTTTTTTGTTTGTTTTTTTAAACAGAGTCTTGTTCTGTCACCCAGGCTGGCGTGCAGTGGCACAATCTCTGTTCACCACCTCTGCCTCCCGGGCTCAAGCAATCTTCTTACCTTAGCCTCCTGAGCAGCTGGAACTAAAGACATGTGCCACCACACTTGGCTAAATTTTTAAAATTTTCTGTAGAGATGAAGTCTCACTATATTGCCAAGGCTGGTCTCGAACTCCTGGACTCAAGCAATCCTCCCTGCTTGGCCAACCAAAGTGCTGGGATTACAGGCATGAGCCACCGCTCCTGGCCTCTCTCTCCAATTTTACTCCATGTCAAAAAAGTAAAGAAAACTTGCTAATCTAATATAATAAATTTAGCTTATTTTGAAAAACCTTGATTCTTAAGATCAAGAATAAATGCAGGGAGCTGAGCACAGTGACACATGCCTGTAATCCCAGCACTTTGGGAGGCCAAGGCAAAAGGATCACTTGAGCCCAGGAGTTCAAGACTAGCCTGGACAACTGTGGGATATCATGAGGCTTCTCTTCAAATAATCTGATTAATCTTTTATTCTTTAATTCATAGTACCCCACACACACACCTTTTTTCTCCTTTTTCTCTTTTTTCCTTTTTGCCTTTGTTAGATGCCCAGGCACGCCACAGTACCAGGCATTATCAGTACCAGCTCACATTCCTTTCCTTATTTGGAAAGAGGACTAACTTTCTAGCTCATTACAGACACCCTTCCCATTCCTCTCCACTTTCTTTTACGTGCCCATCTTATCTTAAAAAATCAAACGTTTAGCCAACCGGGATTAGTTTAGATTGTACAACCCAACCGTAGCAAATGAGGAAAGGGTGCAGGGGCAGGACTTGCATCAGGAATAAAGGCTCTCACGCCCCTTTATTCAGGTGTGCTCTCACGGCAACCAGCCAAGGAGGCACCCCTCTGCGCAGAAGTAAAATTGTTTTGCTAAAAATCCTTTGTTCGAGTGTTCAATTTCCTTAGGATTTTGAGCGCTATCCCTAACAACAATATAGCAAAACTCTGTCTTTACAAAAAATGCAAAAATTAGCCGGGCATGGCGGCACATGCTTGTAGTCCCAGCTACTCCGGAGGCTGAGGTGGAAGGATTGCTTGAGCCCAGGAGACAGGGGGCCACAGTGAGCAGTGATCGCACCACTGTACTGAAGCCTGGGCAACAGGGACCCTGTCAGAAACAGACAAACAAAAAAAACAAATACTGGGGACATGAATTCTATGACCAAATATAACAGATAAATTAATGCAGCCTAATAACTTGCAACTCTTTTTTAACAAACTAGATAAAATATTGTCAAGGAAATAACTTCTAGAATATCTTATTGATCCAAATACAAGACAACCTGGAGTTTAAGTAATCCAATTTTTCCAAGAAAGAAAAAAAATTAATCATAGGAAATATTCTTTATCATGGTATTTCTAGTAAGTCATATACAGTTGGCCCTCTGCATCTGTGAATTCCACATCTAGGAATTCAACCATCTGAGGGCCAAATATTCAAAATAAAAATCTGTGTCTATAATAAACATGTACCAAACTTTTTTTTATCATTATTCCCTAAACAATACAGTATAACAAGTACTTATGTAGCATTTGTTGTTTTACGTATTATAAGTAATCTAGAGATTATTTAAAGTATATGGGAGAGTGTATTTTGGTTATATGCAAATACCACACTATTTTATATCAGAGACTTGAGCATCTGAGGATTTTCGAGATCCTAGAACTAATTCCCCATGGACACCAAGGGACAACTGTATATCCTTTTTAATAATTTTTTAAAATGCAGAAAACTCTTATCCACAAATAATATATTTATCATTATTCTTTTTTTTTTTTTTTGAGGTGGAGTTTCCCTCTTGTTGCCCAGGCTGGATGGAATGCAGCGGTGTGATCTCAGCTCACTGAGACCTCCACCTCCCAGGTTCAAGCGATTCCCCTGCCTCAGTCTCCCAAGTAGCTAAGATTACACGCGCCCACCACCACACCCAGCTAATTTTTTGTATTTTTACTAGAGATGGGGTTTCATCATATTGGCCAGGCTGGTCTCGAACTCCTGACCTCAGGTGATCCACCTACCTTGGCCTCCCAGAGTGCTGGGATTACAGGTGTGAGCCACTGTGCCCAGCGCTATGATTATTCTCATTCTGCTTGGAAATAACTCTTTTTCCACTTACATCGGAGGTTTTTAATATTGCAAGAAAAAAAACATATTGCTGGATTGTACCAAGGAAGTTGTTTGAATAAAGGATAGTTATTTCTTCAGTGACTAAGTTATAGCCAGGAAGAAAGAATGACTGGAAATTCAATACTACAATACCTGAGACATAAATATTTGCTTCTCCAGTCACTTAATGGGAACCAGTAATTAAGAATATCAGAAAGCTATGCACTTCTCCAATTTCCATCAAGTAAGTGAACTGGAACACATCACACAGATTTAAATTAATCATCACTTATGAAGAAAACAGACTGACAAGCACATAAAGCTACCAAGAACTAACAACAGTTCAATTACCACAAAAAATACTCACAGTAACCAAAAACAAATCTGTACTTGTCAACAGTTCTGTCAAGTTTCCAAGAACGTGCTATGTCATAATGTGTAGATGTGTTCTTTAGTGGAGCTTATAAAATATACAACACTGCCAAGTTGAAAGCACAATTAAATTAAGACCTTGAGAAAGTAAAAGCAATTTGCCTCTGGTGACTATTGTTAGTAATGAGTCTTAAAGAGAATGTTTTTTTAATCCTGATTTATGCCATCAGAATTTCTTCCTCGAAAAATATAAATTTATATAATTAAAGATCAAATGCCACGTCAAAAAAACTTGTATTTCTATAGCCTGCAGAATAAAAATTACATAATGATCTAAAGCAAGTGAAACTGTCCAAAAGAGTTTAGGTAAATAAGTATTTTATAAAGCTCTTAAACATTTTCTTGTTTGAAAACAAACAAACAAAAAAAACCTACATATAAAAGCCAGATGTGGTGGTGTGCACCTGTAGTCCCAGCTGCTCAGGAGGCTGAGGCAGGAGAATCACTTGAGCCCAGGAGTTCAAGGCCACGGTGTGCCATGATTGTGCCTATGAATACCCATTGCACTCTATCCTGGGCAACACAGCAAGATCCTGTCTTTAAAAAAAAAAAAAAAAAAAGACTAAATAAAGATTTCCCTTGAAACTGGTTTCGTTACTGAGAATCAAATCTCAAATTGTTTATGCCATTATTTTAAGTAAAAACTGAGGCCAGGCACGGTGGTTCATGCCTGTAATCCCAGCACTTTGTGAAGCAGAGGCAAATGGACTGCTTGAGCTCAGGAATTTGAAACCAGCCTGGGCAACATGGAGAAATCTCAACTATATAAAAAATACAAAAAATGAGCCAGGCATGGTGGCATGCACCTGTGGTGACAACTACTGGAAAGGCTGAGGTAGGAGGATCACTTGAGCCCAGAAGGCCAAGGCTGCAGTGAGCCAAAATTATACCATGGGACTCCAGCCCAGCAACAGAGTGATACCCTCCCTCCCTCCCCTCCATCAAGAAAAGGAAAATGGTCCAAAACTCTAAGTAGATATAGTCCAAAAAGAAAAGCAAACTGATTTTGTCCTTTCTTTTCACCTTCAGTAAATTTGTGAAATGTGATTTACTGTACAATTAATTATAGTATGGTTTTACTGTTTCAAATGTATTCTCTGGGCTTCAATTTCCCTAAAATTAAGCAAAGAGAATTTGCTATATGAGCTGCATGTGCCCCCAAGTAATTACATTCCATATTGCTATATCTGTAGGTTGAGCCATATAAATACAACAGTATTCAACTGTTTTGGACTCACAAGTATGCTAATTTCAAATGGTTCAACCTTACTAAATCTCTTAAATTTTATTTTCCCCTATAGACTATGTTTGGCACCAAGCGGCTTTTGTTTTCTTTTTTTTTTCTGAGAGGGAGTCTCACTGTGTCACCCAGGCAGGAGTGCAGTGGCACAATCTTGGCTCACTGCAACCTCTGCCTCCTGGGTTCAAGCAGTTCTCCTGCCTCAGCCTCCCAAGTAGCTGGGATTACAGGCACACGCCACCACGCCCGGCTAATTTTTGTATTTTTAGTAGAGATAGGGTTTCATTGTGTTGGCCAGGCTGGTCTCGAACTCCTGACCTCAGATGATCTGCCAGCCTTGGCCTTCCAAAGTGCTGGGATTATAGGCATGAGCCACCACACCCAGCCTATTTTCTTAAAATAGAGCAAAATGTTTAACATTATTATGAAAGCCAGTGATGAGAGCCAGTTCTCAATTGACATTCAGGACTGAATACACTTTATCAGACATTTTTTAAAGCAAAGAAAAAGATGATACTCTGATATGGAAACCCTCCTAAATTACTATTAATATTTCACAATTCATATTTTGGAATACTCGCAGAATTTGTACTAGCCCATTCAGCTTTATGATCCCACTTATTATCAGCTTATAGTCTGTGGCCTAAGTTATAGTTTTCACCACCTGCCTACTATGTATCAGGCCCTGTCCCAATCCTTCAAATAAGATGAACAGCATATGGACCTGCTTTTGAAGAGCTTTCAATCTGGTTATGTAAACAAGAGCTCAACATCCTTGGCTTTCCTGATTTGCTAGAAAATCTAGAGCAATGCTACCCAAAGTATGGTCTACATATCAGTGCCAGACCACAAACTTCACTACCAGTCCACCATGAGGTAATTATACAAACTGAAAGTAAATATTTAGAAACTTTCATGGAAAAATGACTATTTTTATGTCAATTAACCTAATAAAATAATCGGATTGTATGTTTTTATGTATTTTTGGTGAGGAATTGAACATTTTTTTAAAAAACAAAACTGGTCCTCAACAGACTGCTTCTTAAATGTAAGAAGCACTGCTGTGAAGGTAGACAGATTGGACAGTTCTGCTATCTTTGCAACTTAGCTCTTCTGCATTTGAAAGTTAAAATATTCGTTTCATATTAGACTTCATCAACTGGCCCCATTTCCACTATAATAAAGATCCTGGTTACATTTGATAAGGGAAAAAGGACACCAAGAAGAAAATAAGATGCTGGCTATGGAAGTCAGGAAGATAAAAGTTACTAAAAATAAGAAAAGAGAAAAAATGTTACTGCTCTTCATGGAAGAGAAAGGAAAATACTTCAAGTTGACGGTAAATTTTTAAAAACCACTGTTGTGTATGCCCGGGTCTTCTTAGATAAATAGAAGCCTTATTATTTTATCACAGGTGGCAAAAACAGGACTAATTACACAGACTTTTAATTTCCCAACTTACATTTAACAATTAAATCTTTTAATTTCCCAACTTACATTTAACAATTTTCAATTTAACAATTTGAAAATACCAAGAGAAGGAAACTGTAGCCAAAAGAAGAGTTATGGAGTAGATAGGCAACTTCATTTCTCACAAGTCTGTGTAATTAGTCCTCTTTTTGCCACCTGTGATAAAATAATAAGGCTTCTATTTATCTGATGACCTAGGACATTACTAGAGCCTTTATACATGAAGTCCAACTTTGTTTCATTTGGCACAGCTAAAAATAGAAGTGAAATGAAATACATTTTAAAGGCAAATTCATATTTCCTATTATTAGATTTAATATACAACCAACTAGTGTTTCAATTGGGTATTACTGCCATATTCTGCATGCTAATTTAACAAATTTACATATTTTAAAAAAAAGAAATTTATTTGGTTTCGTAAGTAAAATCTGGCCAAGGACAGACTCACCCAGAACACCTCTGGATGGCTTCCAAAGCTCAATGACTTCATGTACACCTACTATGTAATAATCATCATGCAAGGAAATTTCCAGTTTACTGAATGCTGTAATGGCCTATGAGGGGCAGGCAGTTTAACAGTAAACCAAGCCCCAAATCTGGCGATAGGTGGAAATGGGAAAAAAAAGAGTACACAGTGTATTAGATTTGGTGTGGACTCTGGTTAAATACATCCATAGCATGTAACAGAACACCTATGACAACTGAAGATTGAACATTCACAATTTCAAAACAGTCTCAAGCAATTGGGAACAGCTCTGATGTATAGAAAATGACTGTGCTCAGACATAAATTTGAATCATGCATACTAGGAGGTATGCTTAGCTATAAACCTAGCCAACTTCACAGCATATTCAAGGCAGCTTTATAGAATCAACTTGCATCATTAATGAAACCAAGCCTTGATACTTCAATATCAGTAATACTTTTGTGTACGTCTGAAAATCCTTTAAAAAGTTTTTTCCTTAAAAGCGAAGAACTAACAAAATATTAACTTAAAACAAGGCAACTGAGGGAGAATCTCCATGTGAGAAGGGTAGCTGGACTTTAAGGCTCCAAATCCTGCTCCTGAGATTTATTTTGCCCTTGATAACTCAACCCCTGGCAGCAACCATTTTTGCACATTTAGTAACCACTCTGGTACATTTGTAAACCTTTATCCCTAACTCTAACTGCTTAAGGTTTTTCTGGGTCATGTACAAGATTTCATACAGATTAGAAAGAGTTGGTCGTGATCACCGAATTTTTACTAAGTGTCCAAAAAGCCCTATACCATGCTGAGGATACCCACTCTTACTGTGCTTACAGTCTAGTGGGAGGCCTACAGATGACATCTACGACTTTCTCTTTTGAAGTAGTTTTAGCTCTGGTTTTTCTGAAGGTCCTATTTGGTATCTGGGCCTAGCAGACAGATCACACTGTTAATCCAAACAGTCTCCTCCAATAAATAACATATTTTATCAGAAATTGCCATCTTGAAATTACAAAATTAAAAAATATTTCAGAAAAATTTTACATAAAATTTTATTTCCATGTTTATGCTTCCATATTAAAACCTGATCACAGTAATTTCAAAATTTTTAATTATAACTCATCTATAGCAAAATGAATAGCACTCAGCCACCTGCTATTCTAAATATCAACAGAATATTTATGTAGATCTTAAACACTCTAAAGTCAACTAGCTAAAAACATAAAAGTCAGGTAACAAAGGGTACAGAAAAAGTGCTCAATCCCTCAATTCTTTTTTTTTAATTTTTTTTGAGACGGAGTCTTGCTCTGTTGCCCAGGCTGGAGTACAGTGGCACGATCTCGGCTCACTGCAACCTCCGCCTCCCAGGTCCAAGCGATTCTTCCGCCTCAGTCTCCCAAGCAGCTGGGACTACAGGCATGCAGCACCATGCCTGGCTAATTTTTGTATTACTAGAGACAGGGTTTCACCATGTTGGCCAGGCTAGAGTGCAGTGGCATGATCCCAGCTTACTGCAACCTTCACCTCCCAGGTTCAAGCGATTCTCCTGCCTCAGCCTCCTGAGTAGCTGGGATTACAGGCCTGAGCCACCATGCCCAGCCTCAATTCTTTATCACAAACACAAAAATGAAAAATATAAGACCGGGGTGTATTTTTAGTAGAGACGGGGTTTCACCATGTTGGTCAGGCTGGTCTTGAACTCCTAACCTCGTGATCTGCCCACCTCGGCCTCCCAAAGTGCTGGGATTACAGGCGTTAGCCACCACGCCCAGCCTCAATTCTTTATTACAAACACAAAAATGAAAAATATAAGACCAGGGTGTAGTGCCTCACGCCTATAATCCCAGCACTTTGGGAGGCCAAATGGGGCGGATTGCTTAAGCCCAGGCATTTGAGACTAGCCTGGGCAACATGGTGAAACCACATCTCTATAAAAAATTAGCTAGGCATGGTGGCTCCATGCCTGTAGTCCCAGTTACTAGAGAGTATGAGATGGGAGGACTGCTAGAGCCCAAGAGATCAAGACTGCAGTGAGCCATGATCACACCATTGCACTCCAGCCTAGGCAACAGAGCAAGACCCTGTCTCAAAAAAGAAAAAAGAAAATATAGGGAATGAGATGAGAGAAAGAACAGAAAAGAGTAACAAATTCTTGCAACATTTAAGTGATATGATTGCTATGGCAGCTAAGAAGCAAGCAATTCCCACTGGATAACTCCAGAGAAATAAGAAATGGGAAACACTATCTACTTCCGACTGAAAGTAGGGAAACAGATCAAAAATCTGTTGGATTTTGGAAAACAGGTTGGAAACCGAAGAAGAGGTTGAAAATCGGCTTACTTGGCCCAGCCACCATCCCATCACCAACCCTGGTGGAAGACTGTAGTTTTCCATTCTGGAGAGTGAAGCAGAGGGGTCTGGACTCAAGGATCTCAGGCACAACTGAGAGAAAGAGACTTATTCTGAAAACTGGTAGGTAAAGTGCAATTCTACATGCTGACGGCACGGTGCCCAGGCCTCTTTTCTCCTTTGACTCTGCAAGGCAATTCTGATACAAACTACCAAGACTTAGGCCTAACTTTACAAGTTAAGGGTACTATCCTTCTAAAAGAGGATACCATTTCTGACACTAATCACAAGCTTGAGGGTTCCCAAGCCACCTTCACTTCTAAACAACTGGCCAGGCTGGGCATGGTGGCTCACGCCTGTAATCCTAGCACTTTGGGAGGCCGAGGCGGGCAGATCACCTGAGGTCAGGAGTTCAAGACCAGCCTGACCAACATGGTGAAACCCCATCTCTACTAAAAATACAAAAATTAGCCGAGCATGGTGGTGTGCACCACTCAGGAGGCTGAGACAGGAGAATTGTTTGAACCGGGGTGGCCCAGGTTGCAGTGAGCCGAGATGGTGTCATTGCACTCCAGCCTGGACAACAGAGTGAGACTCCATCTCAAAAAAACAAAACAAAACAAAAAACTGGCTATAAATTCAGGGGTTCCCACTACCCCCTCAGGTTCAATAATTTGGTGGAACAACACATAGAACTCAGGAAAGTCCTATACTTACAAATATATATGTGTGTGTGTGTGTGTATATATGTATATATGTGTGTGTGTGTGTGTGTGTGTGTGTGTGTATATAATATATATATATATATTTTTTTTTTTGAGACAGGGTCTCACTCTGTCACCCAGGCTAGAGCACAGTGGCATGATCTCGGCTCACTGTAACCTCCGCCTCCTGGGTTCAAGTGATTCTCCTGCCTCAGCCTCCCGAGTAGCTGAGATTATAGGTGCGTGCCACCACACCCAGCTAATTTTGTATTTTTAGTAGAGATGGGGTTTCACCATGTTGGCCAGGCTGGTCTTAAATTCCTGACCTCAAGTAATCCACCTGCCTTGGCCTCCCAAAGTGCTGGGATCACAGGCATGAGCTACCACACCCGGCCCAATTATAGTTTGATTATAGCAAAAAGGACATAAATCAAGACCAGTGAAAATAAGAGACACCTGGGGTAAGGTCTGGGAGGGGCCCAAATGTGAAGCTTCTGCAGCCTTTCCTTGTGGAGTCAGGACAAATCACCCACCTATCACACAGGTGCAATAACAATATACACAGAGTACTGTTCACCAGGGATTCAGGGGTTCCCACAGAGTACTGTTCACCAGGGAAACTCACCCAAACTTCAGTGTCCAGAGATCTTACTGGGGCTGCATTACGTAGGTATGAATGATTGAATAACTGGTCACATGATTTAACTCAATCTCCAGCCCCACCTTATCCTCCCCGGAGGTCAGGGTGATACTGCATGGGTGAAAGCCCCAACTCCTTAATCACAGTCTTTCTGGAGTTACCAATCCCCATCCTGTGTCATTCATTAGCATAAACTATCTAGGGGCTCACTATCAGTCACCTGGTTGGCAAAAACTATAAAGTATGATCTGAGGGGCCTAGTGTCAAAAATAAAGACACTCCTATCACGGAAGAAATTCCAGGATTTAAAGCCTCTGTCCTAGGAACCAGGGGCAAAGGCCAACCACATTCTTTATTATACAACAGGCTCCAAGAACACTGGCAGCAGGACTTCCAAGCAGAAGTAGTGGAAAATTCCTCTCTGAGGAGCAATCCGACCAGGAAAATAAACTTAACAGATACTGACTGTAAGGTATATACCCCAGCATCATATGACTAAGTTCAGTAGGCCTTCAGCTATGCCCATACTCACAAGGCCTCTAATCAACCTCTTCGTGTATCACTCTTAAATATAAATAACAGTAAAGAAGCATTAAATATTTGAAGAAAACTCCAATGTGAAAGAGAACAAAATAAATAGAAAAAAATAGAAATTTACAGGAACAAACAATTCAGGGAGTTTTTTAAAATTCAAAATATGACCTATAATTATCATTATCAGAAATAAACAAGAGACCACCTACATAACAAGTACCAACTCCCTACTTGTTTAAAGGAACATTAAAGACAAATGAGAAATTAATATCTGGAAATAAAATAGCAGAAATGAAAAATTAACACAGCAGGGTAGTTGAGAAAATTTCTATAATGATAGCCAAAAAGGCAAAAAGATAAAAATTGAAGAAAAGAAAAAAAGGAAGAAAATTAAAGAAATCAAGCAAGAAGGTCCAACCATGAATAACAGGAGTTTCAAAATTAGAAGAGGGAAAAATATGGTATAGAGGAAATTATCCAATAAATTATACAAAAAGATTTCTCAGAATTGTGAGAAATGGGAAACTTCTTTTTCAAAGATTATAAAAAGTCACAATTTTTTACCATAAGATTGCTATCCACTATTAGTATATATATATTCCAAATCAGCTGTCCTAGCTTGCTCTGGCACGCCTGGACAGAGCTAGACAAGCCCCAGCCCACAGTCCATGCCATTCCGTATTTGGAGATGTTTCCTTAACTATCCCTGGGCATCTTCCTTTTCTTTCTTTGTTGTGTTCCCCTTGCCCAATTTAAAAAGTTTTAAACTAACAGCCAATCAGGTAAAGTGTAAAATGTGAGGTCCTATTCCAGCCAATGGAAACTGGACACAGCAGCAGGGTAGATGTGTCAGGTTATAAATAACTCTGTCTCCTTTGTTTGGTGGCTGGACAGCTACTGAGTAGCACCTTTTCTGCAGAAAGTAAAGCTCACCTTGCTGAGAGATCATTTGTTCCCACATTAATTCCTTTTTTAGGCAACACCAAAAACTTCATTTCCAACAATTTGGTGCTCCAACGTGGGGCTCCCTTTCCCCTCTAGGGCAGTCTCTTGCCCTCCCTCGTGGGGAGGCGCCCCACTGCCCTTTGCGGCAGCCCCCGGGAGAAGAGAGCCAGGACACACCTGGTGCGAGCAATCTATCTGGACTCTCAGTAACGCCAAAAAGAAGGAGTGGCTTACCAAGCCGCAGATATCAGGGGCCTCAACCAGGTAACCTCGCCCGAGGGCCAAGGTAGGAAATGTTGCAAAGGGTGACAAACTACTTCCTTGGTGGTCTACTTCTGGCAGCGGGGCTGAACGAGTGCAAAGAACCTCCAGAAGGGAAAGGCACGGGAGGAAGGTTACCTCCCGAGGGGGAAAGAAAGGAATTGCAGAGCAATTAGGGTCTACCAGTCAAATGGCTTGGGAAAATAGGAAAGCCCTAGACATGATGTTAGCTAAAAAGGGAGGTGTCTGTGTAATGATTAAAACCCAGTGCTGTACATTTATTCCAAATAACACTGCCCCCAATGGGAGCATAACCCAAGCTCTACAAGGACTTACTGCCCTATCAGATGAATTAGCTAAAAATTCTGACATTAGTAACCCCATTTCAAACTGGTAAAAGAGTTAGTTTGGCAGATGAAAGGAAACTATCGCTTCAGTTCTCACCTCCTTAGCTACTGTATTAAGTATACTCCTTCTTGTTGGTGTATTATACCTTGTACTCGAAGGTTAGTGCAGAAACTCGTCAGTACTACCCTTACTAATCTATCCCCAACTCCCCCGCCACTGTATTCAGAAAGACTGCTCCTTCCAGAGGATCAGGCCAAACAACAAAGTCAAAACATGCTAAACAAATTTGAAGAAGAAGTATAAAGTAAAAAGAGAAGGGATTGTGAGAAATGGGAAAGTTCTTCTTCAAAGATTATAAAAAGTCACAATTTCTTACTATAAGATTGCTATCCACTATTACAGTGTGTGTGTACACACACACACACACACACATATATTCCAAATCAGCTGTCCTAGCTTGCTCTGGCACGCCTGGACAAAACTAGACAAGCCCCAGTCCATAGTCCATGCCATTCCTTATTTGGAGAAGCTTCCTTAACTATCCCTGGGCAACTTCCTTTTCTTTGTTCTGTTCCCCTTACCCAATTAAAAAAGTTTTAAACTAACAGCCAATCGGGTAAAGTGTAAAATGTGAGGTCCTATTCCAGCCAATGGAAACTGGACACAGCAGTAGGGTAGACGTGTCAGGTTATAAATAACTGGCTCCTTTGTTTGGTGTGCTCTCGTGGCTGGACAGCTTTGAGTAGCACCCTTTCTGCAAAAAGTAAAGCTCACCTTGCTGAGAGATCATTTGTCACGGCGTTAATTCTTTTTTTGCAACACCAAAAACTTCATTCCCAACATAATTAAAGGACATGAGTTTCCAGATTCAAAATATGTGGATTATGGGTAATATGTCACAGCCATGAAGCAATTAGCCAATTCAGTAATAGAGCTTTTATGAACAAGATGTGTGTCTTTGGAAAAGTTGCTTAATTTTTCTGTCTCAGTTTACTTATCTGTAAAATGGGGAAATATCTAGCTAGTAGTCTTATAAAAATTAAATAAAATTACATTTATAAAATGCCTGCCCTAAGGTTTAAAACTAACTAGGGTTTCAATAAATATTAAGTGCCTCCCCTTTTATTCCTGTTACTCACGTATTATTTCCTAAAAATAAAAATTTTCTTTCTCCAGTATTCATAGCTATATATACTATTAAGGTTTCCATTGAACATGGACCTTCCTTTCCTTGTCCTAGCATTATTTCCTTTCCTGATAATCTTTACAAGTTACTGAAAAAAGGCTAATATCATTATTTTTATATAACATATCAAGATTTCCATGCATACATACGCAAATGATACGAAAAGACAATTCACATGAGAGAATGTACAAATAATAAGCACATGGTGAAACCATCGTAAACAGTAATAAAACAAAAGGAGATGTAAACACTCTTAAGTCACTATTTATAACTAAATGAGCAAAAATAAACAAACAATGCTAACTAAGAGCAGTAAAACTAGTACAATGAGTTAAGTATAAAGTAAAAAATCTGCATGGAAAGCAACATGACAAAATAAAATCAGTGTTCGCGGCCTTTAATCTAATAACCCCACCTCTGAGAAAAGGCCCGAATAAATAACTCAACAGATGCAAAAACTGTACAAAAGCACGAACTGAAGTACTATCAACAAGAAAGTCTAGAAACAATCCAACTGTCTACTAAACAATATGGTATGACTATACAATATTAAAGTCATTATAAATAAATACTATGAAAAAAGTTTTCTCTAAAAAAACTACTAAAACTATAGAAACATAAAAATATATAAATTTATAAAACCAAACATTTATGATCTAACACATTCTGACAGCAGGATAATGAAAATAAGGTCTGTTCCCAGAAAATCTATGGTAGAATTGTCTACATGTGAGTACAAAAATCAGATAATTCATACATTATGACTGTGTATTAAATAAAAATAAACATTTGTGGCCAGGCAAGGTACCTCACATCTGTAATCCCAGCACTTTGGGAGGCCAAGGCGGGTGGATCATTTGAGGTCAGGAGTTCAAGAGCAGCCTGGCCAATACGGTGAAACTTTGTCTCTACTAAAAATTCAAAAATTAGCCAGACGTGATGGCACATGCCTGTAATCCCAGCTACTCGGGAGGCTGAGGCAGGAGAATAGCTTGAACCCAGGAGGCAGAGGTTGTGGTGAGCTGAGATCGCGCCCCTGCACTCCAGCCTGGGCAACAAGAGCAAAACTTCATCTCAAAAAAAAAAAAAAGGAAAGAAAGAAACCACAATACAGAAAACGGGGTTTGTGGACACAAAGAAAGGAACAACGCATGCTGGGGCCTGTCAGAGGGTAGAGAGTGGGAGGAGAAAGAGGATCAGGAAAAATAACTAAAAGGTACTAGGCTTAATACCTGGGTGATGAAATAATCTGTATAACAAACCCCCATGACACAAGTTTACCTATATAACAAACCTGCACATGTACCCCTGAACTTAAAATGAGCCTTCATTTCATCCGTTTTCAAAAGCAGCTAATAATACTAATCTTAAATGACAGTCACAAGATTCAAATAAGAAAATATTCTAAAGCATGCAATAGTACTAAGCACACTGTAGGCACTCAAGAAACATTTTTTTTTCCTCTTTCCCTCACTTAGGGTTATTCCATGAGTAGTTCTCTGCTTTTCCAAGGGCAAATAATGCTTTGCAAATCTTTATTTACAACTCTTAACAGGAATGAAGAAAAGAGTTTGGTTTATTAGAGAATGGATTTAACAATAAACTCAAATTCCTAAAATAAAAAGAATAGTTTGCTTGTGTTTTTACGTCAAAGAAACTCAGTAAAACACCAGCGGGTGGCATGTCCTTTTCCTTTCTTTATAAGTTTCCTCTTGTTGATTTGTCTTTAAGACAAAGATTTTATAGACTATTGCCACATAATTTTTTTTGTAATGAAAAAAAGGAGACAAAGACTTTACGGCTAACGTTAATTTCTGCAGATTCCAACTTAACCAGCAATGGGGTCAATCCAAAAACTGAGTTAAGCATCTTTGGCAAAAAACAGAAAACCACAGTCACAAAAAAGACTGAAAATTCTATCCTTATATGGAAAAGATAGGACTTTATTCAAATTAGATGGCAATATTTTACAGTTATAAAGCTATATAGTTTCATGGAATTGATGGGGTACAGGAAGTGCTACCCCAAAATATGTCATCTAGGCATTTTAGAAAACAGAAGCAGAAAGACCACTCTCACAAACCACCCCCAAAATCTCCTATGAAGCAGGTTATAAACCTACACCTGTAATCCCTGCTACTCAGAAGGCTGAGGTGGGAGTTCAAGGCTGCAGTGAGCTATAAACACCCCACTGCATTCTTGGGCAACAAGCGAGACCACATCTCTTAAAAAGATTTTACACACACACACACACACACACACACACACACACGCATCCATCTTCCTTCAATTAAAACTATGCACCTTCTTGCCGGGCGTGGTGGCTCACGCCTATAATCCCAGCACTTTGGGAGGCCGAGGCGGGTGGATCACTTGAGGTCAGGAGTTCGAGACCATCCTGGCCAACCTGGTGAAACCCCATCTCTACTAAAACACAAAAAGTTAGCTGGGCATGGTGGCATGCATCTGTGGTCCCAGCTACTTGGGAGGCTGAGGCAGGGAAATTGCTTGAACTCGGGAGGCAAAGGTTGCAGTGAGCTGATATCGCACCACTGCATACCAGCCTGGCGACAGAGCGAGACCCCATCGCAAAAAACAAAACAAACAAACAAAAAAAACTATGCGCTTTCTTTCAAGTAAAAGTTACATGGGGCTGAACACAGTGGCTCATGCCTGTAATCCCAGCACTTTGGGAGGCCAAGATGGACGGATCACGAGGTCAGGAGTTTGAGACCAGCCTGGCCAACATGGTGAAACCCCATCTCTACCAAAAATACAAAAAATTAGCCAGGCGTGGTGGTGCGCACCTGTAATCCCAGCTACTCTCAAGGCTGAGGCAGGAAAATTGCTTGAACCTGGGAGGCAGAGGTTGCAGTGAGTCAAGATCACGCCACTGCACTCCAGCCTGGGCAACAGAGCGAGACTCCATCTCCAAAAAAAAAAAAAATTTTACAAGGAATTAATTTTGAGGTGCTAACATTTAATGCATCTGAACAATTATTCTATCTACTATATGTGATATTATAACCAAGTTGTCTGATACAGATCTGTGGAACAGAATTCACAGTCCAGAAATAAACAACCAACTGATTTTCAACAAAGCTGATAAGGCAATTCAATGGGAGAAAGGATAGTCTCTTGGACAAATGGGACTGGGACAATTGTGTACCAACATTCAGAGTATAAATTAGACCTTGTTTCTCAACTTTTCATTGTTGCACCCCTAAGGAACCTTTCTAGACATTTTCAACCTAATTGTGCCTTCCCTCATGAAACGGTAATACCACAGATAAACTGTGTATCTGTTTATGTGCTACATATACCCGTGCTTTATATGTAAAAACAGTAATATTCTTTCATTCCCTAAGAATCAGGCCAGGCATGGTGGCTCATGCCTGTGATCCCAGCACTTTGGGAGGCCAAGGCGGGCAGATCACCTGAGGTCAGGAGTTCAAGACCAGCCTGGCTAACACGGTGAAACCCCGTCTTTACTAAAAATACAAAAAATTAGCCTGGCGTGGTGGTGGGCGCCTGTAATCCCAGCTACTAGGGAGGCTGAGGCAGGAGAATCACTTGAACCCAGGAGGCGGAGGTTGCAGTGAGCCGAGGTCGTGCCGTCACACTCCAGCCCAGGTGACAAGAGCAAAACTCCATCTCAAAAAAAATATCAATTCTTGTCCCTATTGAGAATGCATTAAAATTGTAATTCACACACACACAAACTCAAAATGAATCAAAGACAAAAAGTAAAAGCTAAAATTGTAAAGCTTATAGAAAAAAACAAACAGAAGAGAACTCTTTGAAAGCTTTGGTTAGCAAAGAATTATTAGATACAACACCGAAAGCACAACCAATAAAAGGACAAACTAATAAACTGAGCTTCATCAAAACTGAAAACTTACGCAGTTCAAAAGAAAAGAAGTTAAAAAATGCAAAGACAAGCTAGGTACAGTGGCACATGCCTCTAGTACCAGCTACTAGGTACCAGGGAGGCTGGGGTGGGAGGATCCATCGAGAGAGACAGAGAGAGAGAGAGAGAGAGAGAGAAAGAGAGAGAGGAACTTCTGGCAATCCTCAACCTCAGCTCTAGCAATCCTCCTGCCTCAGCCTTCCGAAGTGCTGGGATTACAGACATGAGCCACCACACCCAGCAGCAAAACATTTAAATAGACATTTCACCAAAGAAATATGGGAATGATTAATAAGCACATAAACAGAACTCAGTCATTAGAGATGTGGAAATAAGTAATTCAAAATCTTAGCTGTTGGAACGCCAAATTATTTTGAGCCTTAAACTCGTGATTTATAGGGCTTAAGTCACATGACAAGTAGCTATAACCTAGGCAGCTGCAAACCTATTTCTTTGATTATACTATCCTTTATCAGGCTGGGCATGGTGGCTCACGCCTGTAATCCCAGCACTTTGGAAGGCCGAGGCGGGTGGATCGCTTGAGGTCAGGAGTTTGAGACCAGCCTGGGCAACACGGTGAAACCCCGTCTCTACTAAAAATAGAAAAACTATTGTAATCCCACCCTTGTAATCCCAGCTACTTAGGAGGCTGAGGTAGGAGAATTGCTTTAACCTGGAAGGTGGAGGCTGCAATGAGCCAAGATCGTGCCATTGCACTCTAGCCTGGGCAAGAGAGCGAGACTTTGTCTCAAAAAAAAAAAAGAGAGAGAGAGAGAGTGAAGCATAATGGTTTAGCCTGCCCTCTAGAGTAATACTATCCTTTATCTTTACCTACAGTTTTATAAAATGTTGCAAATGACTAAAAGATGCCAGGGAAGACTCCTCTCTTCACTGTTAATCTTCATTATAGATTAACTTCCCTCTTACCTTTCTCACACAAAGACTTCATGACTATCACAATAAGACAGAATGTTAAATACATTCTTTTAAATTGGAAAGAAAATGAAAACCAGCTATAAAGAAAACAAAACAAGCCATGGGAGGGAAAAATGCAAAATGTAACTAATTGATCTGCTATAACTCATAAACCAGCCTTGTATACAAAATGTTATACTCCTACCAAACTTCTTTCTTTTCTGCCTATATAAGCAAAAACTTATTTCAGAGCAATGACTCCATTTCTCTGGAGTCTCCTGGATGGCTATTCCCAGTTTTTCACTTAAATAAACTCTCTTTTTTTTGAGACAGAGTCTCACTCTGTCGCCCAGGGTGGAGTACAGTGGCGCAATCTCGGCTCATTGCAACCTCTGCCTCCCGGGTTCAAGTGATTCTCCTGCCTCAGCCTCCCAAGTAGCTGAGATTACAGGTATCTGCCAGCTAATTTTTTTATTTTTAGTAGAGATGGGGTTTCACGATGTTGGCCAGGCTGGTCTCGAACTCCTGACCCTGTTATTCGCCCACCTTAGCCTCCCAAAGTGCTGGGATTACAGGCATGAGCCACCGCACCCGGCCTGAATAGACTCTTTAAAGTGGATTTTGATTATTTCAGGTTGCTAGAGAAATGCAAATTAAAACTATAATGATACACCTACTACGTAACCCACAAAAATTAAAAATTAAAAATTATTTTAAAACTATGAGGTACTACTACACATCTATTAGAATTATTGAATGGTTTGTATGTATAGAGAGTATGTATATGTGGTATTTTCCTACCTCCAAATGGTATTAACCAATTAATAAGAGCTCTATTCTAAATAGCTCAAAGAAAAATAAATGCAGCCAGGCACAGTGGCTCACACCTGTAATCCTAGCACTTTGGGAAGCCGAGGTGGGCAGATTGACTGAGCTCAGGTGTTCAAGACCAGCCTGGGGAACATGGTGAAACCCTGTCTCTACTAAAATACAAAAGAAATTAGGTGGCATGGTGGCGTGCATCTGTAGTCCCAGCTACTCGTGAGGCTGAGGCAGGAGTATTGCTTGAACCCAGGAGGTGGAGGTTGCAGTGAGCTGAGATTGCGCCACTGCACTCCAGCCTGGGCAACAGAATGAGACTCAGTCTCAAAAAAAAAAAAAAAGAAAAGAAAAAGAAATACTTACATAAATAATCCTAAAACTCTCAGAAATATAAAAACTAGGCTGGGTATGGTGGCTCACACCTGTAATCCCAGCAGCACGTTGGGAGGCCGAGGCTGGCAGATTACCTGAGGTCAGGAGTTCGAGATCAGCCTGGCCCACAAGGTGAAACCCCGTCACCACTAAAAATACAAAACTTAGCTAGGCATGGTGGCACACCCCTGTAATCCCAGCTACTCAGGAGGCTGAGGCAGGAGAATCACTTAAACTCAGGAGGTGGAGGTTTCAGTGAGCTGAGATCATGCCACTGCACTCCAGCCTAGGCAACACAACAAGACTCCGTCTCAAAAAAAAGAAACTAACCTCAATATTTTTCAAGTGTTGGCAAGGAGGTCAAAGAACTGAAACTATTATGAACTGTTAGTAGGAGCACAAAATGGTGCAGTTATCACCATCACTCCTGCAGTTTATCAGTTTCTTTAAAAGTTGAACATACACTTTCCATTATGTTCAACCATTTCACTCCTAGGTATTTACCTAAGAAAACTGAAAGCATACATCCATAGAAACATAATCGCCCAGTGGGTCCTTCCTGCCCACTGCACAGACAAAATCAATTCACTGAGATTGCAGCAGTCCAGTAAAGAAAGAATTTAATTAATACATGGCCAGCAACACAGGGAAACTGGAGTTATCACTTAAATCAGTCTCTCCAAGAACTCAGAAGCTAGGCAGAGTTTTCCTGGAAAATTTGATGGGCAGGGGGCTGGAGAATGAGTGCTGCTGACTGGTTAAGGATGAAATCATATATGTATGGAAAACATTCCTTATGGGCTGAGTCTGCCTCTGGGTGGGGCCACAGGACCAGCTGAGTCAAGAGTCATGGTTCTGGGTGGGGATCAGTCGGTTGCCAGAAAGTTTGAAAAAAATCTCAAAAGACCAATCTTAGGTTCTACATTAGTGATGTCATCTACAGGAGCACTTGGGAAAGTCACAAATCCTGTCACCTCTGGCCACAGGACTCCTGAGCAGGAAAGGATTATAAAAACTATGCCTATATTTTAGCAGAATTCAGACCCCTCACATAATCCTAATCTTGTGGCCTTTCATTAGTCTGACAAAAGTGGTTTTCGGTCCCTGAACAAGGAAGGGGTTAAGTTTTAGGAAAGGAATATTATCCTTGCTTTCAGGTTAAACTATAAACTAAATTCTTCCCATCATGAGCTTGGCCTATACCCAGGAATGAGCAAAGATAGCTTTGAGGTTAGAACCAAGACAGAGTCAGCCATGTCAAACTTCTTTTACCGTCACAATTTTGCCATGGCAGTTTCACAAACATATGCAAATGGTCATACCAGCCTTATTATATCATACAATGGACTAATGCTCAGCAATAAAAAGGAATGAACTATTGATACAAGAAACATGAATGAATCTCAAGAATAATTATGCTGAGTGAAGGTAGCTAGACAAAAAAAGAGTATTGTATGATTCCATTTATATAAAACTCTAGAATATGTAAACAAATCTACAGTGACAAAAAGATCACTGGTTTCCTGACAGGGATGGTTTGGGGAGAATCAAGGGCGAAATTTTTAAAGGGACACTGGAGAAATTTTTGGGAGTGATAGATATGTTCGCTATCATGTTGAATATCATGTTGATAGTTTCGTGGATACATTCATATGTCCCTTTATCAAATTATATGCTTTAAATATGTGCAGTTTACTATATCCCCATTATACAGCAATAAAGCTGTTAAAATAATGAAAGTCCCAGGTAAGAGTTTTAATATATTTTAGAAAGATTTCAATATTAGGGCACCTACTTAGATCCACAGAGTTGGAATAAAGATTATTTTAAAATAAAAGTAATTTGAACTGAAGATGCAGAAAGATTTTTTTTTTTTTTTTTGAGACAGAGTCTCGTTCTGTTACCGAGGCTGGAGTGCTGTGGCACGATGTCGGCTCACTGCAATCTCTATCTCCCAGGTTCAAGTGATTCTCGTACCTCAGCCTCCCAAGTAGCTAGGACTACAGGCACGCGCCACCATGCCTAATTTTTGTATTTTTAGTAGAGACAAAGTTTCGCCACATTTGCCAGGCTGGTCTTGAACTCCTGGCCTCAACCTATCCACCCGCCTCCACCTCCCGAAGTGCTGGGATTACAGATATAAGCCACTGTGCCCAGCCGCAGAAAGACATATTACCTGAACTTCCCTTATCCAACTTCCCTCTGGAAAGCCCAGCTGTCATTAACCCTCTCTCCGTGGGAGTTTCCTGGAATTCAGCTGCCATAGAGAGTCTGCCCATTGCCATTGGCAGCAAAAAGGCCAACAGAACCATCTACACCTTCCAATTGAAGCCCTAAACCCCTCTCCTCCATTTTAAGTTGGTAAACAATAGTTCCTCCTTATCTGCAGTTTGGCTTTCCCTGATTTCAGTTTCCCATGGTCAGTGAAGAACTGAAAATATTAATTGGAGAATTCCAGAAAGAATTCACAAGTTTTAACTTGTGCGCCAATCTGAGTAGTGTGATGAAGTCTTGCACCCTCCCACTCCTTCCTGACCTGGACATGAATCCTTCCTTTGTTCTGGGTATCCACGCTGTATATGCTGCCCAAGGTCACTTAGTAGCCTTCTCAGTTATCAGGTCAATTATTTCAGTGTCACAGTGCCTGTGTTAAAGTAACCTTTGTTTTACTTAGTTATGTTCCCAAAGCACAAAAATAGCGATGCTGGCAACTTGGATATGCCAAAGAGAAGCCATAAAGTGCTTCCTTTAAGCGAAAAAGTGACCTTAGCATTCCTTGGCCAGGGTTCAGTACTATCAATGGTTTTGATCATCCACTGGGGTCTTGGAACATAGAGGAATCCCATATTAATCCATAGGGGATTAGGGGGAACTACTGTATAAACCTTTTATCTCTGACTATTGAGTGAATTACTCATCACTGAGCACTCCCATGACACACATAAATAAACCCTGTCTTTTCTCCTATCAACCTGCCTATTATCGGATAATGTGCAGGTCCCCAACAACTAAACCCAGGTTGGAGGAGGGAAAGTTTTCCTCCCAACAGATTTGTCAGTGAGGTTGGGATGGCTGGGATTTCCTGCTTGTTCTGGAAACTGCAACTGAAATCCCAGGACCTATGACCCAGCCAGTGAAAATAAACATATTACCTGTCAGACCCTAAATCTCGGGGTCCAGCTGAGTAAGCATGTTAAGAGCTTCTGCTTTCCTTTTCTAAAAGGGATTTTCCAAAATCTAGATTTATAGGAGGAAACACTTTAGGAACTAGTTCTTCGGGTACTGTCACTCTTGGTTCAAGTACTCTTATAATAGATCCTTTCCTTCTCAGGGATAGCCATAGTGTCCTGTTTGTTTCATTTTGTGTCCTGAGACCTTGGCTTGAATCCAGTGACTGCATTCTCGTTATTGGTTTTCTACCTGCCAGTGGGTCTATGTCTGCAGGCAGGCAGCCAGTGGCCTGGGGGCCTGAGATACTTTCCTAAGGACCATGCCAGCTCTCAAGGGAGTCTGTCTAAATAAAAGATCTCAGTCCATAAGGGCCTGCGTCATCTCTTTCCTTGCCGCCTTGCTAGTACTGAGGAATCCCATTTCAGCATCACCTACCCAGTGTCAAAAGTATCTCACTTTTGTTGGAGGCCACGGACACAAGTTTTCACAAACATCATTCTTTTTTTTATTTTAACTGAATCTGCCTTGATCTGGAATTGACAAACACTATTCTCATTGCCTGCAGCAAAAAAGATTTTTATTTCTTCTCTCTTTGGATATCTTTGGGAGTGACTTTGGAACAGAGGCTCCATCTTCTACACACTTTTTGGGAACACCTATTGCATCCATGGGTAAGCCATAAATAAAAAGGCTTATTATTTCAGTCACATTTTGAATGACTGTGCTCTCTGAAGCTGGGTTAGAATCTAAGGCTTCTTTGTTTGGAAGGAACTCGTTGGGCTGGAACTCTTCTTCCCAGTTTTGGTTTTGAGCCTCTCTGTACTCCTCTTAGGCTAGAAGTTCTCCCTGGCTCTTTGTTTCAAGGCTTCTCGGTTCTCTACACTTCACCCTGCTCTTCTCATGGGAATTTCTCAGTCAACTGAAACCCTTCCTTGTCAAAACCCTGCTGACTATATGCTCTGCCACGGCAGCACTAGCTCTTTCCCTTCCTTTCTTATTGGCATAACTTTACTAAGCATAATTTAGAACTTCAATGGCTTCATTTTTAAATTTTTGCTTTAAGAGACAGGGTCTTGCTATGCTGCCCAGGCTGGTCTCGA
Organism: Homo sapiens; assembly: GCF_000001405.40. NCBI lineage: Eukaryota > Metazoa > Chordata > Mammalia > Primates > Hominidae > Homo > Homo sapiens. Next base: position 61,949,069 of record NC_000002.12, on the reverse strand, counting down.
ACTTCTGGGTTTGGACTCAAGTGATCCTCCTGCCTCCACCTCCTGAGTAACTGGAATTATAGGTGCAAAGACACCGTGCCCAGCACTTCAATGGCTTCTGTGAGAAAACCTAAATATCTCCCAAGCTGGCTCCTCTGAGACCCATCCCTTCAGACTCCACCTCCTCAAGTCCCTGTAGTCACTGGAATTTTAGGCATTCTGCTCCTTCCCTAGGGAGATCTTGAAGGGGACTCAGGGACCTTGAAAGCAACCACCTGGGGCTAAAAATGATAAATGGGAACAGAATTTAGTCTACATCCTCCATAAATACAACAAGACAAAACAAAGTCTTAAAAGTCTCCTCTGCAAATATTGGTAAAAAGTTTTAGCCCTCATATTGAGCAATTTGTTCTATCCACTAGAAAAATATTTCAGATAAAAAAATAAAGTGAGGCAAAGACAAGAACAGACTCTTATATTTAAACTAGTGAATTCTGTATCACTGTATTTATGCCTGACTAAAGACTAAATTTTTAGAGTGAAAGTCATAATATTCTCTGCTTTTGTCTGTATATGTGTATATATATTATGCACATGTGATATTTTCCTACCTCCAGATGGTATTACCCAATTAATAAAAGAGCTCCATTCTAAATAATGGGCTTAGAGAAAATAAGCACTTACATAAATTAAGTAGTCCCGAAACTCTCAAAAATATAGAAAACTAACTTAAATATTTTTTAAATGTATGTGTTTTTGGAGTTAATGCCTGCAGGACATAGAAAAAAGAAAAAAATAGTTTAATATTGTTGATTTATTAGCTAGGTTATGGTGCACACTTGTAGTCCCAGCTACTTGGGAGGCAAAGGTGGGAGGGTTGCTTGAGCCCAGGAGGTCAAGGCTGCAGTAAGCGGTGATTGCACCACTGTACTCCAGCCTAGGTGACAAAAACACAACAAAAATAATATTGTTGATTTATTAAAAGATATGTCTTCAATGTCTTCAGAGTTTTCCAAATTAAGTATAATGCAGACATTTATTTTATATGTATACTTTATTGATATTTTATTTGTATTTATATTTACATATTTTATTTATTGGGCTTACTGATAAAATAAGCTAATATATTTATTAGATGTTTAAGATCATAAATTTACAGATGTGATTTTAATCAAATTGAGTCTCTGTTCTGACAAACTATTTCAACAATTGTGTTTCATAAGTCTTAAAAGTAGAAATAAGACAGGCCCTGGTGCATGCCTATAAGCCCAGCTACCTCAGGAGGCTGAGGCGGGAGGATTGCCTGAGGGTGGAATTTTGAGAACAGCCTGGGCAACATACAGTACCCCACTTCTCCAAAAAAAAAAAAAAAAAGTACAAAAAAAAATTTTTTTTGTTTGTTGTTTTTTGAGACAAATCTCGCTCTGTCGCCCATGCTGGAGTGCAGTGGCGCGATCTTGGCTCATTGCAACCTCTGCCTCTTGGGTTTAAGCAATTCTCCTGCCTCAGCCTCCCGAGTAGCTGGGATTACAGGCGCCCGCCACCACACCAGGCTAATTTTTTATTTTTAGTAGAGACAGGGTTTCACCATGTTGGCCAGGCTGGTCTCAAACTCCTGACCATCAGGCGATCCGCCCACCTCAGCCTCCCAAAGTGCTGGGATTACAGGCATAAGCCACCGCGCCTGGCCTAAAAGTACAAATTTTTTTAAAAGAAAAAATTATTTGCTCAAAGGCTGTTTAAAAAATAAAAAAAAAGTCATTTCCAAAATCTGTTTGGTAATTTGAAACCTTAAGTTATACTAAGTGACAGGTATTCATTAAATATATAGATTGTTCTAAGTAAAATAAAATACTGAAACAGTTACTAAACATAAGTTTAAATTATATATGCTTTTAGTACTTATTTTTATAGAGAAACTAAAGATATTTGGGTCTCTTAGTAAACATCTACTTTTGACAACATTGAGAAGTTTTATTATGAAGAAGTTTATATTTCTAGAACATGTGAGATGCTATATTCATAAAATTTACTAATCTGCTAAAAAAATGCTGGTATGTGACAGACAATTCACGACTGTCTACTTCCTAGATTTCCCTGTAAAATAAAGATTAATTGTTAAAAATAATTTATATACGTAAACAAAACTACTAGAAGCAATAAGCATGAAGGGAGACAACTCTGTATGAAAAGTATCCAAGGAATGCAAAATATGTTTTTGTAGTTGTTTAAGAGGTTGTTGAAAGGTTGTTCCAGAATGAGAAAGAGAAAAGGACAAAAACCTGAAGGAATATATGAAGTTGTAAAGGAAATGTGGAAGAAAAAAACAAGAGAAAAAAACTAGTATTTTATATGGTCGAGCTGGCTAAGACTGAATGGGTTTATTTACGAGGTTTTAAAATAAGCTTTAATATCAATAGTGTACTGATGTATAGTGTAGTAAAACTAGTAATAGTGTAGTAAATAGTAATAGTGTAGTAAAACTAGAGTTCAATTTTCTCTCTCAAGGGACTAAATTTCTTGGACTACTAGTCTGCTCTTCATGAGAGACTGTGTAAAAGATTTTTCTTTACTTTTTAAGTAATCTGCCTAGGAAACAAAGATTCTGTGTCTTATTGGAATAATTTCCAGTGCTTTATCATATCCTTATTTAAGAGAACCAAGTCTTCTTTTAAAAAAGTGACCTGGGACCCTATTTAATCAAACATTCGAACCTTTTGACATTTTGCCTTCTCAAAATCAAATCCTAAATAAAATCTTGATCTCAAACTGAGATTTTTCCAGAGGGCCCCTTGAAAGTCTCAAAGGGTTTGTTTTTTCAACTTTTAAAAAGAGAGATGTTAAAAATAACTAGGTTTTCCTGAACTTCTCTCTGATTAATTTTTTTTAATTAGGTTTATTTGACATGTTAAATTGCATGGGAAACATTGTAGAAGTGATGCTTAACCTTCTCTTAAGTTATATCTGTGTAAAACAAAAATAAAAATTCAAAGGCTCCCACAACCATCTGAATACACTCCTTCCTTGGCCAGGGCATTCTAAAATTTAACCAGGAAGACTGGTTCAGGCCATGAAGGGAAGTGGAGGTAGGACATGCCTCATCACACCCCTCTAGCATCAACATTAATGCAGACTTTAAGTCTGATAAGAAACATTTACAATCTATTTTCTCTAAAACCCGCTACCTGGAAGTTTAATCTGCAGCATAAAACCTTGGTCTCCACAATCCCTTGTCTTAACCCAGACATTCCTTTCTACCGACAGTGACTTTCAACCAACTGCCAATGAGAATGTCTTTAAATCTGCCTATGACCTGGAAGCCCCCACTTCGAGTTGTCTGACCCTTCCACATTAAACCAATGTAAATCTTACATATATTGATTGATGTATTATGTCTCCCTAAATTGTATAAAAGCAAGCTGTACCCTGACCACCCTGGGCACATGTCATCAGGACGTCCTGAGGCTATGTCGTGGCTGCATCCTTAACCCCAGCAAAATAAACTTTCTAAATTCACTGAAACCTATCTCAAATATTTTGGGTTTACATTTGGCAACCTGAAAGGTCTTCTGAGTGCAAGTGCCCCTGACCTTTGACAAATCGCCTACTGGTGCTTGGTACCAGCTTGATCTATCTTTACTCTCAAACCAAGAGGATAATTGGCTGAGGCCTGGGAGGCCCCACACCAGAGAATCCCTGATCTCCCAAAATTTGGTCAAGATCTAAAGTTTATTTTGTTGTACAACTCCTTTTTCTGAAGTTTTACTTGCTCCAACAAGGAAGGCAAGTTTTCCTGCTTCCATAATGATGGAAGGCAGCTAACTCCTTTCTGGAGTTTGAGTTTTTTCCTGCTTGTAGCATAGTAGAGAGCAGTCTTCAACCTGAGACCCATTCCTAGGTAAGTAGCTGAACTGGGCTTTCATTCGGCTAAAGTTACAATTAACAATCAGCTGGTCTTAATTTCACCTTACCATTGGAGCACTCAGTAATCATATTGTTGGGTTTTTGTTGTTGTTCTGGTCTTTCTCCCATCAGGTTTGACGAGCTCCAACTCTAACCGACTTGGCCAAATCTGAATGAGAATTCCAATTATGGGGAACAAGGCCTCCGAATTGGCTAAAATTCCTTGCAGCAGCAAAAAGGAAAAACAAAACAAAACCATGCACGTGGTTTCTGTCTTTGCTTCCTTGTCTTTTCTTCCACCTTACTCCTACTTCCCCTTCCCCTTCCCCATCTTTGCTGCCAAAAAAAAATCTAGAGAAGCCTTCTAATGACCCGAACCCCTTAAAGAACTCAGAACAAAGGCACCACTTGCCACTGTTTGGGATGTCCTGTTTTCTTTATGGAGTTTTCACGAGTGATGGGCAGATTCTTTTAGGTCTACAGTTCTGCTTTCCTGTATTGCACTACCTGACTCTGACTTTTGGAGATGCCAGAAATTACCTTGTACCATGAGAGGATTTGGCCTTGGCATGTGTAATGGCAGATGAGAGCTACAAAGTTAAGAGTGGCTGAGGACAGTTTACAGGAAGTGGTCTTAGCTGGTTTAGCTAAGCTCCTAGGAAGTTGTTGTCTAGGATCCTAATTCTAGTTCGGAGGTGCATTCTTACTATTATTATTATATTTTTTTCTTTTTTTTTGAGACAGAGTCTTGCTATGTTACCCAGGCTGGAGTCCTCTGACACCATCATGGCTCACTGCAGTCTCAACTTCCCAGGCTCCAGAAATCCTCCTCTTCAGCCTCCAGAGTAGTTGGGACTACAGATGTGTGCCACCATACCCAGCTCATTTTTGTACTTTTTGTAGAGACAGGGTCTTGCTATGTTGGCCAGGCTGGTCTTGAACTCCTGAGCTCAAGTGATCCACCTGCCTTGGCCTCCCAAAGTGCTAGGATTATAGGCATAAGCCACCACACCTGGCCCAGAGGTGCATTCTAAAGAGTCTTCTCATTGCCTTTCCTCCTGCAATTAATCTCGATTGGCTCATGTGCACATTTGTGTGAGGAACTGAACTATCATTTTCATAGATGACAGGCTGAGTTTCCTCAGCTCCAAAAAGAAAGGGCATTTTGCTCTTTCCAACCAAAAGGCGTCCCTGGGTGACTGGGGGCCAAGTGGAAGTGCCTGCAGGGTTGACCCCCTACAACGTGTAGCAGCCCTACAGGGAACTCTCGAGAAAATTAGTTTAAAAAATTATTGTCCAGGAAATGCATACAGGAGCTGGTCATTTTTTGTTTTGTTTTGTTTTGTTTTTTTTGAGACAGAGTCTCACTGAGACGCCAAGGCTGGAGTGCAATGGCGGGATCTCGGCCCACTGCAAGCTCTGCCTCCCGAGTTCAAGCAATTCTCCTGTCCAAGCCTCCCGAGTAGCTGGGATTACAGGTGCGTGCCACCACACCCGGCTGATTTTTGTATTTTTAGTAGAGACGGGTTTTCACCATATTGGCCAGGTTGGTCTCGAACTCCTGACCTCAAGTGATCCACCTGCCTCAGCCTCCCAAAGTGTTGAGATTACAGGCGTGACCCAAGGCACCCAGCCTCATTCCTCACTTTGAGCCCTCCTCATGGTGCTGGACCTCCAGAAAGAGAAACTGAGACACATAAAAGGGCAGAAATGACTCACTGGTGACACACTATGGAGTCCCACCCACAACCAGCACACTTTGACCCACTCCACTAAACCTTAAGGCACAGCTCAGTTCCTCCTTTTAAGAAAAAATGTGGGAAACAAATAATTTAGGAATGAAAAAACACAAGGAGAGTGGTCCCTCTCAGGCACCCTGTTTGGTTTCATGACCCCTCTACTTGAAAGTGGTTGTGTAATGGAAGGGCATGCCAGGTTTTCCAATACTGCAGCTGGTTACACATTATAGGTCTGTTCTTGCGCACATTTTAAACTGATGGGCAAATTACATCAAGAAAAATTCAGAGCTCGAAAGTCAATCTGCAACTATAAAGTTCCTAAGTTCTCTATCTCTCTGCTTTCTTTTCAGCCTGCTTTAAGTCTGCTGTTACTTTTCTACTGAGATAAAATCCACTGTTTGCATCCAACCGTTTCTTTTTACTATTGTTTGCAAACTGGTAAGTCTCTGTTAATATCTCATGGCTAGAGTTCTGAAGCATAAACTACAGGAACTTTGTATGAGTGTATATATATATATATGTGTTTAGGTATATGTACACATATTCTGTTATGTGTTTTTGGCCACAAGGTACCAGATTGACTTACAGGTAAAGAGTACTCATAAATTAACAGCCGGACACAGTGGCTCCTGCCCGTAATCCCAGCACTTTGGGAGGCTGAGGCGGGCAGATCACTTGAGGTCAGAAGTTCAAGACCAGCCTGGCCAACATGGTGAAACCCCGCCTCTACTAAAAATACAAGTTAGCTGAGCGTGATGATGTGTGCCTGTAATCCCAACTACTTGGGAGGCTGAGGTATGAGAATCACTTGAACCTGGGAGATGGAGGCTGCAATGAGCCAAGATCACACCACTGCCCTTCAGCCTGGGCAACAGAGTGAGACATCAAAAAAAAAAAAAAAAAAAAAAGGCCAGGCACAGTGGCTCACCCCTGTAATCCCAGCACTTTGGGAGGCCAAAGCAGGCAGATCATGAGTGCCACTGCACTCCAGCCTGGGTGACAGAGAAAGACTCTGTCTCAAAAATAAACAAACCAACAAACAAACAGCCAGGCGTGGTGGCTCATGCCTATAATCCCAGCACTTTGGGAGGCCGAGGTGGGTGGATCACCTGAGGTCAGGAGTTCGAGACCAGCCTGCACAACATGGTGCAACCCCATCTCTACTAAAAATACAAAAATTAGCTGGCCGTGGTGGCGCATGCCTGTAATCCCAGCTACTCGGGAGGCTGAGGCAGGAGAATCGCTTGAACCTAGGAGGCGGAGGTTGCAGTGAGCCAAGATCATGCCACTGCACTCCAGCCTGGGCGACAGAGCAAGACTGTCTCAAAAATAAATAAACAAACACGAGGATGTGTTTTTTGCTGAAGAAAATGTAAATTTTTTTCCTAGTTAAGAGACTATTTAAGCATCACTTTAAAATAAAGGAAAAACTGTACAAATAAAACTAAATGGATAAAAAGAAAAAGTAAGCCAGGACAAATAAAGTTACCTCTGAGGCCTGTGGTTACCAAGAAGATAGTCAATGTTGGGGAAGGGCACAACCAAGTAACTATTAAAATCAGAGGATATAATGTAAAGGAACTGTTCTGTTTCATAGATTGGTATCATCAGATTCTGGAGAAACTTTTATAGTAAGGGACTGTAAAAATGACCATTTTAAGGACAAAATTCTTAATTTTAAATGCTACAGAATGAAAGAGCTTGTTTGGGTTAATGCAGGACCCAAAGCTCACTATTAAACAATCACTGATGAATGTATGTGATCTAAATGCACAGAAAGTTATTCCTGAGACAACAACCAGCCTAGTGGACCAAATAAATGCCACTGTAAGGTTTGCCCTGAGAACGGGACTTCCTGCTCTCCCTATAAAATACCAAGTAGAGCACCGCAGATGAAACAGTTGATATGCTTCATATGCAAGCCATATGGAACTAGCTTTATAATGACCAGGATATTCTCCTACCTAATATGTCCATAACGCAGTTCATGGTAAATCTGAAGGCTAAAGGGGCCCCTTTTACATGGGTACCCCTCCCACAGAATCATATAATTGCCTGAGAAGCCTTATCAAATTTGCTGTCCCTCATGGTCTTACACATGCTTAATAAAACACTGGAGTAGGCCAGGCAAGGTGGCTTATGCCTGTAATCCCAGCACTTTGGGAGGCTGAGGCGGGTGGATCACCTAAGGTCAGGAACTCAAGACCAGCCTGGCCAACGTGGTGAAACCCCATCTCTACTGAAAATACAAAAATTAGCCAGACATGGTGGCAAGTGCCTGTAATCCCAGCTACTTGAGAGGCTGAGGCAGGAGAATTGCTTGAACCCGGGAGTCGGAGGTTGCAGTGAGCCAAGATCGCGCCACCGCACTCCAGCCTGGGCGAGACTCCATCCCAAAAAAAAAGGGGGGGTTATTAACAAAAAAAAGGGAAAGGAAAAAGGGAGCGAAAGAATTCACCCCAGCCGGGCGCAGTGGCTCACGCCTGTAATCTCAGCACTTTGGGAGGCCGAGGCGGGCGGATCACGAGGTCAGGAGATCGAGACCATCCTGGCTAACACGGTGAAACCCCATCTCTACTAATATATAAAAAAAAATTACCCGGGCATGGTGGCAGGCGCCTGTAGTCCTAGCTACTCGGGAGGCTGAGGCAGGAGAATGGCCTGAACCCAGGAGGCGGAGCTTGCAGTGAGCCGAGGAGTTCGCGCCACTGCACTCCAGCCTGGGTGACAGAGACTCTGCCTCAAAAAAAAAAAAAAGAATTCATCCCAGAAGAGTGATAGAAATTTTTGGATGGTTATTCACTATTTGCCCTAGACTGGAAAATGTTTTTTAAGGCAGCAAAGGTTATCATGAGAAAGCTGACATTTTCTGGGGCAATGCTGAGGCAAATTAAGATATAAATTTGACGAAAAGGCCTGAGTCCCTTGGCTCAACTCCCTGCTGGGAACCCAAACCCTTTTTTACCAGAAAAGGTAGAATGGTCTGGGGGTAGAAAAGTTCCTGGGACCAGAACATAAAACCATACAGTTTAACAGAATTATGAAATCTGAGATGTTTACACAGACTTTATGTAAGGTAGTTGTGACTCCTTTTACCTAAATGTCTTATGAAAATGGGTACTGTATGTGACTGGGGGATGTTTTCCCTATCTAGTACTATAAAACTGAAGGCAGGTAAATCTGCCCTTTGACAAATATTAACTGAACTTACTAAATGGGAACTAGAAAGATTGCCTTAGCCCACAAAATATAGGGGAGAAGCTGGAGTACTAGATGGGACAAATCCTCCACTTTGTAGCCTTTTGTGGAGTATTGGGACTTATGACAAAAAACTGTGAGCACTTCCCAATAACAACTGCTGGACTAGAGAATTTCTACTTGAGGGACATTTACTGCCTTGTTATGGAATATTGGCTTGAGCTACCCCTATGCTAATGGAAATAAAGGTGTTCAAAAGAGTTCCATGATAAAATTAAAATGGTTTACACAGGCTCTTGCTACCTGGGAATACAAGAAGGAAATACTCATAAGCAAGGACCCTCTTTTTGTCCCTAGGACTGATTCTAGTTATCTGAGGAGCTGCTAGATTCTACAGTGCCTGATAGCTCTCATGACCTGTTTGGCTTGTGAATGGCAGTTCTGAGGTGAACAAACACCTTGTTTGGAAGGCTGCTGCTCTGGTTAAAGAACGGTCCAAAAAATTTTTTTTATAGTTATTTATAGTTTAGAGCATTTGGGTGAACTATGTTTTTGTAAGCAAATTTACCTTTCTGAGTTGTCCAAAATTCAAATTGTGATTTTATGACAATATAGTTATTTGCATAAGTTCAGTAAGAGTCTTTTAGAACAAAACAACTGGAGACACTGGTTATTTTACCAAGACTTTGACTAAAATAGCATATTTTTAGGTAAAGTTCCAGCAAAGCCAACTTGAAAGGAGCCTACATAGCCAATCAATTCTTTTTTTTTTTTCTTTTTTTTCTGAGACGGAGTCTTGCTCTGTCGCCCAGGCTGGAGTGCAGTGGCGCAATCTCGGCTCACTGCAAGCTCCACCTCCTGGGTTCACACCATTCTCTTGCCTCAGCCTCCCGAGTAGCTGGGACCACAGGCACCTGCCACCATGCCCAGCTAATTTTTTTTTTTTTTTTTTTGTATTTTTAGTAGAGACTGGGTTTCACCGTGTTAGCCAGGGTGGTCTTGATCTCCTGACCTTGTGACCCACCCGCCTCAGCCTCCCAAAGCGCTGGGATTACAGGTGTGAGCCACCGCGCCCGGCCAAGCCAATCAATTCTTGCTGCACTTTATGTGAATAATCAGGCAAAGTATAATAAGCCTAAAACTTAATTTGCATACAAATTGATCTTACTATAATTTCTCTTTAATAGAAAAGGAAGTCTAGAGAGAGAAATTGTTTCAAAGGAAAAGTGTAACACTTGACACTAACTTTTGTTTTTTTGAGTATAGATTGAATTATGAATTATTTCTTGGCTACAATAATCCTCTAGAGAGTACCAGATTATAATTTTTCTTCATATCTTTAGTTGGTGCCCTAATGGAAGAGGTTCCTTTTTCTGTTCTGACATACAAATACTCTTTTGATTGTCAAAATATTAATGTTATTTATTTCTCATTACTTACAAGGAAACCAAAATTATGGTATTCTTAAAACCAGAGATGCCAACCTCTCTCATTTGGCATCCTGTTAACCAGTGGAAGAGATCCAAGTTACTGGCAGCAAATCCGTAGGAGTCCACAGCAACTTCAGTCCTTGCCTCTCCACAAGAAAGAATCTGACTGAGGGGCATAAAGCAGAAAAAGAGACCAAGGCAAGTTCCAGAGCAGGAATAGAAGTTTATCTGAAAAGGCCTTAGAACATGAAAGCAAGGAACGTGTGCTTGGAAGAGACCCAAGTGGGCACGTGAAGGTTAAAGGGAAAAGGTCAAGTGCCTTGTTTAACCGTGATCCTAGGAATTTTATAAGCTCGCCTCTTTCCCATGTTTCTTCCTTTAGGGCAGACTTTCCACACGCCCAGGGCTTTCCTTATCCTTTGGAACTGAACACACGCAATGTATTTAGGGAGTTATAAACATGCCCATCTGAGGCTTCCTTCCCTTTTCCAGTGGAGCGTGCCCCCAGAAGATCATACCTCACCATTTTTTTTTTTTTTTGGTCTCTTAATACGCATGCCCAGGAAGCTGCTCCTCCGTGGGGCCTGCAGTCAATTAACAGTTTGATGATGTTAACAGGTGTGGACCATCAGGAAATGGCCTCTCCCTGGTGCTGCCAAATTATCATTTTTAGACAGGCAATGCAATAATTGCTGAACCATCACCCGACATTCTAGTTGGTAGAGGAGAGCCCTCTCTCCTGCCCAGCTCATGCCTAATTACCTGTAACAATCCCACTGGGCCCAATCTGTTTTTCACTGCAAATGCCTTGCTACTAAGACTATACAGGCATCCTCCCTCTAAGCCCAGGGACTGTCGCATGAGAGTGTAAGGGCGAGTTTTGAAGGATATAATTAGGTCAAGGTCAGACCCTCCAAATCAAGGATGGGTACAAAGATGCCTGAACAACTGGTAAAAGAAGAAAATAATTACTGACAGGAATAATGATACCTTGTGACAAAGCCTCCTGGGTATAATACTCCCAGTTATGAGTTGTACAGATACATATTTTAAATTTTTTCAGAACGGGTATGTTTTGTATAGCTAATTGCCATAAGTCTGTAACCAAAACCAAGATTACATACTAAAACTAAAAACAAGATTGAGCTATGGCTCAATGCGTAGCATAGAAGTTAAAAATAAGTCAGTTTTGTAACCTCACCTTTGGCTTTTTGTTTGTTCATCTTCTACTTAAAAAACAAAATAAATAATAATTATAAGGGGTAATGAATGCCTGTCCATGTCTATTCCTATCTGGCTTAGGATAATTAATTGGCTATAAGTCTTGTTTACTCTAAGTCCCTTGGCCATACGGAGTCCCACTGAAGGACAGGATGGACCAGGGGCAGGCCAGCCATGCCATCCCAACAATACTATGGGACAAAATTAAAATCTGGTGGCCACTGATGTTGCCTCTGGCAAATCTTGGACAAAAGGGGGAAAATTCGAAGGCTCTCACAACCATTTGAATGCACTTCCTCATTGGCCGGGGCACTCTAAAATTTAACCAGAAAGACTGGTTCAGGCCATGAAAGTGAAGTGGGGGTAATCATCATACCCCTCCAGCCCTAATATTAATGCAGACTGTAAGTCTGATAAGAAACATTTATAATCTATTTTCTATAAAGTCTGCTACCTGGAGGCTTTATCTGCAGGATAAAACCTTGCTGTCTACAACCCCTTATCTTAACCCAGACATTCCTTTCTTTAACAATAAATCTTTCAACCAATTACCAATCTGAATATTTTTAAATCTACGTATGACCTGGAAGCCCCCACTTCGAGTTGTCCCACCCTTCCATATCAAACCAATGTAAATCTCACACGTATTGACTGATATATTAGGTCTCCCTAAATTGTATAAAAGCAAGCTACACCCAGACTACCCTGGGCACATGTCATCAGGACCTCCTGAGATTATGTCATGGGCAGGTCCTTAACCTTGGCAAAATAAACTTTCCAAATTGACTTAGACCCAGTCTCATATTTTGGGTTCATATCTGTATGAGAAAATGTTATTAATATAAATACTCCAAAAACTGTATGGAAGGCCAGGTGTGGTGGCTCATGTCTATAACCCCAGCACTTCAGCAGCCAAGGCAGGAGGATCGCTTGAGCCCAGGAGTTCAAGACCATCCTGGGCAATAAGGCAAGACCCTGTCTCCTTTTTAAAAGAACTATATGAAGTTTCTAGAAATTTGTCAATGCACTCACTGTCCATAATATATTCTGATATAATGTTATCAATCATAATTCCAGTTATTATCTTAAAATGTTGTTTGGCACAGAAATGACCAAATTTCCTTGTCAACTCCATTATTTTGATAATGAACTCTAATAAAATCTTTAACCATGGCCATTTTAGGTCTTTTGTCATTCACATATAATTACTCTTATATTCGAATGCTTCCCTGAAGGCTCACAATCAGCTACAAGCTGGAATGCTTCATATTCAACATAAGTGACTGCCTCAGAGACCCATAGAAAGAATTATAAAGGTACTCTGGGGTATAGATTTCTCATGACATTGCTTACATAACTTTGAAATCATACCACTGGACTGGGTAGGAATTTCCAGAACCCTACCAGAGACGCTAATAGGTGCATCAAAACTGATAACCCTCATCTGTAAAATAGGAATGAAAATTAAAATTTAAAAAACAAAAAAAACTGGGCTGGGCCGGGCATGGTGTCTCAGCACTTTGGGAGGCCAAGGCCGGCGAATCCCCCTAAGCTCAGGAGTTTGAGACCAGCCTGGGCAACATGGTGAAACCCTATCTCTACTAAAATACAAAAAATTAGCCAGGTATGGTGGCATGCACCTGTAATCCCAGCTACTTAGGAGGCTGAGGCAGGAGAATCGCTTGAACCCTGGAGGAGGAAGTTGCAGTGAGCTGAGATAGCTCCACTGCACTCCAGCCTTGGCAACAGAGTGAGACTCTGTCTCAAAAAAAAAAAATCGATAACCTAAGATCAAGCATATGTCCAATTATCATTCTTGCTGCACTTATATAAATGATTAGACCAAATTTAATAAGATTAGATTTGGAAACAAGAGTGGTCTTCATTTTATCTTTGATCAAACTGGAACCACGGCACTAAGTGAAAACAGAGGATGACTGTACAGAGAAATTTTACCTTTTTTTTTTTGAAACAGAGTCTTGCTCTGTCGCCCAGGCTGAAGTGTAGCAGTGTGATCTCGGTCGGCTCACTGCAACATCCACCTCCCAGGTTCAAGCAATTCTCTTGCCTCAGCCTCCCAAGTAGCTAGGATTACAGGCACCTGCCATCATGCCCAGCTAATTTTTGTATTTTTGTAGAGATGGGGTTTCACCATGTTGGCCAGGCTGGTCTTGAACTCCTAACCTCAAGTGATCCACCCGCCTCAGCCTCCCAAAGTGCTGGGATTACAGGCGTTAGCCACCACGTCCAGCCAGAAATTTTACGTTTCAATAGAAAACTACAACCTACCCTTCCTGGGTTATCAGACTGTAGTTCTGTTATTTGTCTCTGAGTTATTTTTCACTACTCTGTAAATTGGATCCTGCTGTCTTGCATATCTTGTCGGTAATTAATGTTTCCAATTTTTCTCCCATCCTCCTGACTTGAAGTCACTAGGAACTAAAATCTGACTGCCTGGATCTTTATTGAGACTCTAGCTTCTCCTGTCCCAAAGCCCTACAAGCTGAAGCTGGATGACTTGATATAAACTAAAATAACTTATTAATACAACCATTATGGCCACTCGGGAAGTTCACTGAACACCCACATCTTCCATGCTCTGCTCCAGGAAATAACCTTGTTCTTCTCTTGTCAATCTGTCTTTTGTTACAGGAATCTATTCCAATTAAGAATTTATGAGGCGGCCAGGCACAGCAGCTCATGCCTGTAATCTCAGCAATTTGGGAAGCCAAGGCAGGAGGACTGCTTGAGCCTAGGGGTATGAGACCAGCCTGGACAACATAGCAAGACCCTGTCTCAATTTAAATAAAAAAGAAAAGAACCAATGAGGGTTGAGAGAAAAACAGTTTTCCCTCTCTATACAGACAAATCAGTGACTGCTGTACTAACTAGCCCCTTTTCCTTTTTGTTTGCCTCTCAATTTCACATCCCTTTCTTAATTGAAATCTGTTTTGTTTTCATGACAGCCTACCATTGAATTAATTGAAATTTTTTCATTCTATAACTTGAACTTGTTAAGCCTTTATAAAAAAAATTTTTTTTTGAGGCAGGGTCTCCCTGTGTTGCTCAGACTGGTCTCAAACTCTTGGGATCAGGTGATCTTCTCGCCTCTGCCTCCCCAAGCGCTGGGATCACAGGTATGAGCCATCACACAGGGCCACTCATTAAGCCTTTTAAAAGACAAAAATAAGTTTTACTTACAAGTTTCTTCCTTCATTTTGATACTCTAGATGAGCATTCAAGGCTCTAAATGAGTTTTCCCTCAAGCCTAAGGCAAAATTCATTTACTGTGGACATCCCATGGTTCATTCTTTATGAAAAACCATCCCCATGGCCCTTCCAGGACAGCTGTCCCAACTGTCCCACTCAAGAGATACTAATAACTGGAACTTATTTTTCATTCTGTACTACCTCTCACATTCCCCCACCATCCCCTGACACACACCCCTATCTCAAATTCATTTTGTATTTAAACATATATAGTTCTGGATGTTTAAACTGGATTTAGGTATTTTGGATTACACCAAAAAAGAAAGGCCGGGCGTAGTGGCTCATACCTGTAATCCCAGCACTTTGAGAGGCTGAGGTGGGCAGATCAACTGAGGTTGGGAGTTTGAGACCAGCCTGACCAACATGGAGAAACCCCATCTCTACTAAAAATACAAAAAATTAGCCAGGTATTGTGGCACATGCCTGTAATCCCAGCTACTCAGGAGGCTGAGGCAGGAGAATCACTTGAACCCGGGAGGTGGAAGTTGCAGTGAGCCAAGATCACACCATTGCACTCCAGCCTTGGCAACAAGAGCGAAACTCCATCTCAAAAAAAAGAAAAAAAGAAAAACAAAAGTTGCTTGTTGTCTTTGTTCATTTTCTTTTACTATAACTGAATACCTGAGACTGGGTATTTAGCTCACAGTTTTGGAAGCTGCAAAGTCCAAGGTTGAGGGGCTGTACCTGGTGAGAGCCTTCTTACTACTATGTCATATCATGGCAGAGGGTATCACGTGTGGGAAAAGCATGGCAGCTCAGGTCTCTCTTTCTCTTCTTATAAAGCCACCAGGCCCATCATGGCTCACCCCTACATTGATACATAAGGGCTGGGCTCCGGCTAAACCCCACCCTTAAGCCTGGAACCTCTGCACTAAGTGAAAACAGCTGACCCAGTTTTCTGCCCAAATGTTGACTTTTTGGCCTGCCACGTCCTTACCCCCCACACCCCTGCCACCCTGAAAAAAACACTTCAGCTGGCAGAGCAACACAAGCAGCTGAGTGTTAGGGATACCAGCAGCTAAGCATCAGGGATACAAGCGGCTAAGCAATGGGGATACAAGCAGCTGAGCAATGTGGATACAAGCGGCTGAGCATTGTGGATACAAGCAGCTGAGTGGCAAGCAGAGAAGAAACTGAGCATCAGAGACGATGGATAAATGCGGCTAATTTCAGATGTGCAGCTTTGGAGAGGGGCCCAGCCAGAGACAGCTGGGCTTCAGGGAAACATCACCTTCTTCCCACACAATCCCCTTTCCAACTCCCCATCCCACTGAGAGCCACTTCCATTGCCCAGTAAAATCCTCCACATATACTACCCTTCAATCTGTTTGTGTGACCTGATTCTTCCCAGATGCCAGACAAGAACCCAGGTGCCGAGAGGGCAGGAGCTGCCACTCTGACCCTCCACTGAGCTGGTTGGCACTTGGTCATCCCTGGACAGGAGAGCTGAAAGAGCACTGGTTGTAACACGCTTGGATGCTGCTACGGGGTCCACACAGAACCTACTCCTGCCAGAGAGGATCAACTGGGCTGCTTCCAGCATTCATTTGCTCTCGTTCCTGCACTCGCTCATGTGCTCCCTCATGCAAGGGGTTTGGGCACACGGCAGCCAAGTAAACAAGCCACACCCCTGTCACAAGTCCAGCAAGGGGGTCAAGGGAATTATCCCATCTTACCATGACCTTTTCTAATCCTAATTACCTCCCAAAGACCCCACCACCAATCAACACATAAATCTGGGGATTAAGTTTCCAACATATGAAATCTGGAGAACACACTCAAACCATAGCACTTATTCACTTCTTCTTTCTTCACTCCTTAGACATAGTGTCAACCTCTCCTATGTATATGGTGAACCAAGAAATGAAAGAAACAAAAAACAAAAAAAGAATATAAAGCCAATGGTTCTTTTATTTACACATCTCATTTGAGCTCCAAGCACAGAATATAGCTGCCTGTTTTACTATCAAGGGGTCTGTAAAACATAAGTGGTATCTGAATCTCTTGGCAATTCAGACAACTGAAATAACAGCAAGGAAATGCCATGAATGGAAGTACTGGATTTATAAATCCACTTGTGCCTTTTGTATACATTTTATCCAAAGAACTTTGCAGATTTAGACATTACTGTTAGAGAATAATTAAGAATGTAAGCAGAGAGGGAAGAAAAGGCCAGACGCGGTGGCTCAGGCCTGTAATCCCAGCACTTTGGGAGGCCAATGTAGGGGTGTCAATTGAGGACAGCAGATCGAGGCTGCAGTGAGCTGAGATCACGCCACTGCACTCCAGCCTTGGTGAGAGAGCAAGACCCTGTCTCAGAAAAAACAACAACAAAGACCATGGAGTCTTTCAAAGTCTCAGAGGCACACAACTGGGATAGAAATCCTGCAACTACCATCCTCAAATGCAAAGTTCCTTTGGTACGTATCTTCTCAAAATTCTCATTCCTCAAAGCTGTCTTTCCTAACGGAAACTAACATTTTTCACTAAGCCTTCTGGAATTTTACCCAATTGTCAACCAAGTCTCCAATATCCTTACTGATATACCATAATTTGTGATTCTAATGTCTCAAAATGAAGTCACTTATGTCAAGTAGCAGTGAGCCCACAGTAAAGCTGTTCACCCCCTCAAAGCCATAAACATATAGGTAATGGACTAAGGTAATAATATAGCACCTGCTGTTGCCCATTACCATCCAACACCTGAAATGAACTCATAAAAAGTGAAACAAGGCTGAGATAATGAAGAATAGACCAATCTGAGGAGGATCATAAAAGCAGCAAGAATAAGGCTAGTCCAAGACACCTTTAGAGGCTCTGCCCATGAGAACTTTGAGGTCTTCTTCCAACTTTGGCGGCTGCCACTGAAGGCTTTGCCAAAAAGCAGCAGCAACGCTACTATGTGATCAGCATCCAAAGGACTTCCAGACCCATTCAACTTGTCTATCAGCATATTGGTTTCCCAAGCCATCTCTGTGGTCCATTACCCTCCCTTATTTTATTTTTATTTATTTTTTTGAGACAAGGTCTCACTCTGTTACCCAGGTTGGAGTGCAGTGGCATGATCTTGGCTCACTGCAACCTCTACCTCCTGGGTTCAAGTGACCCTCTCACTTCAGCCTCCTGAGTAGCTAGGACTACAGGCACGCACCACCACACCCGGCTAATTTTTCTATTTTTTGTAGAGATGGGGTTTCATCAAGTTGGCCAGGCTGGTCTCGAACTCCTAACCACAAGTGATCCTCCTGCATCAGCCTCCCAAAGTGCGAGGATTACAGGCACGAGCCCCCATACCCAGCCTATCCTTCTTTAATTACTGCCTGTGTATAAGCTGAATGTTAATTACATATTTGACAGTCACAATAAGCCATGAGTTCGAGCATATATAATTGGCTATGGAGCCACTGAGAAACCTCACAGCTTCAGTCTGAGTTAGCATACCTAGGCAGTGTGAACCTAATTAATCTAACACTTATCATATCTGAAACTTGTTTCTTCCACCAAGAGCCCCAAAGACACACACTACCTCAGTTGCCTCAGCTTCAATTCCATGCCTATCAAGCAACCTTCCAACTATTATCTTAGTATTCCAGGTGACATAACATCTAAAAAAGGTATCTTAAATGATGGATACAAATAATTCTGGTGGATAGGTGAGCTCAAACACTCACTCACACACACACACACACACACACACACACACACACACACAAAACCCTGTGGTTTATCCAATAGTCTCTTAGAAGTCTCATTATTTTTTATTATTTTCTTTCCGAGACGGAGTCTTGCTCTGTCACCCAGGATAGAGTGCAATGGCATTATCTCGGCTCACTGCAACCTCCGCCTCACAGGTTCAAGAAATTCTACTGCCTCAGCCACCTGAGTAGCTGAGATTACAGGCACGTGCCACCACGCCTGGCTAATTTTTGTATTTTTAGTAGAGATGGGGTTTCACCATGTTGGCCAGGCTGGTCTTGAACTCCTGACCTCATGATCCGCCTGCCTCGGCCTCCCAAAGTGCTGGTATTACAGGCATGAGCCACCATGACCGGCCTTAGAAGTCTCTTTGGATCACTCTCTTAGAGACTAATCAGTTCTGGATGCCAGAGCAAAAGAGGTTTATAAAGTATCAATGCAGAATCCTGATCACTTTACAAGTTCTGCCAACCAAAGACTGACTGTCCTGGCAGTCAGCTGGCTTCCCCCTCTCAGAGAATTTCTCCTTTTACTGAACCTCAATAGCAGTCACCTGGACTTTTCATAAATCTGGGCATAATTACACAGAAAAGGTTGTAGGGGAGGAAAAATATCTTTCCCTCCCCCCATCTTAGGTTTATGGCTGAGTCCCTTATGATAAAAAACAGGTGAACAAAAGAAAAGCATACTTTTTTTTTTTTTGAGACAGGGTCTGGCTCTGTCACCCAGGCTGGAGTCCAGTGGTACAATCACAGCTCACTAGCTCACTACAGCCTTGTCCTCCCAGGCTCAGGTGATCCTCCCACCTTAGCCTCCAGAAAAGCTGGGACTACAGACATGCACCACCATACCCAACTAATTTTTTGTAAAGACCAGGTCTCATTATGTTGTTTAGGCTGGTCTTGAACTCCTGGGCTCAAGTGATCCTCCTGCCTTGGGCTCCCAAAGTGCTGGGATTACAGGTGTGAGCCAGTGCACCTGGCCTTACAAATTTAAGTTGTATATGACACAAGAGCTTTCATAAGGAAGTGTAGACCTGAAGAAACAGTTGAACCTGAATATTGTTATGCTAGGTTTGATGGAGAGAGGAGAGTCGTGGAGAAATATGATAGGGCAAAAGAGTATGATATAATGGTAATAAACTAGGGGAAATGTATTAAGGCCCATTTGCTGAGACTCTTCTTGGTGTCTATGTGTCTTCAGAGTGAGAGATGTTCCTTTCTTCTAGGTATAAGAAGGGCACCTCTCTGTGAAAGTTGCAGATAGCAAGATGAAATTAACTTTTGCTAGACCCCGACAAAATAGAGCCGGGAACGCCCAAAGAAGAGGAGGCCCATGCTTGTGAGATAAGAACAGTTTCCAAGGACTTTCTGAAAGTCATTCTGTGTCCTTCACACATCTCCTGCTTTGATAAGGTTTATCACTAGACATTCTTTAGGACTGCAGTAATTCAAATAATTATTGAACTGGAAACAGTTATCTCGGACATGTAATTCAGATAAAATGTTTTCAGAAGAACACTTGCCCAGTAAGGGCATCTCCACCAATGAACTGATAATAACTCTGGCTTTGAACCTCTGGAACCAATGAACTCCGCTCCTAAGCAGCTTATGTAAATCTCTTTTGCTAATAAAAGCTTCCCTTACCCTTCCCTCATGGAATGCACTGGTGGCTTGCCATTCCTTGCATTCCAGGTTATAATCCTTATTTCTATTCCTGAGTAAACACAACATGTATAGACATAGTTTTCTCTAGTATCCTTTTTTTAAGATTGACATTTCAGATGAGGATCTTGGGACCTGCTTCAAGAGGTCAGAAAATCCTTGAAAGGTTTTTATGACCTGTTTCAGGGGACTAGGGCAGGAAAAGGTGTGAGAGACCTTACTGCTTTGGCTATTTTCTCAAATGCCTTTAGCCTAAAAAATATTCAAGGCTGGTTTATAGCTTATCACAACCAGTTACAAATTTATTTGTTCCTTCTCCATTCCCACTGCTTCACTTGACCACCCTTAAAAATAAAAAAAATATGTCAAGGTACAACATTTTGGGGTAGCATGTCCTATAAAGGTTGTATTCCTGAGAATGTCAATATGTGACAAATTCCTTTTCCGAAACTGAAAAATGTACGCTTAGCTCTTTAGGATACTGAAAATAGATATTAAATAGCTCCCTGGGCCGGGCATGGTGGTTCACACCTGTAATCCCAGCACTTTAGGAGGCTAAGGTGGGCGGATCACTTGAGTCCAGGAGTTTGAGAACAGCCTGGGCAATGAAGTGAAACCCTGTCTCTACTAAAAATACAAAAATTAGCCAGGCATGGTAGCACATGCCTGTAATCCCAGTTACTCAGATGGCTGAGGCACGAGAATTGTGAACTTAGGAGGCGGAGGTCGTAATGTGCCGAGATTGTACCACTGCACTCCAGGCTAGGCAACAGAGGGAAACTCTGTCTCAAAATAAATAAATAAATAAATAGCTCCCTGCTTTATATTGCTTACTTTTTATATAATTTGTTAATTAAAAATTACAAAAGGTTACTATCACACTGGTCTTTAAGAAAAAAAAAACTGGCCAGGCACAGTGGCTAACACCTGTAATCCAAGCACTTCAGGAGGCTGAGGAGGGCAGATCACCTGAGGTCAGGAGTTTGAAACCAGCCTGACCAATATGATGAAACCCCATCTCTACTAAAAAAATAAAAATTAGCCAGGCGTGGTGGCATGCGCCTGTAATCCCAGCTACTCGAGAGGCGGAGACAGGTAAATCACTTGAACCCAGGAGGCAGAAGTTGCAGTGAGCCATTGCACTCCAGCCTGGGCAACAAGAGTGAAACTCAGTCTCAAAACAAAACAAAACCTTCAGAAGGCCACTGTTTTGGACTAAGCTACTCCACTAGGTCTCAACAGACAACGCTACAAATCAAAATGGAGTCACCCAGCCAGGCGCGGTGGCTCACGCCTGTAATCCCAGCACTTTGGGAGGCCGAGGCAGGTGGATCACGAGGTCAGGAGATCGAGACCATCCTGGCTAACATGGTGAAATCCCGCCTCTACTAAAAATACAAAAAAAATTAGCCGGGCATGGTGGCGGGCGGGCATCTGTAGTCCCAGCTACTCGCAAGGCTGAGGCAGGAGAATGGCATGAACCCGGGAGGTGGAGTGTGCAGTGAGCTGACATCGCGCCACTGCACTCCAGCCTGGGCTGCACAGTGAGACTCCATCTAAAAAACAAACAAACAAACAAAAAATGGAGTCACCCATGCTAAAGTTCACATCACCACTACTAAAACTAAGTTGTTATCTGACCTTCCAAAGAATGAGGACAGAGCCATAACAGCCAATTTTCCCAAAAGGCCAGTTACAGTCTTCAATTAGCATGAGAATGAGGTTTCCTTTGCTTCAATCCTTACACAAAAAAGGTAGCCTGAAGTAACCTGATGTTAAGTAGTCAGTTATTTTTCTATTGTTCTATCTCCCCATCGCTGCCTTACAAGGAAAGTAACTTTTTGAAATGACCAATCTGCATTTTATTCTTTGTTTCTGCTTTATTCAGCCCTTTCTGCCTATAAAACCAACCACCTCTGCTCAATTCATGGGAACATTTATTCTATTTTATTGAATGAAGTGTTGCCCAATTTTAGAGTTGCAAATACACAATTGAGATTGTTAAGCCAAAAGTGACTGAGGCACGTCTCAATAGATTAGAGGTTTATTTAGCCAAGGTTGAGGATGTGCCCAAGGGAAAAACAAATCACAGAGGCACCTGTGGCCTATACTTCTTCCAAAGGAGGTTTTGTGAACTTTGGTATTTAAAGAGGAAAGAGCAAGCAGGAGGGGGGAATAAAAGGAAGAACAGGTAGGCAGTGAGGCAGATGGTTACGTTCTTGTGAAGCTCCAATTAGCCTCAGAAAAATCTATATTTTACATGAGAAAAGAGGAAGTAAAGGAAAAAGCCAACTTTGTATTGTCTCAAGCTCAGTAAGTCGACATTTTACGTAAGATAAAGTAAACATGAAAAGAGAGTCGAAGAAATGAGGCTATGACATGGGGTTATGATATTATAGCTATTGATTTGGCAACAAAAGGAAAACTGTATGATGCCTCAGATCCCAAGTTTAACTTTCCCCTTTGCACAGTGAGTTTGGGGTTCCAGGATTCTATTTTTCTTTCTTAAGATCTTTAAACCAAATTAGTTGTAATTTTGTCTTTTGACAGATTATCATCACTATGTCTGAAAGTATATTCCACTGTAGCTGGATATGGCTCTCAAAGACAAATAACTAAAATCTAACCTCACAAAGGGGACAATCTTACTTGTACACTATTTACGCAAATTAATATGTTTAATTTAAAAAACACTAACTCGCCAGACGCAGTGGCTCACACCTGTAATCCCAACAATTCAGGAGGCCGAGGCAGGCAGATCACAAGGTCAGGAGATGGAGACCATTCTGGCTAACACAGTGAAACCCCGTCTCTACTAAAAAATACAAAAAATTAGCCAGGCGTGGTGGTAGGGACCTGTAGTCCCAGCTACTCGGGAGGCTGAGGCAGGAGAATGGCGTGAACCCAGGAGGCAGAGGTTGCAGTGAGCTGAGATCATGCCACAGCACTCCAGCCTGGGCAAAAGAGCAAGAGTCCGTCTCAAAAACAAAAACAAAAACAAAAAACAAAAAACAAAAAAAAAACACTAACTCTGCAATTGGCATTGCCTTTAAGCTATCCAGGACTCTTGTAATATATTGTCAGTGGATCTAAATACACATCCCTAATGTAAATAGTTTTCCTGAAAGAATAATGTAACTAACACTTTACCACACAGCAAGATTTTAAAATAGTAATACTGAGAAAAGAAAATAACTTTGAGGAATGTGAGTCCTTTTAAATTATGAGGCCCAGAGAGACATTAAAATGAGACAGCAGGCAAGTCCTACTGTTAAGGACAAACTGCCCCAAGAAAGCTTCTTGGTGCTGCCCACCCTTCCCCCAAACCTCTTTACATTTCTAAGCCCTTGTCTAGGCTCCACGGTGAAGCCAGCAGACTTCACTTATCAGACCTTGCTGCGATAAGCAAACCCCAATTACAAACCATCCAGACCCCACAGGGGGAGGTCGTAGGAAGCATAAACAAACTTTACCTACACCCTCCTGTAATAAACGTCACAAGGTGATATGTGGCAAAATTAACCAGCAAACAACCCCGGGATGCAGCCATACCAAAGAACTCCCTCAAACTCCCCTCCCCAATATAAACCCCTCATTCCATAAGCTTGGTGCTGCCTCCTCTGTCTGTGATGGAGCAGCCGGCAGGTTAGTAAACTTCCTCGCCTGACCTCAGGTCTCCCTCTCGTCCTTTCTCTCTGCTAACCTTACATTATGGTGCCAAAACCCAGGAAGCAGACAGACTCTGGCCGGGACTCACTCTCACTCTCTCTCTCCCCCACTCTCTCCCTCCCCTAACACCCCTCTCCCTGCCAATCTCCCTTTCCCCAAACCTGCCAAAGACCCAGAGAATCTCCTAGACTCTCCCATTGCTGGCGACTTCATCCACCATCAATGCATCAAAGCCTCCACCAGGGTGAGTGAAGAGACTGTTGCCTTGCCCCCGGAACCCTTGACCGTCTGTCTCTCCATTTCTGAAAGACCCAGCACTCGGCCAAGGGCTTCCTCCGGCCTCCAGGCCTCTGGTTCCTCTGCTTCAGGGACGCCTGATACAGCAGTTACCTCCTCTATTCCAGACAAGTTCCACGGGAAAGGGGACGCCCTCTCCTGTAGTCTTCGTCACCGACAGTCTCTTCTTCCTCTACCCACTGCTCCTCCATTCCGTGATCTCAATGCTCTCGGCCTCCGTTCAGAGATCTGTTTTAAGAGGCTTATCTTTCACTGCAATACTGCATGGCCCCAATACCAACTGGACAATGGCTCCCAATAGCCTGAAACGGGACTTTACAACTTTTGCCATCGCAATAGGAAATGGTCTGAGATTCCTTATGTTCAGGCTTTCTTCACTCACTGTAACTGCCCTTCCCTCTGTCAGTCTGGTTCTACTTTCCAAATTCTCCTCACCCGCTCCAAACCAGACTCACCTCCTGCTTCCCTCACCCCAACAGCCCTAGCCGACGACTTCTCCTCCTTTGATCTGGCTGATTTCTCCCCTCCTCGACAACATCCTAATCCTCCACCGAACAGCATGACCCCCCACCATATGCCTCTGCTCCACTCTACCTCTCTCTTCCCCCCTCTCCAACCATCCCCCCTCCGACTCTGAGTCCTCCCTACCACCACCCCTTACTCGTTCTCAAGCCCAACACGCCCAGCAGCCCACTCCCTTGCTTCCTCCTATTTTTCTCCTGTCCACTTCTCCCTCAGAGAGAGATTCTGTATAGTTGGCTAAGGAAATCAGAAATTTAATCAAACCTTACCAGAGGTAAGAGTGGGTGGCTCCATATGGTCTCCTCACCTGTAAGTAAACCCACCTGAAACACTGCAGAGTGACATGGTTTGGCAGCTACACTGAAACAGTTCATGCTTCACACTATTAAAGAAATTCTCTTTCTAGACTGGGCGTTGTGGCTCACACCTGTAATCCCAGCACTTTGGAAGGCCATGGCGGGTGGATGGCTTGAGCACATGAGTTCAAGATCAGCCTGGGCAACATGGCGAAACCCCATCTCTACAAAAAATACAAAAATTCACTGGGTGTGCTGGTGCACATCTGTATTCTCAACTACTCAGGAGGCTGAGGTGGGAGGATGGCTTCAGCCTGGGAGGAGGAAGTTGCAATGAGCCCAGATCACACCACACTGCACTCCAGCCTGGGCAATAGAGCCAGACCTTGCCTCAAAACAAAAAACAAACAAACAAAAAAACTCTTTCTAAATATAAATCTGAGCTTATGTCACTTGCCCAATTAAAACTTTTTCACTGGCTCCCTGCTCACCACAAAATAAAGCCCATATGTGTCAGCATTCTTGACTATCAGGTCCCCTTTATCATCTTATCTCACATGGTTCACAGTGACCTTGGTATCCTTGGACTCAACACACATTTCTATACTTACATGTCTTAATGTTGTTCTTCCTATATAGAACCCCTTATTCTGCTTGTGGAAATATTTCCTACTCCTAACTTAAAAGCTGTTATATTCTAGTAACTGTTATATCCTATTACAACTCATTCATTAGGCTTTTATTTTGCTTTCAATTCTCATCATTTAGCTAGATGTTGAGAAATACACAGTGTTTTCCTCATCTGTATATTCCCCTCAATACTTAGCACAATACTTTGCACATAGTTTAATGTATATAGGAATGAATTAAGCACTATTTATCACCTGACTAAAAGGATTACAATTCTGCATCATCCATCATTTAGTTTACCCACCTAGACAGAAGAAAATTAATGACTACACCTAATCTAATGAAATATTGAAGGTTTATAATTTAATAATTTAAAAATCTTGATAGATATCCCATAAAAAGTAGCAGTTTCTGTTTTTGAGTCCACTAATCAAGTAAGCTTCAAAATCTTCATACTCCAAATGCCTGAAAGAACAGCTTAGTATCTGCTTCAGCAAAATCTCTTGAGGCTAGATATCTTGAAAAGCAATTTGCTGCCTTCCACATTACCCAAGTCTAATTACAGAATATTACATCAGGATTATATTAAATTACACTGTTATTCAACAAAAAGATCTACAATTTTAGTCACTCCAGAACAAATTTACATGCTAACCCAGAAACCATGTAAAGCAAAGTCAATGGTGGTTCTATGGATAATCAACTTAACTGTCTTCCTCCAAACAGATGTGTGTCCCCCTTTCTTATCTTTCTCCTAAATACTGGATATACAATCTTTGGCCAGAAGCCTGTATGGGGTCTTTTAAAGTAATTACAACTAATAGCATCTGTGAAATTACTTCACATTTGTCTGTTTTAATCAATTTCAAGTTGCATAAAGTTACATAAGGGGAAAGAAATAAACCTCGCAAATTTTTATAATAAAACTACCACAATCCTAGGCCGGGCATGGTGGCTCACACCTGTAATCCCAGCACTTTAAGAGGCCGAGGCGGGTGGATCACCTGAGGTCAGGAGTTTGAGACCAGCCTGGCCAACATGGTGAAACCCATCTCTACTAAAAATACAAAATTAGCCAGGCATAGTAGCTCACGCCTATAATCCCAGCTACTTGGGAGGCTGAGGCAGGAGAATTGCTTGAACCCAGAAGGCAGAGGTTGCAGTGAGCCAATATCGTGCCATTGCATTCCAGCCTGGGCAACAAAAGTGAAACTCCATCTCAAAACAAACAAACAAACAAAAAAACTGCCACAATCCTATAAAAATAGGATGGAAGCACAATCTTCAAAACCAGATTAACAAGGTAAAAGTCCGCTTTTAGCGTAAATCTTTAGAATCTTCCCTGCATTGGCCCAGATTTCTCCAAAACATAATTCCACATCACAGTTAAATGCCAAAAATCACCAAGTTTTCTAATATCATAACACAAAACATTATAAAACGAAGACCTACTCATTTTCTGTATTAAAAGGGCTATAAAACTGATCATTTTCTACAATTTTTCTTGTATAGTCTGTTACTATAATAAAATGGTAACAAATATATTCAAATCCAAAATATTCTACAGAATACATCGACAGGAAAACAGTCTTCTTACTAGTGGTCCTGGAAAAAAAATTTAAATAAAGAACAAGAATAACTGTAAAGTTAAATAATAGTTTAAAAAACCAATCTTCCAGTTTGCACCTCTAAGAAACACAATGGCTGTTTCTTAGAGATCAAGGTTGTTTTTTGTTGAATCATGCAAACAGGCAGTTAAAGAAAGGTGAAAGCAAACTATCAATCACCATTCCCCCAAAATAATACTGGGTTGGGCTGGGCACGGTGGCTCACGCCTGTAATCCCAGCACTTTGGGAGGCCAAGGCGGGTGGATCACAAGATTAGGAGGTCGAGACCATCCTGGCTAACACGGTGAAACCCCGTCTCTACTAAAAATACAAAAAATTAGCTGGGTGTGGTGGCAGGCCCCTATAGTCCCAGCTACTCGGGAGGCTGAGGCAGGAGAATGGGATGAACCAGGGAGGCTGAGCTTGCAGTGAGCAGAAATCGTGCCACTGCACTCCAGCCTGGGAAACAGAGCAAGACTCTGTCTCAAAAAAACAAAAACAAAAACAAAATAATACTGGGTTGGTCTAGTTCTCAGAAACAATGACCAACAGTATATATTCAGATTCAATATTCAATATTTCTGTAAATGACTAAAGCCAAGAATTTAACACATTTTAAATGGTTACAAATGTTTACTTCTATTGTATTATGATTGAAGATAAAAAATATATTTTTTAGGCCAGGCATGTTAGCTCACACCTGCAATCCCAGCATTTTGGGAAGCCAAGGTGGGTGGATCTCTTGAGGTCAGGAGTTCGAGATTAGCCTGGCCAATATGGTAAAACCTTGTCTCTACTAAAAATACAAAACTTGGCCAGGCACGCACCTGTAGAACCAGCTACTCAGGAAGCTGAGGCAGGAGAATCATTTGAACCCGGGAGGTGAAGGTTGCAGTGAGCCGAGATCCCACCTCTGTACTCCAGCCTCAGTGACAGAGTAAGGCTCTGTCTCAAAAAAAAAAAAAATATATATATATATATACACACATATATATATACACAAACACACGTATATGTATACATATACACATACATATATATACACACACACACATTTATATATATATATAAACATATATACCTCCAGGATTTTCTCTAGTAAAAATCTTTAAGGGTTAGGATTCCTTCTGCACTCACTGGAAAATCAAAACAGATTTGGATCCACTGTCAAGTGGCTATTTATGACACAAGCAGAGCACTAAATGTTCAAGATGCTTCTAAATTACACCCTTTAGTACTAGAAGCTCATTGTTACTGGCTTTTATTCTGCCAGGTTACTTTTACCCAGTAACTAACTTACCATCTCAGTTGTCATTTTTGAATAGGACTCCTTTCTTCATCAACAAGGGGTAAAAATTACCCATAATGAAGCACCACATATATTTCTTCCTATTAAACACTCCAAGCAACACCTCAGCCTTTAACTTCATGGGGAAAGAATTTAGCCTTTTTTAGAGGAACACTTTTGGCCAACTCAGAAATGTAAGTGTGGGAGAGTCTCCAGAAGCAATTACAAAGTTTAAAAAAAAAAAAAAGTATGTTCTTTCTTTCCCTCTTTATTTTTAGAACTCTCTCTGCAGTACTGTTGATGGTCCATTGAACCTTCTCCTGGGAAAGAGTACTTGATTAGCATAGTATCCAACTTCATTGTAAAAATTAACATTTTTGTGTAAAAAAAAATTACTGCTCAAGAATCAGAATTGCTTAGAGGTCATCTCTTATAACCATAGCCCTACTACCAGCTGAAATTCATAGGTCTAAACAGGAGAATATTCCTGAGCCTGTGGAAATTTAAATGACATAATAATAAAGAAAAAGAGAAAAGACAGAAAAATACTGCACTAGCTGTACTAGATCTTTTTCAAGTGATCCTCCTGCACATCCTCAACCTCTGGGGCTCAAGTGATCCTTGGCCTCCTGCCTCCTGAGTAGCTGGGACCACAGACATGGGCTAGTATGCCTGGCTGATTTTTTTTATTTTTTTGTAGAGACAGGGGCTCCCTATGTTGCCCAGGCTGGTCTCGAACTCCTGGCCTCAAGCAATCCTCCCACCTCAGCCTCCCAAAGTGCTGGGATTATAGGCATGCGTCATTGCACCCAGTCTGTACTAGACCTTTAAAGAACTATTGGAGAAGCTGTAAAAGACGAGACAATAGTAGAGGTATACAACTTAGGGAGGAAAATATTCAAATTTATTTAGTTATGTGCTATGCAGCTTTAAAGCAAAACAATTCTCTGTTATAAAGGCATTTAAAAGAAGCAAAACTCAGGGCACCAGTTCCTACCTCACAATCTATTTGTAAAGACAAAGCTGAGCCAAATTAAACTATATAAAACTTGTCAAATCAACCTGTCTGTGAATAGATAAAAACTGGTTCTCTACTCAATGAAAAAAAAAAAAAAACGCGATGAAGCCTGATCGACATGGCAAAACCCTGTCTCTACAAAAAAAAAAAATACAAAAATTAGTTAGGTGTAGTAGTGCATGCCTGTAGTCTCAGCTACTTGAGAGGCTGAGGTGGGAGGATCGCTTGAGCCCGGGCGGCAGAGGCTGCAGTGAGCTGCGATGGCACCACTGCACTCCAGTCTGGGAGACTGAACAAGACGCTGCCTCAAAAACAAAAAAAAGAGGCCGAGCCCAGGCACGGTGGCTCCCGCCTGTAATCCCAGCACTTTGGGAGGCCGAGGCGGGCACATCACCTGAGCTTGGGAGTTCGAGACCAGCCTGAAGCAACATGGAGAAACCCTGTCTCTACTAAAAATCCAAAATTAGCTGGGCATGGTGGCGCATGCCTGTAATCCCAGCTACACGGGAGGCTGAGGCAGGAGAATCGCTTAAACCTGAGAGGCAGAGTCTTCGGTGAGCCGAGATCACACCATTGCACTCCAGCCTGGGCAACAAGAGCAAAACTCCATCTCAAAAGAAAAAAAAAAGTTAATCTTACAAATAAAGCACAGGTAACAGAAACCATCTCCAAATTTCTAAAATTATTGTTTTAAACATTTACTTGAAACATAAATTTTTGTCAAAGATGAACCACATAACAGAAGTCCAAATTTATAAAAACTGCATTCTACATTAAGATAGAGCTAAAAATGTGGGTGTTTTATTAAGACAAAAAAATCATGATTTTTTTTCATATTTCTGCAGTTTAAGGATCCACTCCACCAGACTGCATCATTTATACCTTTCTCATGGCATTTATCATATATAAGATAGGGACAGTGACATTTACCTTGTGTATAGAGCAAGGTTCAGCATATTAGGGGTTTAGTATGTATTTAATAGGTAAATCAAAGATAAACATTTCCTTTAAAATCTCCTTACCCAGCCACTCCTTTAACCCAAGTCAAGTTTCCAGGCCCAGAATAGCTGCTTTGAGAAAAGGAAAACCAAAAATAGATTAATTGAATGGGTTTTGCCCTAAACTAAGAAAAAAGATTTACAGGACATTTGGCCTCATTACAGGTCACCTGAGTCTATTAAAATACTCTACAAATCCCAGGTGGGTAATCTGCAATTGCTGCTTTATCATATGACGTCCAGTGTTATAAAAAAGTAACATCAGTCATTTGTCTATTCTTCAGAGAATGAATAATATGTCTCATGTATTACCATCTAAAGTCTCAAAAATGTTCAGTGAAATTAGCAAAACTTAGTCGCTTAAAAACTAGAGAACTAAAAGGAATATATTTATAGAACTTTAAATTTTCCAGAAAATGGTATTTCTAAATTAAAAATATCAAGTCAAATATTTAGACATCTTTTTGGATAATAAATTTTTATTGTTGAGTAGCCAACTTTTGAGCATTTTCTGAACTAGAAACATTCCAGAGAAAGAACATTTCAACATGATGTTGCTTCTAGCATACTTTATCAGTGCATTGGCAAGCCAATATTCCACTGCCACCTACAGTAGAAAAACAGAATTACTGCTTATAGTTAAGGATGTAGACAGAATACAAATGAAACCTAAAAGTATGACCTAAGAAGTCAAAAGTTACCAGTCTCTTCTGTTTCCTAATATAAACACTTTAAGACTATATATTCTACATCCATTATTTTATACTCAAGTTAACTTCTTATTAACATATGTTATCCAAAATGTGTAAGCGAGGCCGGGCGCAGTGGCTCACGCCTGTAATCCCAGCACTTTGGGAAGCCAAGGCGGGCGGATCACGAGGAGTGGAAATCAAGACCATCCTGGCTAACACGGTGAAACCCCGTCTCTACTAAAAATGCAAAAACAAAATTAGCCGGGCGTGATGGTGGGAGCCTGTAGTCCCAGCTACTCCGGAGGCTGAGGCGGAAGAATAGCGTGAACCAGGGAGGCAGAGCTTGCAGTGAGCCGAGATCACGGCACTGCAGTCCAACCTGGGAGACACAGCGAGACTCCGTCTCAAAAAAAAAAAAGTATGAGCGAAGTTTCTTCTTAAATTCACTCTAAAATATCAAAAAGGTAATACATGATAATATTAATACCATTCATTAATAATGCCATTCTTTGATTTTAAAAAACTCATCACTAACGCATAGTAAACTTCAGCCATTTTGTAAACTTGATACCAAATGCACTTTTTTTTTTTTTTTAAACTGGAGTCTGGCTCTGTCTCCCAGGCTGGAGTACAGTGGCACAATCTCGGCTCACTGCAACCTCCGCCTCCCGGGTTCAAGCGATTCTCCTGCCTCAGCCTCCCCAGTAACTGGGATTACAGGTGCACGCTACCATACCCGGCTAATTTTTTTTGTAGTCTTAGCAGAGACGGGGTTTCATCATGTTGGCCAGGCTGGTCTCAAACTCCTGACCTCAAGTGATCCACCCACCTCGGCCTCCAAAAGTGCTGGGATTACAGGCATGAGCCTTTGTGTCCGGCCCCAAATGCACTTCTAAGCTTCTGTTTTTACTGCAATTGCTTTCCATAAAAATTTCCCAGGTATTTAGCAAGCAGGATCAAATTATGCTTTTAAAATAATACTACAATATGCAAAACACCAAACTACTGGAATATTTAAAATATAAAGAGGTTAAATGAAGGCATTTAACTTCTTCACAATTTACATCATACCCCAAAATGTCTTAGCAATAAAATGTTTGTCAAAATCCTCTAAAAAGAACTTCGAGTGCTGGGTACAAATGGACTAAATTCCTAATACTACATTCCAAATACTGCATTTTAAAATCACAGTTGAGACGATTAAATTTTTAAAAAGCTAAATACAGGTCAGACATGGTGGCTTATGCCTGTAATCCCAGCACTTTGGGAGGCCGAGGTGGATAGATCACTTGAGCCCAGGAGTTCAAAACCAGCCTGGACAACATAGGGAGACCCTGTCGCTAAAAAAAATTTTTTTTTTAAATTAGCCGGGCATGTTGGCACACACCTGTAGTCCCAGCCACTCAGGGGGCTGAAGTAGGAAGATCGCTTGAGCCCCAGAAGTCAAGGCTGCAGTGAGCTATGATCACGCCATTGCACTCCAGCCTGGTCAACAGAGCTTGACCTCATCTTTAATAAATAAAATTTAAAAAGCAAAATGCAGAAAGTTATGTACAGTATACTCCACCTTGTGTCTGAAAGAAAGAAAAGGCTGTTGGCTAAACATAGTAGTATATTGTTCTTAAGAGAAGATAACTCTTGGAAATTTAAAACATGATTAAATGAAAAATTCAATTAAAAGGCCAGAAGAGACCAGGTGTGGTGGTTCAGGCTTGTAATCCCAGCACTTTGGGATGCCAAGGCAGGAAGATCACTTGAGTCCAGGAGTTTGAGACCGGCCTGGGCAACATGGTGAAACCCATCTCTACAAAGAAATACAAAAAATTTAGCCAGGAGTGGTGCCACACACCTGTAGATCGAGGTTCAGGTGGGAGAATCACTTGAGCCCGACAGGTCAAGACTGCAGTAAACCATGTGCACACCACTGCACTCCAGCCTGGGCAACATAGTGAGACCTTGTCTCAAATAAATAAATAAATAGGCTGGGCGCAGTGGCTCATGCCTGTAATCCCAGCACTTTAGGAGGCTGAGGCAGGAGGATCACTTGAGCCCAGGAGTTGAAAACCAGCCTGGACAACATAAGACCCCATCTCTATTTTATTTTTAATAATCAAAAAAACTAAATAAAATAAATAAGTTAAATAAAGGCTATAAAAGGCCAAGCGTGGTGGCTCATACCTGTAATCCCAGCAATTGGGAGGCTAAAGAGAGAGGGTTGCTTAAGCCCAGGAATTTGAGACCACCCTGGACGATATGGGGAGATTCTGTCTCTAAAAAAAGATAAAAATAAAAAAATTAGGCAGGCATGGTGGTGAGCATTTACAGTTTCAGCTACTCAAAAGGCTGAGGTGGGAGGATCATTGGAGCCCAAGAGGTCAAGGCTGCAAGTGAGACATGATCATGCCACTGCACTCCAGCCTGGGTGACAGAGTGAGACTATGTCTCTTAAGAAATTTTTAATCAATTTTTAAATGTGTTTGAAGGCTAGAAGATAAAGTTAAGGAAGTCAATCAAAAAGTGGGAAAAAAACACATGAAAAATGGGGTAGAAAATAAGAGAAAATTAGAATAATCAGTCTAGGAGGTCTAACATTTGAAAAATCAGAGTGCAAGAAAGAGAATAGAAAAAAAGAGATAAAATAATCCGGGCTGGGTGCAGTGGCTCACGCATGTAATCCTAGCACTTAGTGGGGCCAAGGCAGGCGGTTCACTTGAGCTCAGGAGTTGGAGACCAACCTGACCAACATGACGAAACCCCATCTCTACTAAAAATACAAAAATTAGCCAGACATGGTGGTGCACACCTGTAATCCCAGCTACTTGGGTGGATGAAGTAAGAGAATTGCTTGAACCTGGTGGGGCAGAGGTTGCAGTGAGCCGAGATCATGCCATTGCACTCCAGCATAGGCAACAAGAGCAAAAGTCCATCTCAAAAAAAAAAAAAAAGGAAAGAAAAGAAAGGAATTTGGCCAGGTACAGTGGCTCATGCCTGTAATCCCAAACATGAGGCCCAGGTGGGTGGATCACTTGAGGCCAGGAATTTGAGACCAGCCTGACCAACATGGTGAAACCCTGTCTCAACAAAAGCACAAAATTTAGCCAGGCGTGGTGGCACACACCTGTAATCCCAGCCACTCGGGTGGCTGAGACACGAGAATCGCTTGAACCCAGGATGCGGAGGTTGCAGTGAGCCAAGTTTGCACCACCGCACTCCAGCCTGGGCAACAGAGTGAGACTCTGTTTCAAAAAACAAAACAAAAAACCCCAGAAAACAAATCAAAGTGCTGAAATACAGGCATGAGCCACCTCGCCCAACCACAATTATTTCTTATAATCTTTTCCTATTATCATTCTTAACATCTTATTACTATTTTTTGTTTTGAGACAGAGTCCCGTCTGTCGCCCAGGCTGGAGTGCAGTAGTGCAATTTTGGCTCACTGCAACCTCCACCTCTGGGGTTCAAGCAATTCTCCTGCCTCAGCCTCCCAAATAGCTGGGACTACAGGTACACGCCACCATGCCTAATTTTTGTATTTTTAGTAGAGACAAGGTTTCATGGCTAATTTTTGTATTTTTAGTAGAGACAAGGTTTCACTATGCTGGCCAGGCTAGAGGTCATTTTTAATTTACTACAGATCTCAGGAGTCTAAAGAACAAGCTAGTGAAATTCCTCAAAGAGCAAATAGTCCCCATTTCCAATTTGTAGATATTTATCAAGTAACCAACTTCAAAACATAATTTATA
This sequence comes from Homo sapiens, assembly GCF_000001405.40. Taxonomy (NCBI): domain Eukaryota; kingdom Metazoa; phylum Chordata; class Mammalia; order Primates; family Hominidae; genus Homo; species Homo sapiens. The sequence continues at coordinate 61,914,208 of NC_000002.12, read as the reverse complement.
TATTATATTGTTTCCAATTTTATTTATTTATTTATTTGAGATGGAGTCTCCCTCTGTTGACCAGGCTGGAGTGCAGTGGCGCAATCTCCGCTCACTGCAAGCTCCGCCTCCTGGGTTCACGCCAGTCTCCTGCCTCAGCCTCCCAAGTAGCTGGGACTACAGGCTCCCACCACCACACGTGGCTAATTTTTTTGTATTTTTAGTACAGACGGGGTTTCCCCATGTTGGCCAGGATGGTCTTGATCTCCTGACCTCATGATCCGCCCACTTCAGCCTCCCAAAGTGCTGGGATTACAGGCGTGAGCCACCGCACCCAGGGGGGTTCCAAATATTATAATAAACATTATGAGTTTGAGAACAGATGTTTGGAACAGAGGTTAACACACTTTTCTTTTTTTTTTTTTTTTTTTTTGGAGATGGAGTCTCGCTCTGTTGCCCAGGCTGGAGTGCAGTGGTGCAATCTTGGCTCACTGTACGCTCTGCCTCCCGGGTTCATGCCATTCTCCTGCCCCAGCCTCCTGAGTAGCTGGGACTATAGAAGCCCGCCACCATGCCCAGCTAATTTTTTGTATTTTTAGTAGAGCCAATTTTTAGTAGAGCCAATTTTTAGTAGAGCTAATTTTTAGTAGAGCCAATTTTTAGTAGAGCTAATTTTTTAGTAGAGCTAATTTAGTAGAGCCAACTTTTAGTAGAGCTAATTTTTTGTATTTTCACCATTTTAGCCAGGATGGTCTCGATCTCCTGACCTCATGATCCATCTGCCTCGGCCTCCCAAAGTGCTGGGATTACAGGCATGAGCCACCATGCCCGGCCACTTTTCTCTTTTTTTTTTTTTTTTTTTTGAGATGGAGTCTCACTCTGTTGCCCAGGCTGGAGTGCAGTGGTGCGATCTTGGCTCACCACAACCTCCGCCTCCCAGGTTCAAGGGATTCTCCTGCCTCAGCTTCCCGAGTAGCTGGGACTACAGGTGCACACCACCATGCCCAGCTAATTTTTGTATTTTTAGTAGAGATGGGGTTTTATTATGTTGGCCAGGGTGGCCTCGAACTCCTGGCCTCACAATCCACCCACCTTGGCCTACCAAAGTGCTGGGATTACAGGCATGAGCCACTGCACCTGGCCACTTTTTTCTTTTAAATTTTTAGAGATGGAGTCTCCCTCTGTTGCCTAGACTGGAGTGCAGTGGCTATGCACAAGCAAAACCATGCTGCCCTACAGCCTTGAGTTCTTGGGCTCAAGCAATCTTCTCACTCCAGCCTCCTGAGTAGCTGCTACTGCAGGCCTGTGCCACCACGCAGGTCAGCAAACTTTTTCTGTAAACGTTCAGATGGTAAATATTTTTGGCTTTGAAGGTCACATGACCTCTATCACAGCCATTCAATTCTGTTATTAGAGTGGCTAAAGCTACTACAGACAAGATATAAGTAAATGAGCATGTAGTCATGTTACAATAAAACTGTTTTTTTTTTTTTTTTGAGATGGAGTCTTGCTCTGTCGCCAGGCTGGAGTGCAGTGGCACGATCTCGGCTCACTGCAACCTCCACCTCCCAGGTTCAAGCAATTCTCCTGCCTCAGCCTCCTGAGTAGCTGGGACTACAAGCACATGCCACCACACCCAGCTAATTTTTGTATTTTTAGTAGAGATGGAATTTCACCATGTTGGCTAGGATGGTCTCCATCTCTTGATCTCGTGATCTGCCCGCCTTGGCCTCCCAAAGTGCTGGGATTACAGGCATGAGCCACCGCACCTGGCCTAAAATAAAACTTTATTTCTAAAGACAGGCAACAGGCCAGATTAGTCCCAAAGGACATAGTTTGCTGACCCCTGGTTTAGAGTACTACATTTCCTAGCTTTCCTCATATGGTAAGTGGTATATGTTTTCTCTCTATGCCAATCTTTTTAATAGCAATCTCCACATTTAAACACTCTCAATTCATTCACTTATTCTACAAACTTTTACTAAGTGCCTACTACATGCCAGACACAATATTAGGTATAAGGAATAAAGAAGAAACAATAATAATAATAAAGTCCTGCCCTCCTAATGCTTACATTCTAGTAGAATAGTTAACAAATAAATAAGCTGATAAATACATAATATAATTTCAGGTAATACTAAGTATGAAGAAAAAGTAAAGCCAGGTAAAAAGTAAGAGGAAGGAAGAATGAGGGTCTTTATAATATAAGTCAGGGAAGAGCTCATAGGAAATGACGTTCAGGTAGAGAATGAATTAAACAAATGAACAAGCCACATGAATATCTACAGGAAAAACACTTCACATGATTAAATAAGGACAAGATTAGAGTGCTGGAAATGAGAAAATGAGATCAGAGAAGTGAGTAAGGGTAAGATCATGTAAGGACCTGTGGCCTAGGGCAGAAGGACTGAATTTTATTCTAAGTTTGATGTGAAGCCAGGAACATGAAATAGTTGAGAGCAGGAGAGTAAAGAGGTATAACGCACTTTTTTAAAGGATCACTGGTACCTATGCAGAGGACAGACTGTAGAGGGCAGGAGTGGAACAGGAAGGCCACTATATGCTGTTGCAAGTATTTCTAGACTTCTAAAATAGGATCTAGGCAGGATGGCTCATGCCTGTAATCTCAGCACTTTGGGAGACTGAGGCAGGAGGATCACTCGTGGTCAGTTCAGGGCTACAGTGAATTATGACTGCACCACTGCGCTCCAGCCTGCGTGACAGAGTGAGTCCCTGTCTCTAAATAAATAAATAAATAACAGAGTTTTGCTCATTGCCCAGGCTGGAGTGCAATGGTGCCATCCCGGCTCACTGCAACCTCCACCTCCCAGGTTCAAGCCATTCTCCTGCCTCAGCCTCACAAGTAGCTGGGATTATAAGCACCTGCTGCTACAACCAGCTAATTTTTTGTATTTTTAATAGAGACGGGGTTTCACCATGTTGGCCAGGCTGGTCTCAAACTCCTGACCTCAGGTGATCCGCCCACCCTGGCCTCCCCAAAGTGCTGGGATTACAGGCGTGAGCCACTGAGCCCAGCCTGGATAAATTAACATTTGATTGATATAAATGAGTACTAGAGTATATGAATTAGTAATAGACAACACAAAAGGAGAATTTTCATTAAAAAAAAAAATTTTTTTTTTTTTTAGATGGGGTTTCGCTCTTGTTGCCCAGGCTGGAGTGCAATGGCGCGATCTCGGCTCACCACGACCTCCGCCTCCCGGGTTCAAGTGATTCTCCCACCCCAGCCTCTCGAGTAGCTGGGATTGCAGGCATGAACCACCATGTCTGGCTAATTTTGTATTTTTAGTAGAGACGGGGTTTCTCCACGTTGGTCAGGCTGATCTTGAACCAGGGACTTCAGGTGATCCACCTGACCCGGCCTCCCAAAGTGCTGGGATGACAGGCGTGAGCCGTGGCGCCCGGCCTAAAATTTTTTGTTTAAAATTCCAATGAGGAAATACAAAATCATCACCAGAGGGCAGTAGTGAATACAGACTAAGGTATACAAAAGGTGATTGATCTTCATAGTTAGATTATGCTCTTTCAGTAAACTGGGATTTACTGGAATTGAGCATATCCACAAGGTTAACAGCAATAGCAATAAAGATCACGCAAACTCATACCTATAAGAAGTTGAATTATAATGTGAGCAAAAAAAGTAGATTAAAATAGCAGTGTTGGGCCGGACGCAGTGGCTCACACCTGTAATCCCAACACTATGGGACGCCAAGGAGGGTGGACTGCTTGAAGTTAGGAGTTCGGGACCAGCTTGGCCAACGTGGTGAAACCCCATCTCTACTAAAATACAAAAATTAGCTGGGTGTGGTGGCGGGTGTCTGTAATCCCAGCTACTCAGGAGGTTGAGGCAGAATTGCTTGAACCCAGGAGGTAGAGGTTGCAGTGAGCCAAGATCGAGCCACCGCACTCCAGCCTGGGCAAGAGAGTGAGACTCCGTCTTAAAAAAAAAGGGGGGGGCAGTGTTTAGCAACTGCCTTTTATATATTTTATATATAAATACAAGAGTATTTATCTATAGGATGTTATCTCCTTAAATAAACACACCATTCCCAATTCATTGACTTCATTGTTCCTTAGGGTCTACCCAAAAATAAAAACTAGAGCAAGTGAATGGCCAGCTTCGCATATCTACAAGCAGGTGAAAGGTTTGTCCTTTTGTGATTAACAGGCAAAGCTAGAGAGGGTCAATGTCCCAGTCAAGTAGGATAGGAGGGCTCCATTCTAAACAGAAAACAGAACCAGTACAAAAGCCAGGAATCACTACATAACACCTTGGCACACAACATGAAAGTCAGAGGGAAGGGCTACAGCTCAGGGAGCACCTGAACCTGAAAACATGGCCTGTGAAATATATTTCCAGGCAGTTGGCAATAAGGAGGCTGTTAACACGTGTGTCCGCTGTATCCCCTGCTGGGAAGTACATGTCCCCTCCTTCCTTCCTTTGCTTCTACCCTCTTGTCACCCTTCATTTTCACTTTCTTCACAGACCATGATATTACATAGATAACTGAAAGTATGAACTCTGTTGTCATTTATATGAAAAATGTACATCCTGCTTAAGAGCAGCAATAGAAGTTAGCAAGATTATAAGAATAAAAGGTTGTTTCATTTTTTTCTTGCCTCCTCCACCAATACTCCACATTGGTTACCCCCATATTGTGATCAAACTGGACTATTCACCATTTCCTGAACCTGCTTTTTTCCTACCCCACCCATGCTATGTTCTTAACTCAGAATCCTGTATACGGCTACCCTTCATCTCAGTCTAAAATATGCTATACTTTCTTCAAGGGCAGCAAAAATGGCATATCTAAGAAGCCTGCCAGAAAGAACTGATATCTCTTAATCTATCTTCAGGTGCTTACTCACAATTCTATTTACAAATACAATCACATCCTTGCATCATGCTTATTTGTGTATGTTCCCTCTTACTGCAGATAGAGGTTCTATCTGCAAAACCTTTCAGTGTAAAAATCATGTTTGTGCCAGGCGCGGTGGCTCATGCCTGTAATCAGCACTTTGGGAGGCCGAGGCGGGCAGATCATCTGAGGTCGGGAGCTCGGGACCAGCCTGACCAACGTGGAGAAACCCCATCGCTACTAAAAATACAAAATTAGCCTGGTGTGGTGGTGCATGCTTGTAATCCCAGCTACTCAGGAGGCTGAGGCAGGACAATTGCTTGAACCTGGGAGGCAGAGGTTGCGGAGAGCCGAGATTGCACCATTACTTACACTCCAGCCTGGGCAACAAGAGCGATACTCCGTCTCAAAAAATAATATTAAAACAAAAATAAATTAAAATCATGTTTGTTTTTTATGTTTCCATAAGAATTAGAGAAATTTGGCAGGGCTCAGTGGCTCACGCCTGTAATCCCAGCACTTTGGGAGGTGGAGGCAGGTGGCTCACGAGGTCAGGAGTTCAAGACCAGCCTGGCCAAGATGGTGAAACCCCGTCTCTACTGAAAAACAAAAAAACAAAAAAATTAGCCGGGCGTGGTGGCTGGTGCCTGTAATCCCAGCCACTCGGGAGGCTGAGGCAGAGAATTGTTTGAATCCGGGAGGCAGAGGTTGCAGTGAGCTGAGATCACGCCACTGCACTCTGGCCTGGGCAACAAAGCGAGACTCGTCTCAAAAAATAATAATTAGAGAAATTTAACCCTCAGTGTTGCTTTTAAGTTAAATAAAGGCTGGGTGCAGTGGCTCACGCCTGTAATCCCAGCACTTTGGGAGGCTGAGGCAGGCAGATCATGAGGTCAAGAGATCAAAACCATCCCGGCCAACATGGTGAAACCCCATCTCTCCAAAAATTACAAAAATTAGCTGGGCGCTGCAGTGCATGCCTGCAGTCCCAGCTACTCGGGAGGCTGAGGCAGGAGAATCACTTAAACCCGGGAGGTGGAGGTTGTAGTGAGCCGAGATGGCGCCACTGCACTCCAGTCTGGCAACAGAACGAGACTCCGTCTCAAAAAAAAAAAAAAAAAAGAGTTCAATAAAGATTGGAACTGAATGTCATCCTGAGCCCACGGTTTCAGCCCTATGTAAAACAATCAAAGGCATATCCCTTCGTTCCTCAGACTAATCAGTGTGCTGCCAGGCACCTGCAAATCTTCTGTTGCCTACTCCCAACACCAAGAGAGCCATGCCACTCCACAACACAGAGCCACTTGAAAACTTCAAGTATCCTGGATATTATTATTCAGCAATGTATTTAAAATAAAGTAAAGCCGGATGCAGTGGCTCACACCTGTAATCCCAGCACTTTGGGAGGCCAAGGTGGGCAGATCAGCTATCAGGAGTTCAAGACTAGCCTGGCCAACATGGTGAAACCCTGTCGCTACTAAAAATAAAAAAATTAGTCAGGCGTGGTGGTGGACACCTGTAATCTCAGCTACACAGGAGGCTGAGACAGGAGAATCACCTGAACCCGGGAGGCGGAGGTTGTAGAGAGCGGAGATCACACCATTGCACTCCAGCCTGGGCAACAAAAGCAAAATTCCATCTCAAAATAAAAATAAAATAAGAGAGTTTTCAGGCAAACTCTTCCCTGGGTATCCTGCTGTTTTATCTCCTAACAAAACAAATGAATCAAAATGTCGTCCACCTAGAGAGGAGAAGTAGCCCCCAATGTTTGGAGATTCTAAAGCATTACCTACACATGTGCTGTTGTCTCTTCTTAGCCTGCAGAAGAGATATAGGCCTCATCCCCATAGGAGACCAAACACCTCAAAAACCCAGATGTCAAATTTTCTAGGAAACTCTCTTGGACTGCTCAAAGAGTAAAATTTGATAGAAATAGGAAGCATTTGGCCGGGCCGGGTGGCTCACGCCTGTAATCCTGGCACTCCGGGAGGCCGAGGCAGGCGGATAACGAAGTCAGGAGATCAAAACCATCCTGGCCAACATAGTGAAACCCAGTCTCTACTAAAAATACAAAAATTAGCTGGGTGTGGTGGCGCATGCCTGTAACCCCAGCTACTCGGGAGGCTGAGGCAGGAGAATGGCTCGAACCCCAGGAGGTGGAGATTGCAGTGAGCCGAGATCGGGCCACTGCACTCCAGCCTGGCAACAAAGCAAAACTCGTCTCAAAAAAAGAAAAAACAAAAGAAATAGAAAGCATTCACTAGTGATTTATGACTGATATCAACTAAGATTACTTAGAATGTCTAGGATCACACCTGAGATATTACTCCTTACATTTCCATGAGACAATCCATTTACTGTGTGAAATATTTGTTTTCATTTGCTTTTTTTCTGGATTCAAATCCTGTAGGCAAAATCAGTTTAAAAAAATACAGAAGTGCCTTTTAAAGAATAAACAGCTTTGAAAAAATAGCAAATTCAAAAGGATAGTGGATTAAATTTCAACACTGACTTTAATCAAAATGAATTTTAGGCTGTTTAGATTCCCTGGACCTGTTTCTTAAATCTTTACCATGGGTGTCCACTATATAAGGTTTTTTTTTCAAGAAACAAATGAAACAACATGTAAAACATCTCAGTACGTTCCTAACACATAGGAGACCTATAAAAGTCAGTAATTTTTTTACAGTTTGTCTCTAGAGTACATTGACACTACATTCCTATAACTAGTTCTCGGTCTAAATAGAGTTGTCCAATATGATGGTTATTAGCCATATGTGACTACTGAGCACTTAAATTTGGCAAGTCCGAGATATGTGCTTTAAGTGTAAAATACTGGATTTCGAAGATTTAGTGAAAAAAGTAACAAAAAATCTTGTCAATATTCTGTATATTGATTACATGTGAAGTGATAATACTTTGGCTATTCTGGATTAAATAAGATATATTACTAAAATATTAATTTCACCTTTTTGGCTCACATATTTCTATTGGACGATCTAGTCTATACTTTGACTTCAAGCTGGTAATTATGCTCTTTTAACCACGCAGTGGACTGCTTGACAGATGTCACTCGGGCTAAGCCACCCCTTATCCAGCAGACACTGGCTCATTTTAACGCTCCCAACTTCCACAACCGGGGAAAGCTAGCGACCTAAAACTCTTAATTTTAAAAACACCAGATCCCACAGATCTGCTGAGGAAACGCGACTGTTACCAAGAGACAGAAATGTCTTGAAGGAAAAACCCCTGTGGGTGTCAGTCTACCGGGGGACTGGGAACTTCAGCAGAAAAAGTCCCCCTTAGGAAAGAGAGAAGGGGCGACAGAACGAGCAAATCTGAAGGAGCCCGATGTGGAGCCCACGGAGTGGAGGTCTGAGAGGGAAAAGCCTTTCGGCTTGTGAGGACAGGGGAAGGCAAGGGGGGGAGAGTCTGAAGCCAGCGGCCAAGGGGTTCTGCTCCAAGCCGGAGACTACAGAAAAGAGCAGTACCTTAAGAATCCCCCTCATCTTTGCCAGAAAGGGGCGGAACTCCTCGGGTGGCACCTCTGGATATAGCTGGCTCCGTAGCAGCTCCTCTGTGATGCCGGGGTACCCGTGGAAAGTGTCCTGGGCCAGCGCATTCAGCAGCCCGCTCAGGGGTTTGCCACCCTCAAGCTCGCCCGCCGCCATGCTCTGCGAAGGCCCCGCCCCGCAACAGCTGAGCCGTGCCCCGCCACGGCGGCCGAGATGTGCCTAAATAGCCTGTGCAAAACCACCACGGGGAACCTCGGGGAACCTGGAGGCAAGGCTTCCCCAGGGGTCAGAGTTGGCAGCTTACAGCTTTGCTCTGCAACACCCATCCCCTTAGGATACCTCCACGGAAATATCCGTTTGGTTCCAGTAGGGTCACTTTGCTTCCCCTGATCCCCTTCATCACTGCAGAGCCTACTGGAAAGAAAGATTGCTCGCAGAGATTACTGGAGATGGGGTAGCAGCCTATAAGTTTGGCAGTTTAATTTTTAGATGGCTGTATCTCATTCCAGGACTTGCCAACCCATTAACTGAATAGGATCGATCACTCAGATTTAATCTCTGCCTAATCCTTACCTGTCATCCTTTTTTTCAGGAAGTTTAACTATCTCCTGATTACATAATGTTTTTCTTTGGGTTGTTAATTGCCTTTTTATATACACTTGTCTTTCCAGCTAGATCAGTGGCTCTGATCCAATGTTCTTTTATATGACAAATATTTTAACACCTTATTTACTATCCTGAAATGAAATGCATAGCTAATATAACTTCCCACCCATATAATTTTTTAAAATCAATATATTATTCAGCCATAAAATGGAATAAAGTACTGATACATGCTACAACGTGAATGAGACTTAAAAACAGGATTAGTAAAAGAAGCCAGATATAAAAGGCCAAATATTGGACATCCATTTATATGAAATGTCCAGGATAGACAAATCCATGGAGACTGAAAGTAATGTAATAGTTGGCAGAATCTGGAGAAGGGGACGAATGGGTAGTGACTGTTTATAGGTACAGAGTTTCTTTGGGGCATGATGAAAACATTCCGGAAGTGGAAGCACAACCTTGTTAATATACTAAAACCCACTGAATTGTACACTTTAAAAGATTAGTTTCACAGTATGTGAATATCTCAATTGAAAAATCAATTTAATGACCTAATTGTAATTTATCATAAAATGAAAAGGAATTTATAATATAATATGTGTGTTTGGGTACACCTATACTAGTTGACTAAAAGACATACAAAGTAGCCAGATGTCTGCATCTTTACATCTTTATGTAGAACCACCTGTGACTTCTACAAATGCAAATTGATACAGGTGTGTGGTATTGGTGACTCCAGAGGGAGGGCAGTTGCTTCTGGTAACATGATGTTCTGAAATGTTAAGAACTGATGTTCTGAAATGTGAACAACAGTTGGTAAAGTTTACAACAAAAAACACTCTTTCCTCACTCTACAGTCATTGCAAAGCTGGAATATTCTGTATATATTAATGCTAAACTAAAAATACATTGTGTTGCCGGGCACGGTGGCTCACGCCTCTAATCCCAGCACTTTGGAAGGCCGAGGCAGACGGATCACGAGGTCAGGAGATCAAGACCATCCTGGCTAACACGGTGAAACCCCATCTCTACTAAAAATACAAAAAAATTAGCCGGGCCTAGTGGCGGGCGCCTGTAGTCCCAGCTACTCGGGAGGCTGGGGCAGGAGAATGGCATGAACCTGGGAGGTGGAGCTTGCAGTGAGCCGAGATCACGCCACTGCACTCTGTCGCCTGGGTGAAAGAGGGAGACTCCGTCTCAAAAAAATAAAATAATAATAATAATACATTGTGTTTCTATATAAAATAGAGTTTGACTTTAGGCTTAGATAATAACAAACAGGTTTTTCACCTTTATGAACGTACCCTGCATGGGAAGATGTCTTATATATCTGACCTCTCTCCCACCTATTCCATTCCTACCCTTCCTTCAAAGTGACAACTGAGGTCGGGCATGGTGGCTCACGCCTGTAACCCCAGCACTTTGGGAGGCTGAGGTGGGTGGATCACCTGAGGTCAGGAGATCGAGACCAGCCTGGCCAACATGGTGAAACTGAAAATACAAAAATTAGCCAGGCATGGTAGCACATGTCTGTAGTCCCAGCTACTCGGGAGGCTGAGGCAGGAGAATTGCTTGAACTCAGGAAGCAGAGGCTGCAGTGAGCAGAGATGGTGCCACTGCACTCTAGCCTTGGGGACAAGAGCAAAACTTCATCTCAAAAAAAAAAAAAAGTGACAACTGAAATGCCCCTTTCAAGGCAGTGCCACATTGTTGAGAATCTACTCATCTAGACTACTTTAATTAATGTTTATCCAGTAAAGAGGTATTCTTTTTTTTTTTTTTGAGACAAAGTTTTACTCTGTTGCCCAGGCTGGAGTGCAGTGGCACAATCTCGGTTCACTGCAACATCCACCTCCCAAGTTCAAGTGATTCTCCTGCCTCAGCCTCCCAAGTAGCTGGGATTATAGGCATGCGCCACCACGCCCAGCTAATTTTTGTATTTTTTGTAGAGAAGGGGTTTCACCATGTTGGCCAGGCTGGTCTCAAACTCCTGACCTCAGGTGATCCACCCACCTCAGCCTCCCAAAGTGCTGGGATTACAGGTGTGAGCCACTGTACCTGGCCAGAGGCATTTTTTACAATAGAAAAAATATATTTCTTTTCCTAAAATAATTTTATAAAAGGCAAATTCAGAGTTGCTTCCATGGCTCCAAGTAAACCAAACTTAGTGACAAACTATAGATTGTTTTACATGTACTTACAGAAGTTGCAGAGAATGGTTGGTGAAAAAGAAAAAGCATAAATCAAAAGGTGGCAAGCAGAAAAAGCACTATTAAACACGTAATTTACAAATTACCCACCAGAAAGGCTGCACCTATTTCTATGAAACCTTAGTAACACTGACTGATATTATTCTTTTAATTTCATTTAATTTAATTTTTGAGACAGAGTCTCACTCTGTTGCCCAGGCTGGAGTGCAGTGGCACGATGTTGGCTCACTGCAGTCTCGACCTCCCAGGCCCAAGTTATCCTCCGATCTCAGGCTAAGTAGCTGGGAATATGAGCACACACTACCGTACCCAGCTATATTATTCTTTATAACCTTTGCCATATGATACATGAAAAATATTATCTCACTGTTTTAATTCGCATTTCTTAAATTTTGAGAGTAAATTTTTTTTACTATATTTATTGGCTGCTTATATTTCTTCCTATTTCCTTGTCCATTTTCTATAGGGGTTTCTGTCACTTCAGTGATTTCTTTTCTTTTTTTTTAAGGTGGAGTTTCGCTCTTGTCGCCCAGGCTGGATGGAGTGCAATGGCATGATCTCGGCTCACCACAACCTCCGCCTCCCGGGTTCAAACGATTCTCCTGCCTCAGGCTCCCAAGTAGCTGGGACTACAGGCGTGCGCCACCACACCTGGCTAATTTTTGTATTTTTAGTAGAGACAAGGTTTCACCATCTTGGGCACGCTGGTCTCGAACTCCCGACCTCGTGATCCACCTGCCTCGGCCTCCCAAAGTGCTGGGATTACAGGCGTGAGCCACCGTGCCCGGACACTTCAGTGATTTCTAAGAGCTCTTTATGCATAGAAATATTAGTGCTTGTTACCTACATGCAAATATTTTCTCCATGTTTATATAGTCAAATCTAGGCCGGGTGCGGTGGCTCACGCCTGTAATCCCAGAACTTTGGGAGGCCAAGGTGGGTGGATCACGAGGTCAAGAGATCGAGACCATCCTGGCCAACATGGTGAAACTTCATCTCTACTAAAAATACAAAAATTAGCTGGGCGTGATGGCGCGTGCCTGTAGTCCAGCTACTTGGGAGGCTGAGGCAGGAGAATCGCTTGAACCCAGGAGGCAGAGGTTGCAGTGAGCCAAAATCATGCCACTGTACTCCAGCCTGGTGACAGAGCAAGATTCCGTCTCAATAAATAAAATAAAATAGAGTCAAATCTATCAACCTACGTAGAAAAAGTCTGGAAGTTTATTCACCAACATAGTTATAGTGTACATCTCTTAGTAACTGAGGATGGCTTTCTGCTTATCTGATTTTTCTAAATATCTACAGTGTACATGTAATACTGTTGTAATAAAAAGTTATTTAATGAAAAAATTAAATAAGTAGTAGGTCCTAAAATAAAATTATTTTTTGTGGGGGGACAGAGTGTCACTCTGTTGCCCAGGCTGGAGTACAATGGCAGGATCTCTACTCACTGCAACTTCCACCTCCTGGATTCAAGCAATTTTCATGTGTCAGCCTCCCTAGTAACTGGGATTACATATGCACACCACCACGCTGACCTAATTTTTGTATTTTTAGTGGAGATAAGGTTTCACCATCTTGGCCAGGCTGGTCTTGAACTCCTGGCCTCAGGTGATCCACCCACCTCGGCCTCCCAAAGTGCTGGGATTACAGGCATGAGCCACTGCCCCCAGCAATAAAAATCTTTCAATGAAAGCTTTAAAGGACATGTGTATTCTACATTGCAGAGAAAAGCCATGAACCTTGCTTTTTTTAAAAAAATGTGTTTTGGTCGTGCGCAGTGGCTCACACCTGTAATTCCAGCATTTTGGGAGGCCGAGGCAGGCAGATCACCTGAGGTCAGGAGTTCAAGACCAGCATGGCCAACATGGTGAAACCCTGTCTCTACTAAAGATACAAAAATTAGCTGGGTGCGGTGGCAGGTGCCTGTAATCCCAGCTACTCAGGAGACTGAGACAAGAGAATTGCTTGAACCCAGGAGGTGGAGGTTGCAGTGAGCCGAGATCACGCCACTGCACTCCAGCCTGGGTGACAGAGTAAGACTGTCTCAAAAATAAAAATAAAAATAAAAGTGTTTTAATTTAAAATTTTTATTTTCCATGTCCACTGAATATGAATCTTAAACTTTTTGATATTACTAGATGCTTTCAGAATCTGATAAAAGCCTCAGACACTTTCTCCCCAAAATATAAACACCCACCAAATGTAGCCTACAATATCTATTGGCTACTTTATCCCTCAGAAGTCTTTCTATAAACCCCCTAGTTTTCCATGGGTCCTGACTGTAAACTAAAAATAAAATCCTAAGCCTCCCACTGAGTGAACAGACCTCCTCTTGGCCAAGGGGACCCCAGAGAAACCTGAAAATTGTGTTTCCACCCATAACAGGAAGAGATCAGACATTCATCCTTCTACTTCCTCCCTTTTAGAGTTTAGACACAACTGACTGGCATTAATGTTAAAATAGGGATCATAAGACTCTGTGGCAATAAGATACCAAATTATAGAAAGACCTAAGGCCATGCAAGGCAAGAGTTAAGTCATGCCTGCAGGCCATCAGTCTTGCTGAATAGGTCATTTTGACGCAAAATATTGTGGCTAACTCTGACATAGCATCCTTATCTTCAACATTTCTTTCTTCTGACTCCAAGTTTTAGACAGAGCCTTATGACTTTAACCAATTGCAAATTAAACAATCTCTGAATCCACCTGTAACTTGTAAGTCCCCACTTCAGCATATCCTGACTTCTTGGACCGAACCAATGTACACCTTCCATGTGTTGACTTACATCTTTGCCTGTAACTCCTGCCTCCCTGAAATGCATAAAATTGTAATCTGACCACCTCAGGACCACTTACTCAAAGTTCCTTGGGTTTGTGTCTTTCCCAGGCTGTGATCAGTCACATTGGCCCTGAATAAATATCTAAAAAATTTTACAGAGTTTGGTTTTTCTTTTAACATGACTAAGAACTCCTGAGTACTCCCAGCTCTAATTAACCTTCACAAGAAATACATTACTCTTTTAGAAGCAAGTGAAAATACAGGCTGGGCGCGGTGGCTCACACCTGTGATCCCAGCACTTTGGGAAACCAAGGTGGGCGGATCACTTGAGATCAGAAGTTCAAGACCAGCCTAGCCAACACAGTAAAACCCTGTCTCTACTAAAAATACAAAAATTAGCTGGGTGGGGTGGCACACGTCTGTAGTCCCAACTATGCAGGAGGCTGAGGCAGCATAGCTTGAGCCAGGGAGGTTGAGGTTGCAGTGAGCTGGGATCACGCCACTGTACTCCAGCCTGGGCGACAGAGCAAGACTCTGCCTCAAAAAAACAAACAAACAAAACAACAAGAACAACCAAAAACATTGCTATCATTATTTAACTCCTACTCAAATGTATGTGTAGAAGAGGCAAAATTTTACCTCTGCCCTCTTAGGGTTTTTTGGCTGGACTCGAGAATTAAACTTAACATTAAGACAGGTTAACAGGAGAAAGACATACAGACTTATTTAATATAAGTTTATATTATTTAATATAATGTATGACATGGAAGCCCTCATAAGTAAATGAAGACCCACAAAAGTGGGAACACTTAAATGCTTTTATATTAGGATGAACAAAGACAGGCAATGGCAGAAAAGTAACTAAACTATGTGGGGAGGCTAAAGGAAGATAAAAATTATTTTAACAAGGTCTGTTTGTACAGAATTTTCTCAGTCTCAACTTCCCATCCTTGACAATAAGAATGTTGCCTTCCTTCTGGTAAAGGGAGGACATCTTCCATATGGGGGTTTTATCTCCTGCTTTAAAGAAGAAAAGGGGAAGAATCAGAGTCCCTTCTTGCACCTATTTTTTTTAATGTGTCTTTAGCTCAAAATAATCCTTATGCCAAAGTGGCATATTTTGGGATAGCATATTCTGCCACATATCACTGGACATATTACTGCCTGCCTGAGCCTACAGCACGTTCCAAAATATCAGAGTGAGCAATAACATAAATTCCTGTGCCACCAGGGGCTGCTATTGCCAATGTAACTGTTGAAACTTGGTAGCAGCTGCATTTTTAGAATGGCTTTCAAGCAAAAGGATCCAAGTACAAAGTTTTATTTTATTAACTCTCAAAACAACCTATTTTGTAGATAACAAAGCTGGGTATAGGCCTATTAAAAGAATTGTCTAAGGCAAGGAAACGGTAAGAAAAAGACCCTGAAGCCTTGATGCAAAGGGAAATTATAAATACCTAACTAAGCCCTCCTTGTAAACAGGTTTCCTTTCTATTGTGGCCAAATAGGTTTTCATCCTAAGTTCCATTAAGCAACTGGTCCCAGGCAAGTAATAGGTGTTTTTTTAATGAGGTTTTCCACCTCTGAAAACATTAAAATATTATATAAAACGTGAACTGAAATGTGTGCAAACCCAAGGGCCCCAAAGTTTTACAATGAGCTCTACCTGCCCTCTGTCTCCATTCTACTTTCTCCAATTCTGCTGTTATTAACATTCACCCTTCGCTCAACTGGCCACTCAACAGATTTTATTTTCTTGAGACAGGGTCTCACTCTGTCATCCAGGCTGCAGTGCAGTGGCGTGATCCCAGCTTACTGCAAACCCAACCTCCCTGGCTCAAGCTATCCTTCTGCCTCAACCTCCCGCATAGATGGGACTACAGATGTGTGCCAGCCCGTCTAGCTGATTTTTAAACTTGTTTTAGAGACAGAGTCCCACCATGTTGCCCAGTCTGGTCTCCACCTCCTGAGGTCAAGTGATCCTCCCACCTTGACCTCCCAAACTGCTGTGATTACAGGTGTAAGCCACCATGCCCCAGCAACAGGTATTAGTTGAGAGCATTTGCAATCCATTCTTCTTGGCTCCAGGAGATACAGAAATGAATGACTGTCTCTGCCTTAAAATCTTACATTCTGGTAAGGGAAAATTACATGTAAATAAATTATTAAAATACAATGGACTGAGTTGTTATTACTTAGTACCTAAAAGTAGCTATCAGGTTTGCTGGTAGAAGAAGATTCCATTAATTCAGCTGGAGTAGGTCAGGAGAGGCTTAATGGTGAATATCAGAATATGCTGCAGATGAAATAACTCGTCCCTATATATGGAGGCATGAAACAGAGTGAGGTGTTGAGTCCTCTGTAAATAGTATAGCAAGAATGGAACCAGGAGCCTAGGGTAATAAATCTGAAAAAACAGACAGGGCCTAGGACATAGGGATAAAGAGTTTACATGTAATGGCCAATATATATATATTTTTTTTAAAGACAGAGTTTTGCTCTTGTTGCCCAGGCTGGAGTCTAGTGGCGCAATCTTGGTTCACTGCAACCTCCGCCTCCTGGGTTCACGCGATTCTCCTGCCTCAGCCTCCTGAGTAACTGGGATTACAGGCATGCACCACCACGCCCAGCTAATTTTTTGTATTTTTAGTACAGACGGGATTTCATCATGTTGGCCAGGCTGGTGTCAAACTCCTGAACTCAGGTGATCCACCCACCTCGGCCTCCCAAGTAATGCCAATTTTTATACTTAACCATTGGGAAGTGTAGAGAAGGAAAAATCTTTCCCCTTCCCATCTTAGGGTTCTTGGCTGGAGCTCTGTAACAAAACACAACTTAACAAGAGAAAAGCATACAAATTTGTTTAATATAAGTTTTACATGACACAGGAGCCTTCATAAGGAAATGACCCAAAGAAGCAGTTTGAGCCATATGATTATATGCTAAGTGGGACAAAGAGTAGTAAATTGTGAAAATATGGACTTGGTCTAGGGTAGTTAATCATGGAGAAGTGACCAGGAAGATAAGAATTCATTTAACAAGGTTTTTTAATACAGATTTTTTATGGCCTTGATTCCCTATTTCTGGTGTTAAGAATATCCTCTAGGTGGGCACAGTGGCTCACGCCTGTAATCCCAACACTTTGGGAGGCTGAGGTGGGTGGATTGCTTGAGGTCAGGAGTTCGAGACCAGCCTGGCCAATATGGTGAAACCCCATCTCTACTAAAAACACAAACATTAGCCAGATGTGGTGGCGGGCACCTGTAATCCCAGCTACTCGGGAGGCTGAACCATGAGAATCACTTGAACCTGGGAGGCGGAGGTTGCAGTGAGCCGAGATCAAGATGGTGCCACTGCACTCCAGCCTGGGCGACAGAGCAAGACTGTCTAAAAAAAACAAAAAAAAAAAAAAAAGAAAAGGAAAAAGAACACCTTTCATATGTGAGTTTTATCTTCTGCTTCTGCTTTCAGGAAGAAAAAGTCAAGTCAGAGTACCCTTTATGCATCTGCTGTTTTTTAGGTGCTTTTAACTCAAAATAATCAATAAGAACCAGAGTAGCTTATTTGGGGTGGTGTGTTCTCAACTACTTCAGGAGTCCCTGAAGAGTTGTAAGCAGAGGAGTAATAACAAGATCAGATTTGGGGTTTTGTTTTTTTCTGAGATAGGGTCTCACTCTGCCACCCAGTGCAGTGGTGTGATCCTATCTCACTGCAACCTCGAACTTCTAGGCTCAAAAGGATCCTCCTGCCTCAGCCTCTCGAGTAGCTAGGACTACAGGTGCAGATCACTGTGCCCAGCTAATTTTTTTTTTTAGAGACAGGATCTCACTATGTTGCCCAGGCTGATCTCAAATTCCTGGGCTCAAGCTATTCTCCTGCCTCAGCCTCCCAAAGTGCTGGGATTACAGGCATGAGCCACCTCACCCAGCCAGATTTGAGTTCTTAAAAGATCCCTCTGTGGTAGCAGTGTGGCAAAGGAACTGGAGGAGGCCCCACTTCCCAACGCTGTTGCATTGGAGATTAAGTTTCCAACACATGAATTTTGGAGTGGACAAAGATATTCAAACCATAGCAGTTTCCTTTGATGGTGTCATGTTTACCTGAGTCTTTGTTATCCATGTAACTTTGCATTGGTGTTTATGTATTTAAAGCAACAAACACCTCTTCCAGTCTTTATAGACTAGTTTTAGCAGGAAAAGGCCTTCTCCTATTGGGTCCCTGAATTGATGGGATGGCACTCAAATGGGGTTGGAGCTGGGTCCACAGTGGAGTTCACAGTTGGCAAGCTTGTTACCATGGGCTCTAATGGGTGTGGATCCTGTCTGGTCCATGGGTGGACTGGACTGCCCCTAGGACCTTGGTCAGTAGGGCTGGTGTTGGGATGGAGGTCTGCAGACAATGCGCCTATTACCAGATGCACAGACTGGTGTGGCTTCCTCCTGTTTCCTGGTAAGCTTCCTGCTAGGTCACTGGGTGAGTCCTTGGGCAGGCAGTACTGGCCCTAACGGTAGTTAAGAGGGGCTGGAACCAAGTCATTGGGCTGCTTCAGGGTCCACAGGCAAAAGTGAAATCTGCAGGCCTGCTTCCTGGGGCATGGGTAGCATATCACCCCTGGGTCTCTTTGCGGGCAGGATTGCTCTCAGAGGAGGGCTGGGGCTGAGACTTAGAGCTGTTGCAGGGTCTGCTATGAAACTGATGTTGGTGGGCCTTGCCACCTGAGACACAAGTAGTTATGACTCCTCCAGATCCCTAAGCAGATGGTCTAGTAGCAGGACCAAGGCCAAAGAGGGCTGTAGCCAGGTCCACAGGGAGGTAGCACCATTTCCAAGTCTGGAGCTGCAACCTCGATCAACGAGTCTGCTACCTGGGTGCGGTTCTGCTGTCTCAAAACAGCCTTCCTGGATCTTGGGCTCCACAAGTGTTTCACAGTCTCCTACCTAGTTCCCAACAGAGGTACTTTTATCTGTGGACAGCTGAAAAGCTAAAAACTATTGTCGCTGTGGGGAGACACAAGTGAGGCAGCTCCTGGTCTCCCATTTTGCTGATGTCACTCTCCTGGCTGTCTTAAATCTCTCACTTTCTTAAATCTCTCTTATTCCATAAGTTACCCTTTCATCTTCATTGTTGCTATTGTTAATTTTCTTGCAATTTATTTATAGGTCATTTGTCCTAAAGAGTTTTTCACATTCTACATTTTACTGATTGCATCCTCATGGTACTATTTTAAAAATATATTCTTCTAGACCAGGTGTAGTGGCTGACACCTGTAATCCCAGCACTTTGGTAGGCAGGTGGATCACCTGAGGTCAGGAGTTTGAGACCAGCCTGGCCAACGTGGTGAAACCCTGCCTCTACTAAAAATACAAAATTAGCTGGGCGTGGTGGTGCATGCCTGTAATCCCAGCTACTTGGGAGTCTGAGGCAGAGAACTGCTTGAACCTGGGAGGTGGAGGTTGCAGTGAGTCAAGATCGCACCATTGCACTCCAGCCTGGGCTACAGAGTGAGACTCCATCTCAAAAAAAAAAAATTTTTTTTTTAATTAAAAAATATATAAATATATATATATCATCATTCTATTTTTTTTAATTTAGCTTGCAATAGTAACATGAAGCAGAGGCCTAGTTTCATTAAGTATATTTTGATTTTCTTAATTTTCCTTGAAACGTTTCTAGTCCACATTTACGTCACATTTCACATTAACAAATACAAGAAATCCTTGTATTTCTTGTAAACCCATACATTGGTAGTTGGATCTAGGAACTTGATTAATATTTTTTTTTTTTCATTCTTCCAGCAGGATGTGTATAAAGTCAGCTTGCCTCACTTTTTTAGGCTGGGAATGGTGACTCACGCCTGTAATCCCAACACTTTGGGAGGCCAAGGCGGGTGAATCACTTGAGACCAGGAGTTCAAGACCAGCCTGGCCAACATGGCAAAAACCCATCTCTACTAAAAAAATTCAATAGCCAGTTGTAGTTGCACGATACTGTAGTCCCAGCTATTTGGGAGGCTGAGTGAGACAGGAGAATCCATTTAACCTGGAAGGCAGAGGTTGCAGTGAGCCAAGATCGTGCTACTGCACTCCAGCCTGTGTGACAGAGCAAGACTCCATCTCAAAAAAATAAATAAATAAAGTCAGCTTGTCTTACTTTTTAAAAACAATGATGGGGTTTTGCTATGTTGCCCAGACTAGAGTTCAATGGCTAGTCACAGGCACAATCATAAGAGTGCATCCTTTAACTCCTGGGCTCAAGCTGTTCTCTTACCTGAACTTCGTGAGTAGTGGGACTACAGGCACACACCACTGTGCCCAGCTTGCCTTACTTTTTGTATTGTGCCCCACCACATCCTGGACCCCTAAAACAACACTCATGTCTTTTGCCCACAAATTTGCAATTTTTCTCAATTTTTTTTTTTTTTTTGAGATGGAGGTTCTTGTTGCCCAAGCTGGAGTGCAATGGTGTGATTTCAGCTCACTGCAACCTCCGCCTGCCAGGTTCAAGCAATTCTCCTTCCTCACCCTCCTGAGTAGCTGAGATTATAGGCATGTGCCACCATGCCCAGCTAATTTTTGTATTTTTAGTAGAGACAGGGTTTCACCACGTTGGCCAGGCTGGTCTCGAACTCCTGACCTCAAGCTATCTGCCTGCCTCAGCCTCCCAAAGTGCTGGGATTACAGGCGTGAGCCAAGGCGCCCGGCCTGTAACTCTTGTTAGTACTACAATAATGAAAGTTTAGTTCATTCCTGTTTTTCGATAGAAAACCTGGCTGTTTACTCACACATCACAAAACTTCTAAGTTTGCCAGCACCCTCCTTTGGCTTTTCCTCTTCCCATTTTCATTTTTATTTGTTTTTCTTAAACTTTTAAATTTTTATTTTTTACTATTGCCAACAATCAACCTCTTCCCATTTTCAGACAAATATTTTAACTGGGAAGGTTAGAAAGTAACAAAAATGTTAACTAGAAACCTTTCTAGGAAAATTAGGAAAATCAAAATATACTTAATGAAACAAGGCCTCTGCTTCATGTTACTATTGCAAGCTAAACTTAAAAACATAGAATGAGGCCAGGCATGGTGGCTCACACCTGTAATCCCAGTACTTTGAAAGGCCAAGGTGGGCAGATCACCTGTGGTCGGGAGTTCGAAACCAGCCTGGCCAACATGGTGAAACCCCGTCTCTACTAAAAATACAAAATTAGCCGACCACGGTGGCGCATGCCTATAGTCCCAGCTACTCGGGAGGTTGAGGCAGGAGAATCACTTGAACCCGTGGAGCAGAGGTTGCAGTGAGCTGAGATTGCGCCACTGCACTCCAGGCTGGGCGACAGAGCGAGACTCCGTTTCAGGGGGGAAAAAAAAAGAACGATGCAAACAGTAAGGCTTAGGAAAACGGGGCTTAATGGTGGTCTCGATAATAAACTAATGCAGAGAAAAATACAAAATAACAACAAACACTGTCTTTGAATTGGAGTAAAACCTAAGAGAGATAAGATACATACAGCCCTCTCTTCTTTTCTTTTCTTTTTTTTTTTTTTGAGACAGAGTTTCCCTCTTGTTGCCCAGGCTGGAGTGAAATGGCACGATCTCGGCTCACCGCAACCTCCACCTCCCAGGTTCAAGCGATCCTCCTGCCTCAGCCTCCCCAGTAGCTGGGAATACAGGTGCATGCCACAACACCGGGCTAATTTTTTGTATTTTTAGTAGAGACAGGGTTTCACCGTGTTAGCCAGGATGGTCTCAATCCCCTGACCTCAGCTGATCCACCCTCCTCCGCCTCCCAAGGTGCTGGGATTACAGCATGAGCCACCGCACCTGGCCCCTCCTCTCTTCTTTTCTAACCTTAACCAGTTCCTGGCTCAGTCCTATTATTGAGGGTCTAGGACATCGTGGGCTATTCATTCTAAAGAGAACCTTCATTTGGATGGCTGACAAAGTATTATTGTTTTGTAAAACCTATTTCATAAATTATTAAGGAAATTGTATTGTTATTGCCAACATTCCCACATATGCCTTACGTCTGCTTGGATCTGACAGGAAAGTATTTTTGTTTGTTTGGTTTTGTTTTGTTTTGGAAAGTATTTTTTAAATATAGGAAAGCTGGCCGGGCATGGTGGCTCATGCCTTTTATCCCAGCACTTTGGGAGGCCAAGGCAGGCGGATCACCGGGTCAGGAGATCGAGACCATTCTGGCTAACACGGTGAAACCCCCTCTCTACTAAAAATACAAAAAACTAGCCGGGCTTGGTGGTGGGCGCCTGTAGTCCCAGCTACTCAGGAGGCTGAGACAGGAGAATGGCGTGAACCCGGGAGGCGGAGCTTGCAGTGAGCCGAGATTGTGCCACTGCACTCCAGCCTGGGTGACAGAGCGAGACTCCATCTCAAAAATAAATAAATAAATAAAAAATAAATATCAGAAAGTTTTAAAAACATTTTTACCCTTCATTAGCAACAGTGCTTTGCTTAAAGTACTCTACACAAGTGTTTATGTTTTTGTTTTGTTTTGAGATGGAGTCTCACTCTGTCGCCCAGGCTGGAGTGCAGTGGCATGATCTCGGCTCACTACAACCTCTGCCTCCCGAGTTCAAGTGATTCTCCTGCCTCAGCCTCCCGAACAGCTGGGATTACAGGCATCTGACACCACGCCTGGCTAATTTTTGTATTTTTAGTAGAGATGGGATTTCACCATCTTGGCCAGGCTGGTCTTGAACTCCTGTGATCCACCCACCTTGGCCTCCCAAAGTGCTGGGATTACAAGTGTGAGCCACCACGCCCGGCCATGTTTAGGTTTTAATATTTGTTGAAATCCCATTTTAATGGAGAAATAATGTACATTAACACTCTGATGAAAGCCGATGTTTAACATTTATTTACTGCCTAATCCCACGAACAAAAATAATTCCAATTTCACAGAAAAAGAAATGTTTGTAACTTGAAACATTTCAGATACTTAAAGCATGTCTCAAAACTTTAAGACTCTCCCAAGAAGCCAATAATGGCATCTTCCAAATTCTGCTCTGTCCTTTATGGCTGACAGATCGACTCCTTACACTGGTAGAACTAGTAGTTTAGTAAGCCCCTAGAGATCATCTAGTTCAACCCTCCTATTTTACAGATGAGGAAAATGAGACCCAAAGGATTTAAGTGGCCTTCCTTAGGTCACATAGCTAATAAGTAGCAGAGCTATTAATAAACTCAAATCCAGTATTTTACATCCCAAAATTAATGCATTTCCTCATCACCCACTTGTTTCCAACATATTACATCAGTTGTCTAAACAAATAACCATAGAATTTATGTGCTACTTGGGAGTATTCTGGTCCTCTGAAGAGAAGTCGGCCTCAGAGGTTTATGGATCTTCATTTCCTAGTGCTAATATCCTTCTTTTTTTTTTTTTTTTTTTTTTGAGACAAAGTCTTGCTCTATCACCCAGGCTGGAGTGCAGTGGCGCAATCTCGGCTCACTGCAACCTCCACTTCCTGGCTTCAAGGGATTCTCCTGCCTCAGCCTCCCGAGTAGCTGGGATTACACCCCCGGTTAATGTTTTGATTTTTAGTAGAGACGGGGTTTCGCCACGTTGGCTAGGCTGGTCTTAAACTCCTGACCTAAAGCGATCCACCCACCTCGGCCTCCCAAAGTGCTGGGATTACAGGCGTGAGCTACTGAGCCAGGCCCCTAGTGCTAATATGCTAAATGTGTGTTAAAGAACAACTTGGCGAGGTGGCTCTCGCCAAGCCTGCAATCCTAGCACTTTGGGAAGCCGAGGCGGGCCTATCACCTGAGCTCGGGAGTTCGAAACCACCCTGTCCAACATGGAGAAACCCCGTCTCTACTAAAAATACAAAATTAGCCGGGCATGGTGGTGCATGCCCGTAATCCCAGCTACTGGGGAGGCTGAGGCAGGAGAATCGCTTGAACCCGGGAGGCGGAGGTTGCGGTGAGCCGAGATGGTGCCACTGCTCCAGCCTGGGCAACAAGAGTGAAACTCCGTCTCAAAAACAAACAAAAACAAACAAACAAACAACACCACCACCACCTCATAATTACAAGATTAAGTACCTTTGAACATTTGTTTCTGAACCTACCACACGCAACTGTCACTTTGCAGGTGCTTAATAATTGTGAGCGAACATTCAACAAACCTCATTTCATAAACTTCCCTACTGAAATATAGTGGTCATAGGAGACCAGCAGTTTAGCTCATGGCTTCTGGTCCTTGCTTTGTATTGGAATACTGCTTCTATCTACTGACTCGTTTACCCTGGGCTTCAGTTCCTTCTTTGGGCTCCAGTTCTCTCACCTTTTAAGTAAAGGATTATTGTGAGGACTAAACGAGATATAAAACGTGTAAAGGTTTAGCACTGTGCTTAGCAGATAACGGAAATAAATGATCTTTATTATAATGTTTACGTTCCCTAAGAGTCAGTGGCTACGTCATGCAGGAGACACTAGTGTAGAACAAGCGGGCGGTGGTAACTAGACAGACCTGATTTGGCAGTCTGTCAAACCTCCACCACCCAGTATCAACCAATACGAGATAACTAACCTCGCCTCATTCCAAATCTCCCTTTTCTGACTCCCTTTCAAAATGAACAAAACTGCATAAAATGCAGGTCTATGTGGCCGGGCAAAAACAGACTCAGTCATATCCCTTAGAGAGTTATTCCGGCGCCCACCCCACCTCGCGGATAGATCCAGCCGGAGTTAAAGGAGGGCACCTCCGGGTGGGCGCGGTGGCTCACGCCTGTAATCCCAGTACTTTGAAACGCTGAGGAGGGTGGACCGCTTTGAGCCGGGGAGGTCAGACCAGCCTGGGCAACACAGCGAAACCCAGTCTCGCTATGTTTCGAATACAAAAATTCGCTAGGCATGGTGGCGGGCACCTGTCGTCCTGGCTAGTTGGGAGGCTGTGGCGGGAGGATCGCTTGGGCCCCGGAGGTCGAGGCTGCAGTGAGCCAAGATCGCCCCACTGCACTCCCGCCTGGACGACAGAGCGAGACTCTGTCAAAAAAAAAAAAAAAAAAAAAAAAGGCCGGGCTTCGTGGCTGACGCCTGTAATCCCAACACTTTGGGAGCCCGAGGCGGGTGGATCACCTGAGGTCGGGAGTTCGAGACCGGCCTGGCCAACATGGTGAAACCCTGTCTCTACTAAAAATACAAAAATTAGCTGGGCATGGTGGCGGACGCCTGTAATCCCAGCTACTCGGGAGGCTGAGGAGGATCGCTTGAACCTGGGAGGCGGAGGCTGCAGTGAGCCGAGATTTTGCGCCACTGCACTCCAGCCTGGGCAACAGAGTGAGACTGTATCCAAAAAAAGAAAAAAAAAAAAAAAAAAAGGAGGGGACCTCATAGCCGTGCAAGGTGGAGTGAGGAAATGCGGATGTCCTCACCACTCGCCTTTAAAATCGCGCGTTGTCATTGCTGCCTCGCGTAAAGGTTCCCCCGGCGCTCTTCACCCACAGCGCCCCGGGCGTACAATCTCGCCAGCCCGGAGCCCACCGCACGCATCCTCCTCGCCCGGCGCGCAGCGGACAGCCTCCTACGTCACGCCAGCGCCGCGCGGCAAGGA
The DNA here is from genome assembly GCF_000001405.40 of Homo sapiens. Classification (NCBI taxonomy): domain Eukaryota; kingdom Metazoa; phylum Chordata; class Mammalia; order Primates; family Hominidae; genus Homo; species Homo sapiens. The sequence goes on along the minus strand of NC_000002.12, from coordinate 61,888,663 downwards.
AGGCCCCCTTCTCCGCCTCCGCCTCCTCCCGACGCCGGCGCCGCTTTCTGGAAGGTTCGTGAAGGCAGTGAGGGCTTACCGTTATTACACTGCGGCCGGCCAGAATCCGGGTCCATCCGTCCTTCCCGAGCCAACCCAGACACAGCGGAGTTTGCCATGCCCGAGAATGTGGCACCCCGGAGCGGGGCGACTGCCGGGGCTGCCGGCGGCCGCGGGAAAGGCGCCTATCAGGACCGCGACAAGCCAGCCCAGATCCGCTTCAGCAACATTTCCGCCGCCAAAGGTATCACTCTCATGGCCTGACCCGCGGCGCCGCGGGGTTGTGCTCTGCGCTCTCATCGTGGGCTTGAGCGGGTTTGGCTCATTTCCCATTTCTTCGGGTGATCCTCTCTTGTCCTCCCTATAGAAGCAGCCCAGTGGAGGGATCCTTATTTCTGTTTTTCTGCCGATGATCGCCAACCCGGAGTATGGAGGCCTTTGGACTTGCCCCATTTTGCATCTTAATCTCCCTTAGTTTTTCATCCTGCACTGTGCATCATTCATATTGGAGCCGAAAGCAGTTCAAAATGCCGAGGATTGCATGCAGTCTTCACTAGGGATCTGACGCTTGAGGGCTGTCGCTTATTGCTTATTGGAACTGGTAGAATGCACAGTATCTTTCAGCTTTGTTATTCTTATTTAAAGAACTATTAAATAAACTTCACTTGGCACAACTGTTGAGACGAATTGGGTGAACTCTCCGAGTCTAAATTGGGGCGGGGCCCATTGTACTGGGATGGATGTGGGAACCGACTTACGTGTCGTGTTTGAAATAGTTGCGGAAAAGTTACGTTGATGTCGTCTCCGCATGTGCAGTGAAACATAGGCAAATCAAGAAACAATTATTTGTTTTTTTTGTGGAAGTGTGTGGCACACGTTGGAAATCAGGAAGACCAGAGTTTCATTCTCTGCTTCCGTTACTTCATGTCTTAGTGACCTGTAACCTCTGTGCCAAAGATTCACTTATAAAATTGGAGGAAAATGTTTGCTTTTTAGAGTTAAGATTAAGAGAAATCGAGTTGAAATAGAAAAATCTGGAAGGAAAAGTCAGGACAGAGGTTTAGAGATCTTGCCCGAGTGTATATTGAGTATAGTAGTTCTTTTGGGTTGGAGAATAGTAGTATGTTTACAGAAGAGGTGAGATTAGAAAGCTAGGTTGGGGCAGATGTTAAAGGCCTGGTGTCCTGGAAAGTATTTGGCTTAATCTCCCCCAGCTATGGGATCATTTCTTTTTAGCCATCGTGTAGGCTTGCTGTGAGGATTCAGTGAGAAAGCATATAAAGACCCACGTATATAAAGTACACCTTACATGTGTTTGCAGTCATCAGCCCAAGTAACTGGGAATGTGATGGCGCTAAGATAGGTAACGCTGGATGTAAGAAAAAGTAATAGTTTCTAACTTGTCCTAATGAGTTGGAAAGGTCAGAATGGCCAGATTTAGGAGTCATTTGTAAGTTTAGGAGATAATACACCTGGAAACGAAGGTTTGTAGGATAATTGTCTAGGGACCATAGTTGAAGCTTACATTTATTAGATTAGGAACAGAATGTTGAAAGATAAATTTTGGGTCGGGCAGGGTGGCTCACGTCTGTAATCCCAGCAATTTGGGAGGCTGAGGCTGGCGGATCACATGAGGTCAGGAGTTCAAGACCAGCCTGACCAACATGGAGAAACCCCGTCTCTACTAAAAATACAAAATTAGGTGGGTGTGTTGGCGTAGGCCTGTAGTCCCAGCTACTCGGGAGGCTGAGGCAGGGGAATAGCTTGAACCTGGGAGGCGGAGGTTGCCGTGAACTGACGTCGCGCCATTGCACTCCAGCCAGGGTGACGAGCGAAACTCCGTCTCAAAAAAAAAAAAAGATAAATTTGGGGGCCAAGAGAGTTTATAATATGGTTGATATTCAACAAACAAAATAAGTGGGAAATTTAGCAACCTTTGAAACAAAAGCAGACAAAGAACTGAAACAACAGAGGAGGGTGTGCATGTGGGAAGGAAAGGCCACCTAAGTTATCTGTGAAGATGACCCGTTATGTCTTAAACTCCTGGCCTCAAGTGACGGCCTGCCTTGGCTTCGCAAAGCGCTGGGATTACAGGCGTGAGCCACCGCACCCGGCCCCAGAGATGTTTTATAACATACTGATGATGACCAAAAGCTATGATTTGAGAGTTTTGGTTTTTGTTTGGTTTGTTAGGTTTGGTTTGTTTGTTGAGATGGAGTCTGTCTTGCTCTGTCCCCCAGGCTGGAGTGCAGTGGTGTGATCTCTGCTCATTGCAACTTCTGCCTCCTGGGTTCAAGCGGTTCTCCTGCCTCAGCCTCCCGAGTAGCTAGCTGGGACTACAGATGCGCACCGCCACACCCGGCTCATTTTTGTATTAGTAGAGGCAGGGTTTCGCCATGTTGTCCAGGCTGGTCTCGAACTCCTGACCTTAGGTGGTCTGCCCGCCTCAGCCTCTCAAAGTGCTGGTATTACAAGTGTGAGCCATCACGCCCAGCCTTGTTGGATTTTTTAGAAGAGTATCTTGCTCTGTAGCATTTCCATTGTGGTTTGCCCTTTTGGCGGTGTTGGCGGGCCACCTATCTACCATGTTCACATTAGTGAACAAAAGTCTTTGCTCTCAGAGATTACATACTAGACAGAGTAAACAAATAAGTGAATTATCTGTAAATTGAGCATTCCTAATTTGAAATACTCCAAAATTCAAAACACTTCTGGTCCTAATCATTTTGGAAAAAGGATACTCCTCCATCAGTATTTTAGATCTAGACAGTTCTGTTGCTGCTTGTCCTGTTTTAGGAATGGAGGAAATAGCAATTCTCAGAGCTCCTAACTAGATTGTACCATTTTGACATCTGAAGGAAGATGAGATGAATCCTCAAAATGTATTCTGCCATAAGCTGATTACAAATACTAGGCCAGGCGTGGTGGCTCACACCTGTAATCCCAGCATTTTGGGAGGCCGAGGCAGGCGGATCTTGAGGCCAAGAGATTGAGACCATCCTGGCCGACATGGTGAAACCCCATCTCTACTAAAAAATACAAAAAAATTAGCTGGGTGTGGTGGCACGTGCCTGTAGTCCCAGCTACTCCAGAGGCTGAGGCGGAAGAATCACTTGAACTCAGGAGGCGGAGGTTGCAGTGAGCCGAGATTGCCTCACTGCACTCTAGCCTTGTGACAGAGTGAGACCATGTCTCAAAAAATAATAATAATAATACTGTGTACGTTGACTAACAGAAGTGAAGCATCATACATTTAAAAGAAAAATAATTGTTGCCAATAGATTATTTTTAGACAATGAATTTTCTTCTGTGGACATGGTGATTTGTTATGCACTATATCCTAATAAGAACACAATGATCATTTGAGGGGAAAAAAACTCTATTCTTTAAGAAGTCTTGATTTCCCATACTCCCAGCTATTCTGGGAGGCTGAGGTGGGAGGGTTGCTTGAGCCCAGGAGTTTGAGGCCATCCTGGACAATATAGTAAGACCCTGTCTCTTAAAAAAAAAAAAGTTCTAATTTGTTTTCTTTTTTTTCCCCCCCATCTGCAGCGGTTGCTGATGCTATTAGAACAAGCCTTGGACCAAAAGGAATGGATAAAATGGTAAAGAGTTGAGTCATTGAATACTACTAATTGAGCACTGCTGTTCACACTACAAGATCTTGTTGAAGGGTTAGATGTGCTGTTTAAAAAGTGGGGCTGGGCGTGGTGGCTCACACCTATAATCCCAGCACTTTGGGAGGGTGAGGGGAGGATCACCTGAGGTCAGGAGTTGGAGACCATCCTGACCAACATGGAGAAACCCTATGTCTACTAAAAATACAAAATTAGCCAGGCATGGTGGCTCATGCCTGTAATCCTAGCTCCTGGAGAGGCTGTGGCAGGAGAATTGCTTGAACCTGGGAGGCAGAGGTTGCGGTGAGCTGAGATTGTGCCATTGCACTCTAGCCTGGGCAATAAAAGCAAAACTCTATCTCAAAAAAAAAATAAATAAAATAAAAATAGTAGAAAGTGGGTGGGGCACAGTGGCTCGCACCTGTAATTCCAGCACTTTGGGAGGCCGAGACGGGTGGATCACAAGGTCAAGAGTTCAAGACCAGCCTGGCCAATATGGTGAAACCCCGTCTCTACTAAAAATACAAAAATTAGCCAGGCATGGTGGCGGGCACCTGTAATCCCAGTTACTCAGGAGGTGGGAGACTGAGGCAGGAGAATCACTTGAACCCAGGAGGCAGAGGTTGCAGTGAGCCGAGATCGCGCAGCTGCACTCCAGCCTGGGCAATGGAGCGAGACTCCATCTCAAACCAAAAAAAAAGTAAAAAGTGTTGGGTACCTGGAATTCAGAGGAAGGAGAGGTTACTTTGGAGTCAACAGGACTAAACTATAATTCATATTTTGTTTAATGCTTCTTAAACAATGAGAATGCACACCCAAATATAGATATCTATTATGTAGTTAAGTGGAAACTATTATAAATCCAGGTGTTGGGACTTCAGTTTAGTGTTCCTTATGGATGTAACTTTGTATCTTAATGTGGGTCTCTGTGAGATAAAACAATATGGAGGATCATCTGGATGATACTATAGATTATTCTCCGCTCTGGATATTCAAAAATCTATCTTTCCCAAAAATGCCATTGTCCTTTTTGTAGGACAAAAAAGGAAAAAAGTTACTGTGTTGACTGTAAGAATTGTGTTCACCGCATGGCATGGTACTGCTTTAGGGGCATCCATGGTGGAAATCGTGTTTCTGATTAATAAGAAATCATTAAAGATAGCAAGTGCTTCTTTATAATATTTTTCCTTTTGTGTGTGTGTGTGTGTGTGTGTGTGTGTGTGTGTGTGTGTGTCTACATTTCTTCACTTTTAGATTACCCTGCAACAAAGCCACTTTTTTCTTTTGTAAAGTTGGACTGTTATTGCGTATTCTTAAACTATTATGCTAATGTAAGGGAAGAGAATTTAAAATTAAGTACTTTGCAAACAGAAATTAACTTCTCTATTTTGAAATGTAAAAGTTTAATAAAACTATTAAGGTGTGACATTGAAATATAACTTTAAAATTTTTTTTCTAGATTCAAGATGGAAAAGGTGATGTAACCATTACAAATGATGGTGCTACCATTCTGAAACAAATGCAAGTATTACATCCAGCAGCCAGAATGGTAAGTGTAATTTTAGGTGAGTCTTTTTTTTTTTTTTTTTTTGAGACAGAGTCTTGCTCTGTCATCCAGGCTAGAGTGCCGTGGCACAATCTCAGCTCACTGCAACCTCTGCCTCCCAGATTCATTTCTCCTGCCTCAGCCTCCTGAGTAGCTGGGATTACAGGCTCGTGCCACCATGCCTGGTTGATTTTTGTATTTTCAGTAGAGACGGGTTTCACCATGTTGGTCAGGCTGTTCTCAAACTCCTGACCTTGTGATCCACCTACGTTGGCCTCCCAAAGTGCTGGGATTACAGACATGAGCTACTGCGCCCGGCCAGATGAGTCTTCTTTTTTAAGTGTGTTTGATACTTGGTAAACAGTTAAATTTATTTGATCACATGATATTTAAGCACGATGAACACTTTTCGTGCTGAACAGGCATATTTTTAGGATACATTGTGTGCCTAACATTGTGCTTTTTGGTGTGAGGTGATAATAAAACACAAATCAAGCCAGGCATAGTGGTGCATGCCTTTAGTCCCAGCCACTCCATAGGCTGACATGGGAGGATTATTTGAGCCCAAGAGTTTGTGGCTGCAGAGAGCTATAATCACACCACAACACTCCATTCTGAGTGACAGAGTGAAACCCCAGAAAAAAAAAAAAAAGCTGGGCACAGTGGCTCACACCTGTAATCCCGGCACTTTGGGAGGCCAAGGTGGGAGGATTGCTTGAGCTCAGGAGTTTGAGACCAGCTTGGCCAACATGGCGAGACCTTGTCTCTACTGAAAATACAAAAAATAATAGTTGGGTGTGTGGTGCGCACCTGTGGTCTCAGCTACTCAGGAGGCTGAGGTGGGAGAATTGTTTGAGTCCAGGGGAGGTAGTGAGCTGTGATTGCGCCACTGCACTCCAGCCTGGGTGACAAAGCGAGACCCTGTCTCAAAAAAAAAAAAGAAAGAAACACAAGTCACCTTATACTTGTCCACAGAAATGATTATTTTTCCTTTCATATGATTATTGTGTTCTTATTAGGGTATGGTGCATAGCAGTTCATGTGTCCACAGAAGAAAATTCATTGTCTAAAAATATAATCTACTGGAAACAGTAATTATTTTACTTCTTTTACCTTATACTAGTCCATGGAAACTTGGCATACACTCGAGGAATAAGGAGATTAAAAACATAAACCTGGTGTCAAGTCATATGAGCAAAAACAAATTCATTAGAAAGAAATTTCTATCAGTCTGGTCGCAGTGGCTCGTGCCTGTAATCCCAGCACTTTGGGAGGCTGAGGCGGGTGGATCACCTGAGGTCAGGAGTTCGACACCAGCCTGGCCAACATCGTGAAACCCCATCTCTACTAAAAATACAAAAATCAGCTGGGCGTGGTGGTGCATGCCTTTAATTTCAGCTACTCGGAGGCAGAGACAGGAGAATTGCTTGAACCGGGGAGGCAGAGGTTGCAGTGAGCCGAGATTGCCCCACTTCACTCCAGCTTGGGGTGACAGAGTAAGACTCCGTCTCAAAAAAAAAAAAAAGGAACTTCTATCAAAAAAATCCCTCTGAGTTGTGTAAAGATGGCTTTTAAAAAATTTTTTTTTTTTACAAAGATACTGATCAAATTTATTTATAATGGAAACAACCTGGAATAGGCAAAATATCCAATGATAAGAAAATGTTTAAACAGTATACCACAGCATGTTAATCATACAGCCATTAAAAATTGTTTATGAAGATTTTTATGAGGAAAAACACTAATGAAACATTACATGAAAAAAGATAAAATTACGTATATACTGTGAGCTTACTTAAAAAATAGAAAATGATTGGAAATAAACCAACATACTGTATACAAATATTAATGGTCTTTGCTTCAAAAATATTTAGTTGACACATTTTAATTTCTTTCTGTATTTTCCAAATTTTGTATAATTACCACATACTATTTTACAAATAGTATGTGGTACTATTGAGGAATAAGGAGATTAAAAACATAAACCTGGTGTCAAGTCATATGAGCAAAAACAAATTCATTAGAAAGAAATTTCTATCAGTCTGGTCGCAGTGGCTCGTGCCTGTAATCCCAGCACTTTGGGAGGCTGAGGCGGGTGGATCACCTGAGGTCAGGAGTTCGACAGGATAACAAAAAAATTTTGTTATCCAGAAGTGACAAAAGTCTCTATATATAATATTGCTATTAAAATGTTGAAAAAAATGATTATTATAGGAAAATAAGCATCTTATTTGGAACATAAAATAAGAAAGCATTGCTAAATAAAACAAAACTTCACTGCTACGTGAAGTTTTGCTGTTTTCTTGGATAGTCCTGAGGCTTCATATGTTGTGCCATCCACCAGTTATGAAAAGATGGCTTTTTAATGAATCAGGTTATACTTACAAGGGGTCTACTCAAATAAACTTGGCAAAAGACTCTTAAGTTGATACTCTGAGGCTGGGAATGGTGGTTCATGCCTGTAATCTCAGCACTGTGGGAGGCTGAAGCAGGAGGATCCTTTGAGCCCAGGAGTTCAAGACCATTCTAGGGAACATAATGGGGCCCCGTCTCTAAAAACAAACGAACAAAAAAGACTTTTTAAAAAAAGTAGCCAGATGTGTTAGTGTGCACCTATAGCCCCAGCTACTCGGGAGACTGAGACAGGAGGATCTCTTGAGCCCAGGAGGTGGAGGCTGCAGTGAGCCATGATTGCACTGCTATACTCCAGTCTGGGTGACAGAGTAAGACCCTGTCTCAAAAAAAAAAGTTTGATACTCTAGTCTCATCTGGAATGCCCCTTTTCTTAGCTTCCAATTCTATAGAGTACTTACGATATATTTTTGCTTTCTAATTAGAACTTTTGAGTAGCAGGGCAGGGGGAGATGACAACCCACAATCTGAACTGGAGATCATCTACTAGTCTTTAATTTTAAATGAAACCCAAGGTAGACAACAAATCAGAAGAAATCAGGAATCATGTTGCATCTTCAAATTCTGTTTGTGACACTGGTGCGATTATTTGAATTAGGTGTTACTGGGTTCTGTCATTTCTCATTGAGCAACTTGGCATTTTCTGTTCACTTAGCTGGTGGAGCTGTCTAAGGCTCAAGATATAGAAGCAGGAGATGGCACCACATCAGTAGTCATCATTGCTGGCTCCCTCTTAGATTCTTGTACCAAGCTTCTTCAGAAAGGTGGGTAGGATGTACTTTATTACTGAATAAAGAAAAGTTTAAAAAACAAACTTTAGGAAAAGCCAAGTTATTCATAAGTAATATGGGATTGAAGATTTAATTTGGAATAACTAATCTTTTTACCAAGAATTTTTAAAGTTAGATTTTGCTATATTTATAATAGAGATTAGAAGAAATTTTCCTTGGCTTCTGATATTTGCTGGGCTCCTTTTTGAATGGAACTCAATTGAATTTTGCTGTTCAAAAATGAGTGGTAGAGGCCGGGCGTGGTGGCTCATGCCTGTAATTCCAGCACTTTGAGAGGCCAAGGTGGGTGGATCCCCTGAGGTCAGGAGTTCAAGACCAGCCTGACCAACAGTGAAACACAGTCTTTACTAAATACAAAAAATTAGCCGGGCATGGTGGCGCGTGCCTGTAATCCCAGCTAAGGCAGGAGAATCACTTGAACCCGGGAGGTAGAGGTTGCAGTGAGCCAAGATCATGCCATTGCAGTCCAGCCTGGGCAACAAGAGCAAACTCCATCTCAAAAAAAAAAAAAGAAATGAGTGGTAGAAATATTACTAATCTTGGACTCTTATACAAGAAAGAAGATTTGGGAGAGAAAGTCAGGATTGTCTTTGCTTTAGTAAATGGTATTTAATTATAGTAGTGACTATCCAATCACTTATTTTACTTATAATGTAGATTTGTGATATTTTGAGAAGTATCGGCCAGGTGCGGTGACTCATACTTGTAATCCCAGCACTTTGGGAGGCTGAGGCTGGCAGAACAATTGAGCCCAAGGAGTTGAGACCAGACTGGGCAACATGGCAAAACCCTGTCTCCACCAAAAAAAAAAAAAAAAAATACAAAAAAAATTAGCCGGGTGTGGTGGCGTGTGTCTGTAGTCCCAGCTACTCAGGAGGCTGAGGTGGGAGGATCACTTGAGCCTGGGAGGTTGAGGCTGTAGTGAGCTGAGATCAGGGCGCTGCACTCTAGCCTGGGTGACAGAGTAAGACCCTGTCTCAGAAAAAAAAAAAAAAAAAAAAAGTATAAAATTTGGTTTTAGTCAAGACCATTAATAAGTGTGTAATCTGTTTTAAGTTGGATGGAAGTAAATTATTAGCCATAGTTAGCAGGTTATTCAAGCCACTATATTACAACTGAAGCATAAGTTTGTAATTAAGAATAGTTAAATTTGTGCTTGCTTTGACATTGAGTAGAAAATTTTTAAGCCATGTCAAATGTGTAGTTTACCTGTTACAATTAAATAACTAGACTTTCACAAATTACAGGGATTCATCCAACCATCATTTCTGAGTCATTCCAGAAGGCCCTGGAAAAGGGCATTGAAATCTTGACTGACATGTCTCGACCTGTGGAACTGAGTGACAGAGAAACTTTGTTAAATAGTGCAACCACTTCACTGAACTCAAAGGTGAGACAAACACTAACGGATACTTGTCAAATTAGTTAAAAGTGTGTTACTCTATGATTCTTGATGCTATACGGTACATAAATACTAAATCTCAAGAGTGGCTAGGTAACTGTTATAATCTGTATAATTGAATTGGTTTAAGATTAAGAGAGGAAATGAGCCATAAGGCTAACAAAGGAGTTAGGATATTTAATATATACTATATCCATTTCCACTTTTCTGTTTAATGCATTGTAACAGTGTTTTGATAAAGCTAGATATTTTAATTTGCCTATAAGAAACCTTTTCCTCCACCAAATCAGAAAGACTGCCATAGATTACTGGCAGTATAGCTAATTTTTATTGAATATTTAATATGGTGGGCATTGTGATAAGTTTTTTACATTTATTGTCCTCTTCAAGGCCCTCAGATAGTCATATCCCCATTTTATAGATGAAAAGAGTAGATCTAGAGGAGTAACTTATCCAAGGACCGCTAACAGAAACAGCTGAGATTTGAACCCAGGACAGGCTGCCCATCGTGGTCCATCCCTTAACTAATACTTATGCTGCTTTTCTTATTTACCAAACTTAAAGCGGTGTTGTGCTTTTAAATTTCTTTGGAACTCATGTCACTTGTTTTCTGTAATATCCTGTGTTTATCCCTTCCTTCCCCTAATCCTTTTTCCTTTTAAAAATCAGTATTAAGTCCATACATTCATTTTGTTTGAATGTTAGGTAGTGTTAGGGACACTAAGTGATACTGTTGGATGTCCTTAGAACTAATACAGATAGTATAGCGTAATGGTTACAAGCACTAGGCATTGAGTCTAGACTGCTTGTGTTTGTTCAGTACTGACTTCACCACTTAACTACGCTGTTTGGCCAAATGACTTAACCTCTTGGCTTCAGTTTCTCCATCTGAAGATTGAATGAGTTAATATGTAAAGTTCTAAGACCACTGCCTGGCATATGTTAAGTGATTGATAAATGTTAGCAATTTTTATCAACCCCTCATCAGGAATGTACATACATAACATTGATGCCTCATCACACATTCATTTTAGATAGAAAATACTCACGTAAAATTAAATTTATGCTTTTTGGATTTCCTGTAAAACTTTGATATTCTACAGTCCCGGCTATTATATTAATAAAAGAAAAAAGCAAGCATACATGTTTTTATTTTGTGCCCCTGGTGACAACCTGAATGGAAAAGACACTTTATGGACTGTCTTCTCATGAGTGTTTCCCTCTTCATACCCACACCCCACTGCAAAAATTATAAGAGTCTTTCTTAAGTATCTTTGTCATTGAAAAATTAGGACTTTTTTCTACTGTGAAGGTAACTTTTTTTTTTTTTTAATAATTCTAGGTGGTTTCTCAGTATTCAAGTCTGCTTTCTCCAATGAGTGTAAATGCAGTGATGAAAGTGATTGACCCAGCCACAGCCACCAGTGTAGATCTTAGAGATATTAAAATAGTTAAGAAGCTTGGGTAAGCATCTCTAATTACAACTTGAATAAAAATTTGAAAATGAGCATCAGATTGCCAAAAATAAATAAAAACACCTAGATGAAAGTCACAAAGCTCTCTTTTCTCTTTTTGGTTTTGTTTTCGTGAGAATTTGTATTAGTATGGGCATCTGGAGATTTTGTTTATGTTACCTTATGATAGTAAGGCAGCAGTGGATCAAAGAGATCCAGGAGTGGGGCAATAATAAATGTGAGGCTGAATCATATTTTATTGGACTGATGACTTTTAATCTGTTCATCTATTAAACGTACAGATGTCCACTCCCTCTTAACTACCCCTCTTTGTTTTCTTTTATCCTTAGTGGGACAATTGATGACTGTGAGTTGGTGGAAGGGCTGGTTCTCACCCAAAAAGTGTCAAATTCTGGCATAACCAGAGTTGAAAAGGCCAAGATTGGGCTTATTCAGTTTTGCTTATCTGCTCCCAAAACAGACGTAAGTAGAATCCAAATGAAATTGGTTCTCTGTGTTTAACTTTTTAATAACTCAGGCATTTCTTTATTAAAAATAGAAAATACTACTAGTGATTTAAAGCAGATCTCAAAAGACTTACTAGAATTGAGACAAAAATAGTAATTGTTGGTGCCACAAGTGACAAGTCTGTATCCTCAGTTGGGATATTGAAATTGAGAGCTAGCCATTTGCAACGATGCCTGTAGTCCCAGCTCCTTGGGAAATTGAAGCAGAAAAATTGCTTGAACCTAGGAGTTTGAGGTTGCAGGGTGCTATTCCATGACCTGTGAATAGTCCCTGCACTCCACTCCAGCCTGGGCAACATAGTGGGACCCCATCTTTTCACTGTTGCTGTTAATTTACAAATTCACACAGATTAGAGAGGGACCCTATCTTTTGAAAACAACTAGGGTAACCATTTTATATTTTTTGGTTATAAAAAATTTACTTGCAAAATGTAAGATACCAGTGTACTTAGTTGAAAATAAAAGACTCAAGTTTGGGATGTGTATCTTAATCCAGACTCTTTTCTATGCATGTCTATATAATTTATTACTTGATATAGTTTTGGTTGAATTTATACAACACATAGTATTTTCGCTTAAAATTCTACTTTTAAACTTAAAATATCTTACAATGCAAATTATGATGTTCTTTTTCTGAACAGATGGATAATCAAATAGTGGTTTCTGACTATGCCCAGATGGACCGAGTGCTGCGAGAAGAGAGAGCCTATATTTTAAATTTAGTGAAGCAAATTAAAAAAACAGGATGTAATGTCCTTCTCATACAGAAATCTATTCTAAGGTGTGGGGCTATTTATTTTGTTCATCCCTTAATGATAATTTTGGATCTCCACTAGCAGTTTATTTTTTCTGATAAAATATATGATTTAAGCACTTACTCTAAGTTCGTATTTCTTAACAGACAACTCTTAGGTGAAACGAAATGGAGAATTTTTATTTTAAAAGCACAGGTAAAATGTTAGGCCTCAATATTGTACCATCATTTGCTCAGACCAAGGGAAAAAATGGTATAAGTTCAGTTAAGATGTCTAGGAAAAGCATTTTAAACAAATATATGACTTGTAAATTCAAAACAATAAAGGTGTAATTTTCTTTTACAAAAAAAAGTAGGTTTTTTAAAATAGCCAACTAACTGCCAGAATGTTGTGTTTTGGCCTTTTAAAAAACTTATTTCTTCGATTATTGGCTTCAGGGTGGAGCCCTTAAGGAACAGGGCCAAGAAAGCATGCAGTTTTTAGAGTCTAAACCACACTTCTAATAGCAATTTTTTTTAATTTTTTTTTTTTTTTTTTTGAGACAGAGTCTCACTCTGTCATCCAGGCTGGAGTGCAGTGGTGCAATCTCGGCTCACTGCAACCTCCGCCTCCTGGGTTCAACAAGTGATTCTACTGCCTCAGCCTCCCGAGTAGCTGGGACTGCAGGCACGTGCCACCACACCTGGCTAATTTTTTGTATTTTTTGAGTAGAGATGGGGTTTTACCATGTTAGCCAGGATGGTCTCGATCTCCTGACCTCATGATCCACCCGCCTCAGCCTCCCAAAGTGCTGGGATTACAGGCATGAGCCACCGCACCCAGCCTCTAAGAGCAATTTTTATAGAAACATTTGAGTTGGGTAAACCACCAGAAATCTGCATTTTTTTTTTTAGCAGTATCATTATTTTTCCTTGCAGTTACAAGCTGGAAAAGCATTATTATGTTTTGATAAAAAGTGCGTAATCTTCCTTTTTTTTTTGAAATGGAGTTTCGCTCTTGTTGCCCAGGCTGGAATCAATGGTGCGATCTCGGTTCACCACAACCCCCGCCTCCTGGGTTCACGCAAGTCTCCTGCCTCAGCCTCCCGAGTAGTTGGGATTACAGGCATGTGCCACCACACCCAGCTAATTTTGTGTTTTTAGTAGAGACGGGGTTTCTCTGTTAGTCAGGCTGGTCCTGAACTCCCAACCTCAGGTGATCCGCCAGCCTTGGCCTCCCAAAGTGCTGGGGTTACAGGCATGAGCCACCACGCCCGGCCCTATCTTCCCTTTTAAATGTAGGATATATAATCTTACCTAGACCAAGGTCCTAAACATCAAGCCTTGTTCTTTTAAAAGCCATGTTGCAGAATTAATTACCTAGTTAAAAGTGGAATTTATTTAAAGGTCTATGCAATTGCTTGCCTTGTCATTTAGAGGTACTTTTTGGGGGAATGCTCTGCATAGTCCATAGATGAAAAGAATTCTCTGAAGTTTGACAGATCACTTTTTTCCTTCTTTTTTTTTTTTTGGAGACACAGTCTCACTCTGTCACCCACGCTAGAGTACAATGGCGCAGTCTCAGCTCACTGCAACCTCTGCCTCCCAGGTTCAAGCAGTTTTCCTTCCTCAGCCTCCTGAAATAGTTGGGATTACAGTCACGTGCCACCACGCCTGGCTAATTTTTGTAGAAATGAGGTTTTATCATGTTGGTCAGGCTGGTCTTGCACTCCTGACCTCGTGGTCTGCCCCCCCTTGGCCTCCCAAAGTGCTGGGATTACAGATGTGAGCCACCGTGCCTGGCCAGTATTTTTTCCTAATAGACGCATTCCCATTTACTCCATTAATGTGCCAGAATGTACTGTGGATGTTCATTTTATATAGTCTTTGAAGACTCAGAAGACTTGGTTCTAATCCCAATCATATAATAGCTACTGACCTTGAGTAAATTGCCCCCCAAACTCAGTTTGCTTATCCGTATAATAGGGATAGTAGTAATATCTACCTTTCTAGTATCACAGAGTTGTTATTCACAGTTCATGGGGAAGTGTAAATTTGTGGAGTCTGAATTAATACTTCTAAATTCATGAAGTATTAATAAGGTTTCACTTCCCAAGATGTGCTCATTTGTTAAGAAAAATGAGGTCAGGCACAGTGGCTCATGCCTGTAATCCCAGCACTTTGTGGGGCCGAGGTGGGAGGATCACTTGAGCCCTGAGTTCAAGACCGGCCTGGGCAACATAGGGAGACCCTGTCTCTATTAAAAATAAATAAATGAGCCGGGTGCAGTGGCTCATGCCTGTAATCCCAGCACTTTAGGAAGCCAAGGCGGGTGGATCACCTGAAGTCAGGAGTTCGAGACCAGCGTGGCCAACATGGTGAAACCCCGTCTCTACTAAAAATACAAAAATTAGCCAGGTGTGGTGGCGGGAGCGTGTAGTCTCAGCCACTTGGGAGGCTGAGGCAGGAGAATCGCTTGAACCCAGGAGGTTGAGGTTGCAGTGAGCCAAGATCGTGCCATTGCACTCCAAGCCTGGGCAACAAGAGCGAAATTCCATCTCAAAAAAATAAAAATAAATAAATAAATGGGGAAAAAATAATGACCTAGTTATTTCGTGTGTTTTATAGTGTCATTGGGGACAGAGTACATTTTAATACTGGAATTGTACTAAAATTTCCAATAGAATTGGAAATCTTAATTTTGACCTTACGAACTTAGTAAACTAAAGCATTTTTCTTCAGAAATAATGATTGGCCATTTAAGAAACAGTAATTAAAACCTTAAAGGCATTTGAAGAGCAAAATTTTTTTAATCTAGCATTGACATAATCACTGATTTTGTATTTTAGAGATGCTCTTAGTGATCTTGCATTACACTTTCTGAATAAAATGAAGATCATGGTGATTAAGGATATTGAAAGAGAAGACATTGAATTCATTTGTAAGGTAAAACATTAACATCTGTATTTGTGGAAAATGTCTGATAATTAGATAAATGTCTTAATTTGTGGATTTGACTGTTTTTTCCAGACAATTGGAACCAAGCCAGTTGCTCATATTGACCAATTTACTGCTGACATGCTGGGTTCTGCTGAGTTAGCTGAGGAGGTCAATTTAAATGGTTCTGGCAAACTGCTCAAGGTAACAGTATTACACTTAAATTTTTATTTGCTTAGGTTTGGGTATGGGGTTTTAGGTTGTTTTTTTTCTTTTTTTGAGACGGAGTCTCACTCTGTCGCCCAGGTTGGAGTGCAGTGGCATGATCTTGGCTCACTACAAGCTCCGCCTCCCGGGTTCATGCCATTCTCCTGCCTCAGCCTCCCGGGAAGCTGGGACTACAGGCGCCTGCCACCACGCCCTGCTAATTTTTTGTATTTTTAGTAGAGACGGGGTTTCACTGTGTTAGTCAGGATGGTCTCGATCTCCTCACCTCGTTAGCCACCCGCCTCATCCTCCCAAAGTGTTGGGTTTACAGGCGTGAGCCGCCGTGCCCGGCCTGGGTGTGGGGTTTTTTTGACCCTTCAAATACTTAATTTGGAATTTGTTTACTGAAGATTACAGGCTGTGCCAGCCCTGGAAAAACAGTTACAATTGTTGTTCGTGGTTCTAACAAACTGGTGATTGAAGAAGCTGAGCGCTCCATTCATGATGCCCTATGTGTTATTCGTTGTTTAGTGAAGAAGAGGTAATGTCAGTGTTACATTATTAAGTAACATTTTGAACATTAAAACTATTATATTCTATTTTTTAAAGATATAAATAGCAAATTATTAAAAATAATTTTCTTTTGGATAAAATAAGCTAAAAATATATTTGTGAATTTCAGGGCTCTTATTGCAGGAGGTGGTGCTCCAGAAATAGAGTTGGCCCTACGATTAACTGAATATTCACGAACACTGAGTGGTATGGAATCCTACTGCGTTCGTGCTTTTGCAGATGCTATGGAGGTCATTCCATCTACACTAGCTGAAAATGCCGGCCTGAATCCCATTTCTACAGTAACAGAACTAAGAAACCGGCATGCCCAGGGAGAAAAAACTGCAGGCATTAATGTCCGAAAGGTAATCATTTAATCTCTAATGTAGAAAATATTGATTAATTTAAAATATTAAAAGCTTTGTAGTCATCTGTTGAATGGAAAGCTCTGTAATGAAAAGCATAATCTTGGATTTAAATATGAGGCCTGCTGCATGTTAATTAATCTATGCCATTGAGTGAGAAGGAAGATGGTGACACCTTAGGGGGAAGTATTATTTGTTCATTAAATCTGCCACTTACTGACTAGCTTTTAGCAAGTTACTTAGTCTGTTCCTCAGTTTCCTCAGGTGTAAAAACAGGGATGATTAATAGTTCCCTCATAGGCCTGTTGTGAGAATTAAATGCATTTCTAGTTAACAAGCTCTTAGATAGATGCTTGGCATATACTAAAGACTGTATAAAAAATCATTGCCCTAGTTAGCATGAGCTAATGTAGTTGTGTAAGGTAATCATATGGTAATAATATCACTTTTTATTAATGTTTTGTTGAGGAGACAAATTAAACACATGATGGGAAAGAACTGACAGTCCAACTTTATATTGTCTGTATGGTACAGAACGCCAAATGATGGAACTATCTGTTTAGGGAAGGCTTTATGAAGATGCACTTTTGGTTGGTAGGGGATGAGGAAATTCCAGATGGGTAAGCAGTGGTTTTACAGGTGAGAAGGACCAAGCAGTTCTTCACCTGTGTAGAGCTGGGATTATATATTAGTGGTATAGTGGGCTTTAAGGTTGGAAAGATCAGATAAAAGCTATTATTAATAGGCCTGACGTGGTGGCTCACGCCTGTAATCCCAGCTGTTTGGGAGGCCGAGGTGGGCAGATCACCTGAGGGCAAGAGTTTGAGACTAGCCTGGCCAACATGGCAAAATTCCGTCTCTACTAAAAATGCAAAAAAAAAAATTAGCCAGGCGAAGTGGCGGATATCTGTAATCCCAGCTACACGGGAGGCTGAGGGAGGAGAATCGCTTGAACTGGGGAGGCAGAGGTTGCAGTGAGCCAACATCACACCATTGCACTCCAGCCTGGGCGACAGGGCGAGACTCCGTCTCAAAAAAAAAAAAAAAAAACTATTAATAGAATGAGGAGGCCCCTGATTATTGAGCCAGCCATTTTTTTTTTCCTTCCCGTAGTTGGGATCCACTGAAGTGTTTTTTGTTTGTTTGTTTGTTTGTTTTTTCTTTGGAGACGGAATCTTGCTCTGTTGCCCAGGCTGCAGTGCAGTAGCACTGTCAGCTCACTGCAACCTCCTCCTCCCAAGTTCAAGCAATTCTGCCTCAGCCTCCTGAGTAGCTGGGACTACAGGCGCCCACCACCAGGCCGGGCTAATTTTTTTGTATTTTTTAGTAGATATGGTGTTTCACTGTGTTGCTGAGGCTGGTTTTGCACTCCTGAGCTCAGGCAATTCACCTGCCTCAGCCTTCCAAAGTGCTAGGATTATAGGCGTGAGCCACGGTGCGGGGCCTAAAGATTTTTTTAAGCAAGAGGCTAAGGACATGAACATTTTAAGAAGGGAAGACTGGAAGTAAGGATGCCTGTTAGAGGCCATCAGGAGTAATCCCGGGATAAAGGGAAGTAGGATGAGATTTTTTTAAGCAAGAGGCTAAGGACAGGAATATTTTAAGAAGGGAAGACTGGAAGCAAGGATGCCTGTAAGAGGCCATCAGGAGTAATCCCGGGATAAAGGGAAGTAGGATGGTGCAATGAAGAATTTAAGGTGGCAAATATGAGACTGTAGAGTAGACTGGGGTTGATCTAATTAAGAATTAAAATTCAGAGATGATTTAAACATTAAAGAGATAATATTTTGTTTTGTTTTGTTTTTTTGAGACAGAGTCTCACTCTGTTACCCAGGCTGGAGTGCAGTGGCACAATCTTGGCTCACTGCACTCCGCCTCCTGGGTTCAAGCGATTCTTCTGCCTCAGCCTCCTGAGTAGCTGGGACTACAGGTGCATGCCACCACGCCTGGCTAATTTATTGTATTTTTAGTAGAGACAGGGTTTCACCGTGTTAGCCAGGATGGTCTCGATCTCCTGACCTCGTGATCTGCCTGCCTTGGCCTCCCAAAGTGCTGGGATTACAGGCGTGAGCCACCGCACCTAGCCAAGATATCATAATTTTTAACTACTGTGATCATTTTGCTAATTTTGCCAATATTTAAAAATAAGTGGCCAGGCGCCATGGCTCACGCCTGTAATCCCAGCACTTTGGGAGGCCAAGGCGGGCAGATCATGAGATCAGGAGATGAGACCATCCTGGCTAACACGGTGAAACCCTGTCTCTACTAAAAATACAAAAAATTAGCCGGGCATGGTGGTGGGCGCCTGTAGTTAGGATTGGGTGACTACAGCATTAATTCAGTTTTTCCAAATTTTAATTGAAATAACATCCCACAGTGTAGAGAAAAGCTTAGTAGAGTATCATATTCTAATCTTCTTAGACAGAAAGAAAACTAGATTTAGGTCTTGAGGTACACTGGTAACCACGTGGCTGCTGATGTGTATTATCACAGACACTAAAAGCAACTTGTGCTGATTTGATTTGCAGGGTGGTATTTCCAACATTTTGGAGGAACTGGTTGTCCAGCCTCTGTTGGTATCAGTCAGTGCTCTGACTCTTGCAACTGAAACTGTTCGGAGCATTCTGAAAATAGATGATGTGGTAAGTGTTTCCAGGTTGCAAATTTTCTTAGGAGGTCAAAAAGGCATATATTTTTTAAAGGTTTTTTGTTGTTGTTGTTGTTTGGTTGGTTGGTTGGTTTTTTTGAGACAAAGTTTTGCTCTGTTGCCCAGGCTGGAGCACAGTAGCACAGTCTCGGCTCACTGCAACCTCTGCCTCTGGGGTTCAAGTGATTCTCCTGTCTCATCCTCCTGAGTAGCTGGGATTACAGGTGTGAGCCACCACACCTGGCCATTGTTTTTTTAAAAGTTTTTACTTTTTTTTTTTTTTTTTTTTTTCTGAGACGAAGTCTTGCTCTGTTGCCCAGGCTGGAGTGCAGTGGCATGATCTCGGCTCATTGCAACCTCCGCCTCCTGGGTTCAAGCGATTCTCTTGCCTCAGTCTCCCACCTCCCAAGTAGCTGGGATTACAGGCATGTGCCACCACACCCAGCTAATTTTTGTATTTTTAGTAGAGACGGGGTTTCACCATGTTGGTCAGGCTGGTCTCGAACTTCTTACCTTGTGATCCACCTGCCTCAGCCTCCCAAAGTGCTGGGATTACAGGCATGAGCCACCGTGCCTGGCCAAGTTTTTACTTTTGATAAATATTTGCTAGTCATCAAGGTGACAGCAGTTCTTAATACAGGTTTTCCTTTTATTAATTGCCTTAAACATTTTCCAGCTTTAAAATTCTGTCATTACAGGTTTTGAAATCTAAGTTTTTCTCTTATCAGGTAAACACTCGATAATCTGGATAACTGACTAGCACCATTATGATCACCAGTATTGTGGCTGGAATGGAAGAAGATCACCTTGGTGTTCCTTGTTTGGAAGATTATTTCCTCTGAATTTCTGGGCTTGGTCTTCCAGTTGGCATTTGCCTGAAGTTGTATTGAAACAATTTAATGAAAATATTAAATATTTGGTTTCAAAAGGCAGATTTATCTTCTCCCAACATTCTGTTATTTCTGATACTTTTGAAAAACTAATAAAAACTAATAAAAGAAGCGTAAAAAGTGAGTTTACATGTTGAGGAAAAAAATGGCCCAATATGCTCATCACTGATAAATGCTCCCTGGCCTTAAAAACTACCAACATATAATATATATGCTGTCTTAAAAGTTAATGATCCAAGTGGCACCTCTCTGAACCTACTTTGGCTTGGGAGGCTGCCCAGTTAAAACAAAAATAAGTTAATGGTACAGAAAGAGAATGAAAAATGAAAGCCTCCTTTTATCCTATCATCCTAATTCCTTTTCCCAGTAATAATGACTGCTGTGTTGGATTCCTTCTGCAAATAAAAGTGTATACATATATGTAGCAAATCTTACTTAAACAAAAGGGTTTCTTAACTAATGTCTTGTTCCAGTGATTTTAAACATCTTGATTGCCACTGTCCTGATCTAAGCATCAGTGTCATCTCACCATGAAGAGTGTCAAATCTGTAACTAGTCTCTTCCCTTTAGCCACCTTCCAATCTATTTATTTCGCACATATTGAAGTCTAGTGATTTTTTTTTTTTTAGAGAAAAGCTCATCACCCAGGCTGGAGTGCAGTGGCGTGATCATAGGTCACTGCAGCCTTGAACTCCTGGACTTGAGCTAAGAATAAAGAATCCTGCTTTATTCTTTAGAATAGCTACAGCTACAGGTATGTGCCACCATCCCTATATATATATGTGTGTGTATATATATATATATATATATTTTTTTTTTTTTTTTTCAGAAATGGGATCCCACTATGTTGCCCAGGCTGGTTTTGAACTCCTGGCCTTAAACAGTCCTGCCTTGGTCTTCTAAAGCCCTGGGATTAAAGGCACTTAGTCAAGCACTCTTTTTGTAAAAGCTTTCATACCTTTGAGTAAAGGCTAGACCTTTTAAGGTCGATCAAAAGTTTGGCCTAAACAATCTGGTATTTCAGCTACCATCTCCTTGAGTATTTCACAAGGAGTTTCATGAAAGCAACTAGGCCCCTCTAGCATTGTGGAGAAAGGATTTCAGCCAAACAGTCTGAAGCTCCTTTTGTGTTCATCATGAAACTGAAATAGTTAACTAACTTGGTAAGTGTCTAATATTTTTAGATAAAGATTTCTGTATTATCTGGAATTTAGTACTTCAATTTATTCCTCACTTTGATAAGAACGTGAAATATGTTAATTCTAGCTGCCATAAAACAGTTGAATCAGGTATATCCTAAAATCATAAGTCAAAATACCTAATCCATATTTAAACATCTGTCAGTTACTCAGCACAAGATGTTTTTTTTTTCAGTGGCAGTGCCTTGCCATGTTGCTTCGGCAGGAGTGGTGGCTATTCATGTGTGAAGATCATAGCTCACTATAACTTCAAACTCCTGGGCTCAAGTTTGCCACAGCCTCCCAAGTAACTAGCACTACAGGCCTGTGCCACTGCACCCAGATAGCAGAAAGTTTTTTTTGTTTGTTTTTTTGAGACAGAGTCTCGCTCTCACCCAGGCTGGAGTGCAATGGTGCCATCTTGGCTTACCACAACCTCCGCCTCCCAGGTTTAAAGCAGTTCTGCCTCAGTCTTCCGAGTAGCTGGGATTATAGGTGCACGCTGCCACACCCGGCCAGTTTTTGTATTTTTAGTAGAGATGGGGTTTTACCGTGTTGGCCAGGCTGGTCTTGAACTCCTGACCTCGTGATCCGCACATCTCGGCTTCCCAAAGTGCTGGGATTACAGGCATGAGTCACCATGCCCAGCCAAGTGTTTTTGTTTTATGTGTTTTGACACAGGGTCTTGCTCTGTCGCCCAGGCTGGAATGCATTGGCACAACTATGGCTCACTACAGCCTCAACTTTCCAAGGCTCAAGCAGTCCTTCCACCTCAGCCTCCCTAGTAGCTGGGACTACAGGCGCACACCACCATGCCTGGCTAATTTTTGTATTTTTTTTTCACAGAGACGAGGTCTCGCTGTGTTACCCAGGCTGGCGTTTAATTCCTGGGCTCAAGCTATCCTTACCTTGGCTTCCCAAAGTGCTAGGATTACAGGCATGAGCCACCATGCCCAGCCTAACAGCACAAAGCTTTTTGTTCATAGGTTATGCCTAAATAATACAAATAGTGTGTATAGCAGCATTCTTCGAATTCTTCCAGCCGGACGTGGTTGCTCACGCTTGTAATCCCAGCACTTTGGGAGGCCGAGGCGGGTGGATCACAAGGTCAGGAGTTTGAGACCAGCCTGGCCAACATGGTGAAACCCCGTCTCTACTAAAGGTAGGAAAAAAAAAAAAGCCGGGCATAGTGGCAGGCACCTGTAATCCCAGCTACTGGGGAGGTTTCAAGAGTAGTATGAACATTGTATTACCCTCCACTTAGATTTAGCTATTAATTGACCTTTTGTTACATAGTTAGGTAACAGAAGTCATTGCAGTATGCAAAATGGAGACAACACCCAAAAACTTTAGCACAAAGGAAGCCTAATAAGTTTTACCCATGTTAAATGGTTATGAAGTACTGTATTAATACGTCCATCTCAAGAAAAAAGAAAACAATTGTAAGAAAACAGTTCTGTAATGTCCAACACCCAATCCGTGTTCAGATTTTTCTGACAATCTCTAGAGCAGGGGTGTCCAATCTTTTGGCTTCCCTGGGCCACGTTGGAAGAAGAATTCTCTTGGGCCAAACCATAAAATACACTAATACTAACAATAGCTAATGAGCTAAAAAAAAAAAAAATACATATATAAAATGTTTTAAGAAAATTTACGAATTTGTGTTGGGTCACATTCAAAGCTGTCCTGGGCTGCTTGTGGCTTGTGGGCTGCAGGTTAGACAAGCTTGCTCTAGAGTGTCTTTTTTTTTTTTTTAATTTTTTTGAGATGGAGTTTTGCTCTTGTCGCCCAGGCTGGAGTGCAATGGTGTGATCTCAGCTCACTGCAACTTCCGCCTCCCAGGTTCAAGCCATTCTCGTGCTTCGGCCTCCCTAGTAGCTGGGATTACAGGCACGTGCCACCACATCTAGCTCATTTTTGGTTTTTTGTTTTTTTTTTTTCAGTAGAGACGGGGTGTCACCATGTTGCCTAGGCTGGTCTTGAACTCCTGACCACAGTTGATCCACCTGCCTCAGCCTCCCAAAATACTGGGATTACAGGTGTGAGCCACCATGCCCAGCCTGAGCCCACACCCAGCCACCTTTTTCTTACTCAGCCTCTCAACAGATTGGATGATGCTGACCAGCACTGGGGAGGGCTATCTGCTTTATTCAGTCCACCAATTCAAATGTTAAATCTCCTTCAGAAACACCTTCACAGACACTCCCAGAAATGTTTTAACCAAATATCCCTTGGCCAGGTTGACACATTAGGCATCATAAATCTACCCACTGTCAACTTGGCCATCATATACATCTTTTTTTTTTTTTTTTTTTTTGAGACGGAGTCTCGATCTGTCACCCAGTTGAGATCCGGTGGTGCGATCTCGACTCACTGCAATTTCCGCCTCCCGGGCTCACTCCATTCTCCTGCCTCAGCCTCCCGAGTAGCTGGGACTACAGGTGCCCGCCACCATGCCCAGCTAATTTTTTGTATTTGTGGTAGAGACGAGGTTTCACCATGTTAGCCAGGATGGTCTCAAATCTCCTGACATCGTGATCCACCCGCCTCGGCCTTCCAAAGTGCTGCGATTACAGGCATGAGCCACCGCGCCCGGCCATACATCTTAAACCATACTTAAACCGTCAAATAAGGTAATAACATGGTCATAAATCCAGCTGACATGATACAACTATCCTGTGTAGGACCAAAAACACACTAACCCCTTCCTCAGAAGAAGAGTTAAAGTCACTGAGTGAAGTTTTACTCTTCTTGATGCCCCATAACCAAAATACTGTAATACAAAAAATACACCTTACATTATTACAGGATAAGGAAATAATGAGAGGACAGTATATGTATATATATCCACATCCATACTCATGACAAGTGAGGAACTACTCATGACAATTACAGCACTCGTTTCTGTAATGTGATTTTGGTTGTAGCTGCTATTGATAACTACCTTCTATTACATGCTCTGTTTTCCCTTTGTCTTCAGCAAGCACCTCAACTGGTTGTGGTCCTTTCCTCAGTGGGGTGATCCAAATCATTCTGAAGGGCCTGGGCTATTAGTAGTTCTACCTTATTTGGGCGGTTGTTATTTTCCATTGGCCGTAATCACAGAGCATGGTAATACTAAGAGACACTCTACGGGATCTTCTGTATTCCAGACATGCTCTTCCTTTCCTCTATTGTGGAGAAGTAGTTCAGTTTCCCCTTGGTAGTCAGTATCAATCACCCCAGCCAGCACTGTAGGTCCCTCTGCATGTTGATTCAAAGGTGCATAAGGAGCCAAACATGGCCAACTGGCCAACTTAACTTTTCATTTCAGTGGAATCTTTGTTATGTCTCCTGGTGGAAGCATCCCTCCCTCTGGAACTAAGACCTCTAGACCAGGAGAGCACAAAGTCACAAGAACAGGAAGCACAAATTGTGTTAGTGGGTCACTGGGTGTAGTAGTGAATGGTACCACTCCCATTTTCACCTCTTGATTCCTAGACCCATGAATTATGGCTATGAGAGAACAACACTGTATATTGGGTGCTAATTCAGAGTATACAGCCTTCTGGAGAATGTCCCAGCCCTGCAAAGTGTTGCCACCTAGCTGGCACTGTAATTGAGTCTTAAAAAGCTATTCCACTGTTCTTTAAAACCAGGCGTATCTCATGCCTGTAATCCCAGCACTTTGGGAGGCCAAGGCAGGTAGATCACGAGATCAAGAGATAGAGACCATCCTGGCCAAGATGGTGAAACCCCGTCTTTACTAAAAATACAAAAATTAGCTTGGTGTGGTGGCACGTGCCTGTAGTCCCAGCTACTCAGGAGGCTGAAGCAGGAGAATCACTTGAACCTGGGAGGCGGAGGTTGCAGTGAGCCAAGATTGCACCACTGCACTCCAGCCTGGCAACAGAGCGAGGCTCCATCTCAAAAAAAACAACAAAAAGCTATATCAGAGTGATGGGGAACATGGTAAGACCAGTGAATTGTATGGGCTTGGGCCCATAGCCACATTTTTTTTTTTTTTGAGCTGATGTCTCACTATGTTGCCCAGGCTGGTCTTGAACCCCTGGGCTCAAGCTATACTTCTTCCTGCTTTGTCCCCCAGGTGCTGGGATTACAGGCATGAGCCAATGCACCCATAATCCCAGTGTAACTAAGATCTCTATTTTCAAAGTAGCCATTACTTTCTCAAATTTTCCATGTAACTTTTTCTCTTTAATGTATTAAGTAAGTGGCATCAAGATAAATCTAAAACGGAGTTTTAGAAGGGAGAGAAGCAGCACAAGATAGGGGAAGAAGTGAAGCAATCTTAAGGTTTCCTCTGGAATCTGGCCTAAGCCTGATCCCATAAGGATCTCCGGAGGATGGATGACAACATATAGCTGTCCCATCAGTATGCAAGGGGTAGCTTAAAAACTTGTTTTTGTAATAATGAAAAGCTGTAAACAACTCAATGTCTGTGTAGTAGAATGGTGTATCAGTGATCAATTCATATATAACCAACTCCTCCCTCAAACTTAGTGGCTTTAAACATTATTTCATATGATTTTGTGGGGCACCTGGACACAGATGGGCAGTTCTTCTGAGATCACGTATGTGGCTGCATTTAACTGGGAACATCTGGGGCTGGCATGTTCAAGATGTCTAGTTTTTAGCAAAAATTTTGAGCTACACAAACAAGAAAGTATGGCTCATATATGGGGGGAAAGAACAGTCAATATAAACTGTCCCTGAGGAAGCCCGGATGCTGTGCATATAATAGAGATTTTAAATCTGCTACTATAAATATATTCAAAGAACTAAAGGAAACCAGGGTTAAAGACCTAACCAAATTATTCATGAGAATGATGTCTTGCAAAAAGAGAATATCAATAGATAGAAATTATAATTTAAAAAACAAAACTTCTGAAGTTGAAAAGTACAATAACTGACATGAAAAATCCACTGAAGGCACTCAGCAGATTTGAACTTGCAGAAGAGAATCAGCACACTTGGAGGTAGGTCAACTGAGATGACCAGGTTTGAAAGAACAGGAAGAAAAAGAATGAAGAAAAATGATCAAAGCCTCAGAGACCTGTGGGACCCCCCCCACCACCATCAGGTGTTCCAACATACTCATAATGGGAGTCCCAGAAGAAATGAGAGAGAAAAAGGGGCAGAATGAGTTGTTTTGTTTTGTTTTGTTGTTGTTTCGAGACGGTTTGGCTCTCGTTGCCCAGGCTGGAGTGCAATGGCACGATCTTGGCTCACCGTAACCTCTGCCTCCTGGGTTCAAGTGATTATCCTGCCTCTGTCTCCCAAGTAGCTGGTATTATAAGTGCCCGCCACCACGCCCAACTAATTTTTGTATTTTTAGTAGAGACAGGGTCTCCTCATGTTGGCCAGGCTGGTCTTGAACTCCTGACCTCGGGTGATACACCTGCCTCGGCCTCCCAAATCCACTGCATTATAGGCGTAATGCTGGGATTACAGGTGTGAGCCACCGTGCCCAGCCATGAGTACTTTAAACTCCCTGAATTTGATGAAAAATATGAATCTGCTCATCCAAGAAGCTCAACAAACTTAAAGAGATCCATATTTAGATCCTCCTAGTCAAATTGTCAAAAGACAGAACACTTTTTCTTTTTTCTTTAGACAGACTCTCACTCATTCACCCAGGCTGGAGTGCAGTGGCACAATTTCAGCTCACTGCAACCTCTGCCTCCTGGGTTCAAGCAATTCTCCTGTCTCAGCCTCCCCCGTAACTGAGATTACAGGTGCACGCCAACATGCCCGGCTAACTTTTTTTGTATTTTTGATAGAGACTAAAATGGTTTTGCCGTGTTGGCCAGGCTGGTCTCAAACTCCTGACCTCAAGTGATCTGCCTGCCTCAGCCTCCCAAAGTTCTGGGATTACAGGTGTGGGCCGCTGCACCTGGCCAACAAAACACTTTTTTAAGGTTTTGTTTGTTTGTTTGTTTTTGTATGCAATTTAGTGGTTTTTAGTATGTTCAGGGTGGTACAACTACCATCACCACTATCTAATTCCAGAACATTTTCATCCTCCCACACAGATGCTCCATTCTCCTTAACAATCACACCTCATTTCCTTTCTCTGCAGCCGCTGGCAACCACTAAATACTTTCCGTCTTTATGAACTTTCCTATCCTGAACATTTCATATAAATGGAATCATATAATATGTGGCCTTTTGTGTCTGGCACCTTTTACTTTGCATTGTATTTTAAGGTTCATCCACCTTGGAGCAGGTATCAGAAGTTCATGCCTTTTTTTTTTTTTTTTTTTTTTTTCAATGTAAACCCCTGCATCTTTTTTTTTTTTTAAACATGGTGAACTTCAACATAGCAATTTTTCTTTTTTCTTTTCTTTTCTTTTCTTTTTTTTTTTTTTTTTTTTTTTTTTGAGACAGAGTTCCACTCTTGTCACCCAGGCTAGAGTACAATGGCGCGTTCTCAGCTCCCTGCAACCTCCGCCTCTCGGGTTCAAGCGATTCTCCTGCCTAAGCCTCCTGAGTAGCTGGGGTTACAGCCACCCGCCACCACGCCCGGATAATTTGTTTGCATTTTTAGTAGAGACGGGGTTTCACCATGTTGGCCAGGCTGGTCTCAAACTGACCTCAGGTGATCCACCTGCCTCGGCTCCCCAAAGTGCTGGGATTACAGGCATGAGCCACTGCACCCAGCAAACATAGCAATTATTACAACAAATGTTATAGTCTGAAGCTCAAACACAGTTTTGCAATTTTGAAATTAATTGCATACAAACCAAATAAAATTTACACAATAACAGACATTTCCATCTAAGACTTTGGGAGCATTTGAGCCTTCCCCATTTGATCTCAGGGGAAGATCTGAGATCTTTTCTTGTGCTGAACAGCACCAGAGTTGTTGTGGGAACAGCAATGGCTTCAGGAATTACAGCCATTAGGCCATTAAGGCTAGCTGCCACCACAGCCTTTTCCTTCTCATGTTTTTTGTGCTTCATGTATTTTTTATACTTTTTATGTTGCTTGTCCCATTCTTTGTCTTTCTGACTCCTTCTTCATAGGAATTCCTTGCTTGTGGTGGGCTTGATGTTTGAGCAGTCACACTGGTGACCAGTTTGTAGAGTAGAGGATGACTAAGACTGGACAGAGGATGGAGATTCTGGGTTGTTTGTGTTTTGTTTTTTCTTTTTCAGCTTCTGGCTCAGGAGATCGTGAGACAGACGGGATAGGACTTGAGGAGGTCTGAGGAGCTTCATTTGGTTGTGGTAGCTGTGCCTTCCAGGTAGACCCTTTCCTGTGCTTTGATGATGATGAAAGAGAACATCTCTTGGGGACTTGGGGAATCCTTTGTTTGGGAAGTGAAGAATGGGAGATCCTGTGCTTTGTGGGTGGAGAAAGTGATGCCCTTTGTTTTGGAAGGTGAAGTGGAGAAGAAGAGTATCTCCTCTGTTCTGGAGGAGAGTATCTTCTTGAGGAAGGTGAGTGTTGATGTGGGAAGGAAAAGCAGCCCTTCCTGGTGGTGGTATCAAGAGACCTGCGCTGCAGCTGAGGAGGAGTGAAAGAAGGAAAATGTGCCTTCTGGTGGGTGTTGGGGAGGGACTTCTCCTCCGTCTAGCATAAGAGGATGTCTTCCGGTGCTTTCACGGTGATGAAGAGGCACTCTGGGGAGCTGCCTGCCTGCCTATTTTTCACACGGGACTTCTTGAGTCGCTCACCATCATCTGAGGAGAGGAGCAGAGTCAGATGAAGACTGCTAATTTTGTCATCTATATTGATATCTTTGCTGCACAGAATCTGTGGCAGCCATTTTGCTACCTTTATCTTCTGATTCGGATAACAACTTTTCTAGGCTTTGGGTGCTGATGAAGGGGACTCTTTTTCTAAGTACCTTCACATTTTGTCACTTTACTAAGTTCTTCGTGGAGCTGCAAAACCACAACTTTTTCTTATATAGTTGGCTGCTGGGGTATTGGGGAATGATGCATTTTTGGCAGTGGAGTTGCTGGAGGCAACAGCCAGTGCACATTCACCTTCAAGGATTTGCTGAAGGAAAGAACTTACTAGTTTTTCAGGGGGCGCTGGATGTCGTCTTGGGAAGCTTCTCAAGAGGACAACGAGCTACTCCTACACACGATGCTGATGAGTGCCTTTTTCATCTCACTGGAGATCTGCTCCCGCTATGGCTTGGTGGAATCCTTCAAGGAGATGGCCACTTTATTGACTCTGCTGTTCTTGTAGGTGAATATCATCTTGATGGGATCAATGGCGCCATCTAAAGCAAGTATGATAAGGAAAGCCAGACGCATCTGTGATAATGATTTGGAAAATGACAGAGATCTTGGTTGAATCTTCTTTAACTTTTCAGATTTGTTTGTTTCTGGAGAAGGTTCGTTACTTGCTCTGGTACAAGTGCAGGTTTGGGAACTTTCAGATGGCACTAGTAGAAGTGGCCTTTTGTACTAGGTTCTTTCACTTTCTTGAAAGGTTCTGGTAGCGCTGGAGTTTTCTCCTTTTCTGCAGCTGGGGAAGGTCTCTGCCTCTTGGTTCTGTGATGGGGAGATTGAAAATGACTGTGCATTCTCTTGCTCCTGACAGGGTAGGATCCTCTTTTAGGAGAAGGAGATCTGAATTTACATTTTCTTGGGCTTTAAGACCTCTCCCCTTTTTCTCTGCTTTCTTTTTTCTTCTTTATCCTTATTTTTCTCCTTATATTGCTTTTTCATAGACACCAGGTTTTTTTTTTCTTGTTCTGTCTGTCTCTGTTTTTTTTTTTTTTCTTCTTTCTTCAGTTCTAGGAAAGCAGAAGAGATTCCAGTGATGTCTTCTTGTGCGTTTAACAGCAGGGACTACAGTTCTCCCATAATTCTCTAGTAATTTCATTCAAAAACCCAGTCAGATTGCTTTGTATCATTTTGGAGTCTGGATTTTCCAAACACATAAGGGAGTGCAGTGTGACATTGGGATGTTCATTTTGCTGAGACCTAATACAATGATGATGTTATACTTGAGATGCAAGGAATAACTTCCATTTTGGTTCAGGTCTCCACTTCCACCTGGTTGAATATAAACTCAATCACGGCATCTTCTTCAAACCCAAGGATTTCCATTATTCATATTGTTATCTAAGTCTTTATTAGCCTCCAAATTTACTTTGCTTATGTCTGCCTTTTTTCTAGGCATCCTGCAAATTTCAGCTCCTTCAGTAGCATCTATTTGTTGCTGAACCAATGATCTTGTCTTGCACTTGTTTCTTGGAAGGTCATTTTGCTTCTGAGCTCTGAGATTGCTGCCTAACCCAAAGTGCACTGGACCTCCTGGACCAGAGGGAAAGCCCACTTGTTGGGGGAGTGGCTCAGTAACATTTCATTATATGCATACACCACATTTTGTTTATCCATTCAACAGCTGAAGGACATGTGAAGTGTTTCCATCTTTTGGCTCCTATTAATGCTGCTTTGAACATTTGTGTTAACTACAACAAAGATCGAGGCTGGGCATGGTGGCTCATGCCAGTAATCCCAGCACTTTGAGAGGCTGAGGAGGGCGGATTGCTTGAGCCCGAGACCAGCCTGGGCAACATAAGTGAAAACATAAGTGAAACCCTACAAAATAATAATAATAATAATAAGCTGGGTGTAGTGGCCCGCGCCTACAGTCCCAGCTACTCTGGAGGCTGAGATGGGAGGATCTTTCAAGCCCGGGAGGCAGACGTTGCTGTGGGCTGAGATCATGCCACTGCATCCCAGCATGGGCGACAAAAAAAAAAAAAAAAAAAAAAAAAGAAAAAAGATTGAGACACAGAGGTCAAAGGAAATAGCATTTAATTTATTTGAGAAACAAAGAATTGCAATTCACGTACAGTGAATCAGAGCAGCCCTGAATAGTGTCTCATAAGGCAAGCACAGGAGAGGGTTTTTTAAATAGGGGATTCCCACAAGAAGTTTTCAGAGGCAGTTCATTGGCTGGGTAGAACTCTTAAATCTCAAACCCATTCTGATTGGTTGGTTAATTAGGGTACTCACGCTGAGAGATGATGAAGGCTGGCAGATACTTACTGACTTCAGTTGTTTCTACAGGTCTATTCGGTGGTTTGACTTTTTAGCAGGTGTGAATGCAATCCCCTAGCAATCTCCTGACTCCACTTTAGAAAGCCTTCACCTTAGTTACTTCATTTTCTTCCACACTGCACAAGTTTTTGTGTGAACATGTTTTCAATTATCTTTGGTATATACCTAGGAGTGAGTCATATAGTAATTGTATATTCAACTTTCAGAGGAGCCGTCACAATTATTTTTAGCGGGTTTATAGCTTTATTTGACATATATGACAATTGGCAGTTAGTTCTCATCCACACTGACTATCTAGATTTTTGAAAGTGGTAACAGGTATACAGGTAACCACAGTATTGAGCTTGTTTGGTGAATTTTCATCCTTGTTATGTTTTCTGAACAATCGCACATGTACATGGTGTGGGACATTCCTTATTCCTTTGGCCCTGATAGCCTTGTTAAGCCTGGTATCAATGCACACATCTGGAGTGCCCATCTTCATGGCAAATTTCTGAATCTCTTTGAATGCCCACAGAGCATGCTTCTTGAAGCCCACTCCATGGATGTGAGCTAGTGACCCAAGTGTGTTCTTGGGTCACTACCTTGTTGATGGCAGAACAGCTCATCTTCTTGCCACCCTTCTTTGCAGGAGCCATTCTGCCAGGCCCAAGATGGAAAGGAAGAACATGAGGGACGGTGGGAGAAAGAAGGCCTAAACTTTTAAAAAGTGGCTGCACCATTTTACATTTAAGACATTTTGACACATTGTATTTTTGTTGTTATTTGACTCTCTAGATAATTTCTGCCATGACTTTTTCTGTAATGCACAAATTGTTTTTTGAAGAGTTTTAAATTTCCCAACTAAAAAGGCTTTTCTAGTTATTTTTCTTTTATAATGTCTAACTTGGCTGGGCGTGGTGGCTCATATCTGTAATCCCAGTGCTTTGGGAGGCCAAAGCAGGCGGATCACCTGAGGTCAGGATTTTAAGACCAGCCTGGTCAACATGGTGAAACCCTGCCCTCTACTAAAAATACAACATTTGCTAGGCGTGTTGGCAGGCACCTGTAGTCCCAGCTATTCGGGAGGTTGAGGCAGGAGAATCGCTTGAACCTGGGAGGCGGAAGTTGCAGTGAGCCGAGATCACGTCACTGCACTCCAGCCTGGGTGACAAGGAGACTCCATCTTAAAAAAAAAAAAATTGTTTTGTTAATTACAATAAATTATGTCAAAAACAAAGATAATTTCTTAAAACTCTTCACTTTCTTTTATGTTCCTTGCATCTACTGTATCTGTATGGTGGAAATACTATATAATGGTGTGCTACTAGACATCTTTTCTCAAATTCTTATTAAGTGATGTCACATTGGTGGCTTGAAATTGGCTATGATGGGAATATTGACATCATGGAAATCAGCAAAAGCTAAACATTGGACATTTAAACTTAAGAAACGGATGTGGAAAATATTAATGCAGAGTAAACTTAAAAGTTTGTGTTATCTGTAGCCTTTACATTGTGACTTGCAGAAAAAATTAAGAAAAATTATTCCAGTGTTAGAAAATGATTATCTATTTCAGCAAAGAAGTTGCTCATAACATTGACAAGTGAAATTCTGACATAGATCTTGGATATGTCACTCTCATCTTAATCACAAATAAAAACAAAAATATTAACCAACATTCATGTTGGAACTAGGTTGTTAAACAATTGCAACCATAAGTTGGCCACAAATACAGGAGTACAGCATAAACCAACGAAAGCATTCTGAGAGAAGCAATTGTCTATGAGGAATTTACAGTAAAGAGAATAGGATATTTCATTATTTATAATTCATCTGCTATAATTCCTTATCAATACTTTTGTTGGTGGTGGTGGTGGTGAGACGGAGTCTTGCTTTATTGCCCAGGCTGGAGTGCAGTGGCGCCATCCCGGCTCACTGCAACCTCCGCCTCCCGGGAGTGCGCCTGTAATCCCAGCTACTCCGGAGGCTGAGGCAGTTTTGTAGCCACAAAACTGGCTGCCGTGTCTGACTGGAAATTGCTCCCCTGGAAACTTGGCCACACCTGGCGGTGCATATCTCATGGTTCTGGCTCTGGCTTCTGCTTAGAACCCAGTCAGCATCTGTTCCAGCATGGGAAGCAACTGTTCAGCTAAAACCAAGAGCAGCCTGAAGGAAGTGGGGACGTAGGAGACTTTGTAGGTGCTCACACCCAGACAGGAGAACAAAGGTTTGGTAAGGGCTCAGACCTTAGAGACGGGTTCTCGACGATGTGCAGCGCATAACGAGGAAAATACTGACCGGAGGGGGCCGGTCGTAGGGCTGGGGAGCAGGAGGAGGGCAAAGGATAGAGAGGGGGTAGATAGGGAGTAGATAGGGGGCGGCAGCCTCGGCCTCAGTAAGCAGGGGCTCAGGGAGCAGATGTCTGAGACTGCACCACGTCCGCTATTTTGAGGTTTGGCTTCTCTTACTGCCACGTGGTGCAGAGGGAAGGCGCCATTTGATGCGTCCAAATCCCGAGTGGGAAGAGAAGATACGGATGAGGGAGATGGATGTGTCTGTGGTGACTCTTGGGCACTTGTGCCGTTCAATCCTGTCACTCTCAAGCTGAAGAACCCAAAGCAAACGCCAGGTTTACAATACCTGCACTATCACTCATTAGTGGGAGGGTCAGGCGCCACCCAACTCTGGGCTTTTATTGGTCATGTCAAGAAAAAAGCGAGAGGGACAACTGGGAGCCTCCTTCTGATTGGTGGATTCCTGCTAGCCCTCAAGTCAATCAGAGTAGAATGTACCGCCCTCCTTCCCACTCTGGCCCCCGCGGGAGACATGTTAGGTAGCGGGACGCCAACCTTGTCACTCTTCTGAGACCGCCACCCAGTAACACGCCCTGCTTTCCTCCGCCGCCGCCGTCTCCTCCATCAACTGTCTCCTTCTAACATGTTATTGCAGTTAATAAAAAAGCGTTCTTTTCTTCACAAAAGCAGTTGTTTCATTGTATAATGTGAGAAGTCTGCGTTCAGGCGGTTAGACGCAAAGGAGTGGAATAAGTGCCCTGTTCAGCCTGCCAACCTTCGGAACCAGCCAACAGACTCGGTACTGACTGCCATGATCCAGTAAGCACCCGACTCGGGTCTCTGGCAGCCTGAGTGGATTTTGCGTGACTTTTGGTCCCTGGCGGCTCCTGTAGCGTCCCCAGTTACGGCGCCCATAGCAACCGGCTCCCTAGCTAGGCGCCCCCGGGTTGCCAGGGGCCGCACCAGCTTTCCCGTCCCGGGCCAGCGCAGGCGCTCAGGCCTCGGAGGCGGGGCGATGGCCACCTCCCACCGAGTGGCGAAGCTGGTGGCCTCCAGTCTCCAGACCCCGGTAAATCCCATCACTGGAGCGCGGGTCGCCCAGTACGAACGCGAAGACCCCTTAAAGGCCCTGGCGGCAGCGGAGGCGATCTTGGAGGACGAAGAGGAGGAGAAAGTGGCTCAGCCCGCTGGGGCATCGGTAATACTGGGGCGGGACTTGGGCTGGGACCTCGCATGGGCTGGGTGCAGGCTGAGGGCTGTCCGGTTCCCCGCCCAGCTGAGGGCAGGCTGGTAAACGCGGGTCCCTGTGCACATAGTCCCTACTTGGTGGTCCTGGCCCAGCCCCTTCTCTACGCTCACGAAAATTACTCTAAATCGAGGCGTTGAAAAGTGTTTTAATTTTCACCAGTCTGTTGTAAAAGCTTCCTAGACAACATTTATGTTACTCTGCTTCTGGCAAGTGCAAAGTATAGAATTTTACTCTCTACTCTCCAGCATCTCGGGAATGGATATATAGAGATATATCTGGCTATATATAGTAATTTGAGGAAAACTGTTCTGTCAGGTGTGTTTCGTTATTACCTTAAGATCTTGGTTATAAGCGGATCTCAACATAGTGCTCTAAAGATGTGTGTTTAAAACCATCACGTGTTCACTGGCTAAATCAGACACGGATACAGATAAGCAAATCACTGAGGTTTCAGTGTTTCCTAAACAGCTCTTTAGGGTACAGCGAGACGGCCTTTTCACTGATCAGTTTTCATTGTTAAATCTGTTGTGGACACCAGTCCAGCAGGTAGAGGGCAGGGTCTGCCATCTGCTCAATTCACTTAAAAGATGGGAATCTTGGCCGGGCGCGGTGGCTCGTGCCTATAATCCCAGCACTTTGGGAGGCCGAGGTGGGCGGGTTACGAGGTCAGGAGTTCGAGACCAGCCTGACCAACATGGTGAAACCCCGTCTGTACTAAAAATACAAAATTTAGCCGGGCGTGGTGGTGCGCCCCTGTAATCCTAGTTACTCGGAAGGCTGAGGCAGGAGAATCGCTTGAACTTGGGAGGTGAGGGTTGCAGTGAGCTGAGATCTCAGACCCAGTCTCAAAAAAAAAAAAAAAAAAAAAAGATGGGAATCTTGAATTTAAACTAGCAATCTGCAGATAGAAAAAATTTCCTAATACCATGTGTCCAAAGCTTCTCAGACACCAAACTTATGATTGAGGACTAACTGAAATCACTGGATATTTTGGAATTCTGATCTCTTTAATCTACAGTAAAATTGTTAATGAGAACATCTTTAGCAACACCTTTTGTGACCAATCTTTCACCAACAGACAAACAACTTGAAGTTATCCAGAGTAAGGCAGACTGAGACCCTGAACATGAACCAGGATCAGAGTGCTAGGACCGATTTTGTTCATGATGAAGCTACCCCTCAACACAATTTTCAGTAGGCAACAAGGCAACGTGATGGAGAAAAAGGATTGAAGAGTTCTGTATTAGGATCCATTCCCTGCCACTTCCTAGGTGGTGTTAGGACATAATTTCCTTAAACCTCAGTTTCCTTATCTGTAAAATAACTATAATAATTGTCTCTTTTTTCCCATCTCAGCTCTATGAGAACCAAATGAAAGAATGTGTGTCTCCTCTAAAGAGCAATCTATGTAAATGAGTTGCCAGTGGGAGTGTCATTTGTGTGCCTTCCCAAAGATTAAACTCAACTTTGGCTTGCTGTGGTAAAGGAGTCAGTCACTTCTAAGTTGCAGATATGCTTCCACAGTGCCCTGTTAAACTGCAAATTTGTGTTAGAAACTGTTATTACCTTAGGAGGGATCAGTTTATACAATAATCTAGTTTGGAAAGGACAGGATCCTACAAAAAAAAAAAGGAAGCCAAGTCTTAAGAGTTTGGTACTGTTCTGAGACCACCACACATGAGGGATCCAAAAGTAAAGCTGGGTAAGCTGCCACAGTGGGCCTGATAGCCAGGGGGCACAGGCTGGGGGAAGAGGCATTAAGAAGGCAGGAAGAGTGCAGGAAATAGGCTCTGCTTTCTTCACTGGTTGGCTTGGGTCTCCATCTTGATTTTTAAAGGTTAATTTGCCTTAACCTTATTATCTATAAAATGTAGTAAAGTCAAATATTATACCTAACCCACAAGATTGATTTGAGAACCACCCATCACAATAGGCCTCTTTCAGCTCTTTGGTTTTGCCAAAGCCAGACCACTCATCCCACCCCACACTGCCCCCCAACCCCCCAACCCCTGCACCATCCCTATACACCCTCCCAGCTCTGGCATACACACGCACCCCCCTTGCAGTGCCCATATTGGGCACTGATGCCTGTTCCTTGAATCTAGCCTTAGTCAGAGATGTTGGTCCACATATCCTGTTATATGACTGATGATGACACAGGTAACGCAGTATTCTGTAATTCGCAATTAAAATCTCACTCCTCCCAGCACTTTGGGAGGCTGAGGCAGGTAGATCACTTGAGGTCAGGAGTTTGAGGCCAGCCTGGCCAACATGGCAAAACCCGGTCTCTACTAAAAATACAAAAAGTAGCCGGACGTGGTGGCACGCGCCTGTAATCCCAGCTACTAGGGGGCGCTGAGGCAGAATTGCCTGAACCCGGGAGGCGGAGGTTGCAGTGAGCTGAGATGCAAAAACTGCACTCCAGCCTGGGCAACAGAGTGAGACTATGTCTCAAAAAAATAAATAAATAAAAAGAAAAAATAAAATCTCACTCCTAATGGGGCAACCTTATCTTTTCAACAAATATTGAACATTTATTAAGTGCTAGTCATTAACTATTCAGTGTATATATAGCTCACATCCTCACAGAATTTTCAGTCTGGTGAGGGAAATCAGACAATTAAAAATGAACAGGGCCGGGCGCGGTGGCTCACATCTGTAATCCCATCACTTTGGGAGGCTGAGGTGGGTGGATCACCTGAGGTTGGGAGTTCAAGACCAGCGTGACCAACATAGAGAAACCCCATCTCTACTAAAAATACAAAATTAGCCGGGCGTGGTGGCACATGCCTGTAATCTCAGCTACTCAGGAGGCTGAGGCAGGAGGATCGCTTGAACCCGAGAGGTGGAGGTTGCAGTGAGCCGAGATCACGCCATTGTATTCCAGCCTGGACAACAAGAGCGAAACTCCATCTCAAAAAACAAAAAATGAACAGACACATAACTATAAGATGGGAAATGTTGGGAAAGAAATGAACAGCCTATAATGATTAAAAATAAATAGGAGAGAACCTATTGTTTTTCTTCTGACTCCACTTTTTATTTATTATTTTTTGAGACAGAGTTTCACTCTCTTGTCCAGGCTGGAATGCACTGGTGCAGTCACAGGTCACTGCAGTCTCAACCTCCCAGGATCAATCAATCTCCTCACCTCAGCCTCCCAAGTAGCTGGAACTAAAGGTGCATGCCACCACGCCCAGCTAATTTTTATATTTTTTGTAGAGACAGAGTTTCACCATGTTCCCCAGGCTGGTCTCGAACTCCTGGGCTCAAGTGATCCACCTGCCTTGGCCTCCCAAAAGTGCTGGGATTATAGGCGTGAGCCACTGTGCCTGGCTCCACTGTCGATATACATACATACATACACATATACACACATACACACGAACGCACACACACATATATTTTTTTGAGATGGAGTTTTACTCTTGTTGCCCAGGCTGGAGTGCAGTGGCGTGATCTTGGCTCACCACAACCTCCACCTCCCAGGTTCAAGCGATTCTCCTGCCTCAGCCTCCCAAGTAGCTGGGATTACAGGCGTGTGCCACCACGCCCGGCTAATTTTGTATTTTTAGTAGAGACGGGGTTTCTCCATGTTGGTCAGGCTGGTCTCCAACTCCTGACCTCAGGTGATCCGCCCGCCTCAGCCTCCCAAAGTACTGGGATTACAGGCATGAGCTACCATGCCTGGCCTATATTTTTAAATTCACCTGTTATTTTAGATACAGAGGTGCATGTGCAGGTTTGTTACATGGGTATATTGCATCCAGGTAGTGAGCATGGTACCCAATAGATAGTTTTTCAACCTACGCCGCCCTCCCTCCCTCCCTCCCTCCCCACCTGGTGGTAGCCCGCAGTGTCTGTGGTTTCCATGTTTATGTTCGTGTGTACTCATTATTTTACCTGCCACTTATGAGAACATGTGATATTTGGTTTTCTGTTAATTTGTTTAAGATTATGTCCTACAGCTCCATCCACGTGGCTGTGAAGGACATGATTTCATTCTCTTTTTTTTTTTTTTTTTGTGATGGAGTCTCGCTCTGTCACCAGGCTAGAGTACAGTGGCACAATCTCGGCTCAATGAGACCTGTGCCTCCTGGGTTCAAGTGATTCTCCTGCCTCAGCCTCCTGAGTAGCTAGGACTACAGGTGCACACCACCACACCTAGCTAATTTTTGTATTTTTAGTAGAGACGGGGTTTTACCATGTTGGCCAGGATGATCTTGAACTCCTGACCTCAAGTGATTCGCCAGCCTTGACCTCCCAAAGTGCTGTGATTACAGGCCTGAGCCACCATCCTGGCCTAATTTTTTTATTTTTATTTTTATTTTGTAAAATAAAGGTCTCACTATGTTGCCCAGGGTGGTCTCAAACTCCTGGGCTCAAGCAATTCGCCCTCCTCGGCCTCCCATAGTGCTCGGGTTAGAAGTATATGCCACCATACCAGGTGACATTCTTCTCTTAAAATATCAAATGTTACATATGACGCTTAGGCCCTTTTAACAACTCTCCCCCAGAAGAGAAAATATGAATACCTACTCCCTCCCTAATGGTAGCCACTGTTTCAAAATTGATATGTATTCTATTCTCTGGCCGTTTTTCTATCTCCTCCATATATTTTAATATACAGTACATACTATATAAATATATAAATAAATATATAAATATATATAAGTATATAAATATTTAAATATATATATAAATATATATATTTAAATATATATATAAATATATATATTTATATATATATAAATATATATAAATATATAAATATATATATAAATATATATAAATATATAAATATATATATAAATATATATAAATATATAAATATATATATATATAAATATATATATAAATATATATAAATATATATATATAAATATATATAAATATATAAATATATATATAAATATATATAAATATATATATAAATATATATATAAATATATATATAAATATATATATAAATATATATAGATATATATATATAAATATATATATAGACAGAGAGAGGGAGATAGTTCTGCAACTTGCTTTTTTTTCTTATTTATTGGGAGTTTACCCATGTTAGTACATGTAGATCTCTCTCATTCTTTACAAATTCAGCGAAAAAAATTTTTTCAAAAATTACAGGTTGCAGATGAAACTATATAGGCTGCAGCACAAATAATTCTTCATAGGTGCTGATTACTAATAAAGCAACAGGTACTGGAAGGATTCATTATCTAAATGGGTCAAGCCAATCTAGGGAAGATTATCCTCTAATCTGGTGGCTGCATTTACAACATTCCACAAAAAGCCGATTAAAGGGAGAGGATGCTATTTTAGGCTCTTGGAAAAATAATGTCTATGGCCTAGGTTATTTTGTATACTAAATATTTTCTCAGTGGAGACAATTAAAGATTAAATTAGAATTGGAGGTCATTTACTAGCCATTCATCTGTTTTAGGTTAAACACTGTGAGATCAGTTTATCTGAAAAGTTTCAGCTAGCGTTAACAGTATTAAGCTGAAAACAGAATGGATCCAGTGCAAAATCAGTACATAAGTATAATTTATCAGACCTGCCGCATCTTTCAGAAGCTACTCATTCTTCTATATGGTTTTCAAACGGTTCTTCCAGGTCCAAATAAATTTGATCCTTCTTGTGTAAATGACTGCTATAAGACATGATTTTTAAGAGATATTCTAAAAGAATGAATGAGAGCGCATAGATTCTTTTGCTTAAAAACAGTTCTTTGAAATACCCTCCCTGTTTTAATTATAGTTTTTGGAACATAGGCCTTTTTCTTAATACTTGGTGGAATATAGCTCTTTAGAGCAGCCAGCATTTCTTTGCATGGTTCATTCTTTTGGGAGGGAGTAACTGCCCTCTTCCCAAGGTGGAATTTTTTTTTTCTGTACATTCATTCATTCATTCAGTAAATATTCCTTGAACATCTGCCATTAGCCAGGTACTTTTCTAGACACTGGGGACACAACATTAAACAAAGCAGACAAATCCTTGCCTTTCTTTTTGTTTTGTTTTGTTTTTTTGAGACAGGGTCACACTGTTACCCAGGCTGGAGTGCAGTGCCTCCATCATAGCTCACTGCAGCCCCAACCTCCTGGGCTCAGGTGATCCTTCCGCCTCAGTCCCCCAACTAGCTGGGACTATAGGTGCATACTACCTCACCAAGCTAATTTTTTGTATTTTTTGTAGAGATGAGGCCTTGACGTGTTACCCAGGCTGGTCTGAAACTCCTGGGCTCAAGCAATCCACCTGCCCCAGCCTCCCAAAGTGCTGGGATTACAGGCCTGAGCCATCAGGCCTGGCAAATTCTTACCTTTGTAATGTTTACTTTTTGGTAGGGGCAGGCATATAATACACAATCAAGTACAGATATGTAGGACGTCAATGGTGATGAGTACTTCTGGGAAAAATAAGACAGACAAGGGGGCTGACAGTGAGTCCTGGGAGAAGTTGTAATTTTAAATAGGAGAGTCAGGGAAGACCTTATTGAGAAGACAACATTTACATAAAGACCTGAAGGAGTGAGCAAGTGGGTCATGTGGATATCTGGAGGAAAAGGCATCCTAGGGAGAGGGAACAGCAAGTGCAAAGGCCTTGAAGTAATTCTGTGGATTTTTGTTTCTTTTTTTTTGAGATGGAGCCTCACTCTGTCACCCAGGCTAGAGTGCAGTGGTGCGATCTTGGTTCACTGCAACCTCTGCCTCCTGGATTCAAGCGATTCTCCTGCCTCAGCCTCCCGAGTAGCTGGGATTATAGGCATGCACCACCACACCCGACTAAGTTTTGTTTTTAGTAGAGATGGGGTTTCACCATGTTGGCCAGATTGGTCTCGGATTCCTGACCTCAAGTGACCCAAAGTGCTGGGATTACAGGCATGAACCACTGTGCCTGGCCAATTCTGTTGATTTTTCGAGTGAAAACTGCATACTGGATTCAGACACTGCTACTAAAACGAACTGCTGCTGCCCAGATGAATAACCGTTGCTAGACTGACACAAGCCGACAGGAAGCAGTCAGAGGGCTAACAGAAAGGAGTAAGTCCCATCTTTCTCCTCTAGCCTTGTATCTCCCTCTAACTCCACTTTTAGCAGAGTCTGATGAGGAGCACTGGCAAAGCAGAAGTGTGGTTTGCAGAGTTCCAGCTCTGGCATTGCAAAGCAGAGTCGAGAAGGGTGGCATTGGAGCTGAGAGACACTAGTTTAACACCTGGCACACCTACTTTACATATCTTAAAGCTGATGTTCAAGAAGTTCATGCCCACATCACATTGCTAAGTGCGGAGCCCAGGCTTGTATGAGTATCCTGACGTCACATCTGAAATCTTTCTCCTAAGCTGTGAGAACACTCCAAACTAAAAGTTATTTAACTCCCACCCAACCCTTTCATCTTTGAAGGGTCATAAGGGGGCTGAAACCACGTGACCAGTAATCAGGAGCCAGTGGTAGGCAGGAGATGGAAACCCCTTCTTGCTTGCCCTAACCTCCCTTTCTAGGTTTACTTCCCAAAACTGCTTTATGGGTTTTCCTCTCCTTTTATCCGGCAGCCATGTGCACCTTGCCCTCTGCTATGCACAGCCTCCCCAACCCCAGCCTGCGCATTTGCTAACGCCATTTCCTTTGCCTAGGGTACTTTCCCCTTCTTTCCCATAAACACTCTGTGATCCTATAGATTTCTCCATTCTTTTTTTTTTTTTTTTTTTTTTTTGAGACAGAGTCTTGCTTGATCGCCGAAGCTATAGTGCAATGGCTCGATCTCAGCTTACTGCAATCTCTGCCTCCCAGGTTCAAGCGATTCTCCTGCCTCTGTCCCCTGAGTAGCTGGGACTACAGGTACACGCCACCATGCCTGGCTAATTTTTGTATTTTTAGTAGAGAAGGGGTTTCACCATGTTGGCCAGGCTGGTCTTGAACTACTGAGCTCAGGTGATCCACCCACCTCAGCCTCCCAAAGTGCTGGGATTACAGGCGTGAGCTACCGCGCCCAGCCTTCTTTTTTCTTGATACAAGGTCTCACTCTGTCGCCCAGGCTCAAGTGCAGTGGCGCGCTCACGGCTCACTGCAGCCTCAACCTCCTGGGCTCAAGTGATCCTCCCACCTCAGCCACCACATCCAGCTAATTTTTTAAAAAAAATTTGTAGAGATGGTGTCTCGCCGTGTTGCCCAGGCTGGTCTGGAACTCCTGGCCTCAAGCAGTCCTCCCACTGCAGCCTCCCAAAGTGCTGGGATTACAGGCATGAGCTACCACACCTGGCCTCCATTCTTTATGACTCATCTCAAATATTACCTCCTCCAGGAAGTCTTCCCCTATCTTCCAAACTCAAACGAAACAAAAGCTCCCTCCATTTCCTGTCTACCACTGGCTCCTGGTCACTGGTCACCTGGTTTCAGCCCCCTTTTGACCCTATAAAGGTGAAAGCATTGGGTGAGAGTTAAATAACTTTTAGTTTGGAGTGTTCTCATGGTTTAGGAGAAAAATTACAGATGTGGTGTCAGAATACTCAATCAGAGGCTCCAAAGACCCGTATCAGTTGGTCTTTGTATCTCTCATGCCACTCTCTACCTCCTATTAGTCCTCCTTCCGCTGCTTATTTAAATGTTGGTGTTCTCCAACATCTCCATTCTCAGGTCCTCTCATGTCTTGTTGCTCACACTCCCTCCAGGCAGCCTCGTCCATAACCAAGGCTGCACCTGCTACTTCTGTGTGGATTGGTGGCTCCTGTATCTGCTCTCCAGCCCAGCCTTCTCACCAGGTCTCCAGACATTTATCCACATGTTTCCTGGCGATGGATGTTCTAGCACTATGCCTCGGATTTATTTATTCCTTTTTCACTGCCTCCCTGATCTGGCAAACTTTGTCCTCGTCCAACCATGTGTCTCCAGTCTGGCTCACCTCTGTGAATTGTGCCTCTGTCTCTTAGTGTCTGACATTGTGACATACATCTGTCTCTCCGCTTAGCTGGAAGTAGCTTGTGGGCAGGAATCAGGTGTTCTGTCTCATTCTAAGTCAGCTGTCTATTATTTATATACATGTCCTTTCCTAAGCTAGCTGGAAACTTCTCAAAGGTAGAGTTTTTGTTTGTTTGTTTGTTTTAAGTGAGACAGAGTCTTGCTTTGTCACCCAAGCTGGAGTGCTGTGGTACGATCTTGGCTGACTGCAACCTCCACCTCCTGGGTTCAGGTGACTCTTCCGCTTCAGCCTCCCGAGTAGCTGGGACTACAGGTACCTGCCACCATGCCTGGCTAATTTTTGTATTTTTAGTAGAGAGGGGGTTTCACCATGTTGGCCAGGCTGGTCTCAAACTCCTGACCTCAAGTGATCTGGCTGCCTCGGCCTCCCAAAGTGCTGGGATTATAGGTGTGAGCCACTGTGCCTGGCCTCAAAGGTAGAGTTTAAAAAAAATCTGACGTACATTTTAGCAG
Organism: Homo sapiens; assembly: GCF_000001405.40. Taxonomy (NCBI): domain Eukaryota; kingdom Metazoa; phylum Chordata; class Mammalia; order Primates; family Hominidae; genus Homo; species Homo sapiens. The sequence goes on along the minus strand of NC_000002.12, from coordinate 61,844,373 downwards.
CTAGCTGATTGCAGGATGGCCCCCAAATATTTAATGAATGAGGAAATTCACAAAGTAGTCATCCTGCAGATAAGAAGTTTATGGTGAGAAGCACATAAAGAAACAGCAGAAGATATCAGAGAATTCTCTTAATTGAATTGTTTGACATAGTTAAAGCAGTTCTCTGATTCATAGAGTTGTTGGTAGCAAATTTCTGCACGTAAGTTCTATTGAAGACTGCTTTTTTTTTTGGAGACAGAGTCTCGCTCTGTCGCCTAGGCTGGAGTGCAGTGGCCTGATCTCAGCTCACTGCAAGCTCTGCCTCCCAGGTTCACGCCATTCTCCTGCTGCAGCCTCCCGAGTAGCTGGGAATATAGGTGCCCGCCAGCACACCTGGCTAATTTTTTGTATTTTTAGTAGAGATGGGGTTTTGCCATGTTAGCCAGGATTGTCTCAATCTCCTGACCTCGTGATCCACCTGCCTCGGCCTCCCAAAGTGCTGGGATTATAGGCGTGAGCCACCGTGCCCGGCCTCTGAAGACTGATTTTTTAAAAGTTGTTTTCTTTAAGTTACCCCAAGTAGTACAACATTGTCCTCTTGTATGCTGATTTTAGCGTATTAAAAAAAATACCATATCTTCTGAGAAGCCTCCAGTGGGAAACAAAAATACCACATCTATAACTACTATTTATAATTGACTCTTCTGAATTTTTATTTTGAGAGAAGCTAAACAGATTATTTTCTAGAGTCTTATCAGATTGGATCTATAATTTTCTGTAGCAAATTTTTTCATTTTGCATCTGTTCCAGACAGTAGGCTAAATTTAAAACTGTGGTTGGCAGCCTTTTATGCATAGTATCATAAATAATTTCAACTGTTTCTCAACTGAGAACATAATAAAAATTTTATATTTATGGAGAAAATGGGGTTTTATCTCTTTAGTTGCTTCAATTAAAAGAACTGAAAGGGTAGGGCACGGTGGCTCATGCCCATAATCCCAGCACTTTGAGAGGCCGAGGCGAGTAGATCACCTGAGGTCAAGAATTCAAGACCAGTCTGGCCAACATGGTGAAACCCCGTCTCTACTAAAATACAAAAATTAGCTGGGTGTGGTGGTGTGCGCCTGTAATCCCAGCTACTTGGGAGTCTGAGGCAGGAGAAGGCAGAGGTTGCAGTGAGCTGAGATGGTGCCACTGCACTCCAGCCTGAGTGACAGAGTGAGACTCCGTCTCGTAAAAACAAACAAACAAACAAAAAAACTGAAAGGTATGTAAAGGGAGTGAGGGAGAAAGGCCAGTCAGACCCTTCTAAACATGATCTGTATGTTGAATAATTACAGCATTTTTTCTTCTTTGCTTTGTTGTCATCCTAAAGTCCCGGTCACCCATGGGAGCTACTGCTTTTGTGCCCACAGAAGCAGCTACCCTGAAAGTCCCTCCTACCCCCTCCCATGTCCTCTTACTCCCTCCCAAAGTCTTGCCCCACTGTGAGGAGGGCTTCTCCCTGGCTCCTTGATAAGCCACTGAGAACTTTGTCCCTGCCCCCATTTCCTCTATTTCCCTGCCTTCTCTCCACTGGCAGTCCTTGGAGCCACACTGCAGGAGCGCAGCTGGAGGGAGAGCATTGGGCTGTGGTTGCCTGGTTTACAGCAGGTAGAACCGTGTTCCTCTTCATCTCAGTTAAAACTTACAACTCAGGAGGCTCCTTATAGAAATACTTTGTAAAGGGTTGTTGGGTTCTATCCTATTATACCTTTTGTTGGTTGATCTGGGAATTGAACCATCCTTTATCAAATGGATTAAATAACATTTATTTTCTGACAGTTTGGTCTTGCTCCCTCTCGTTCTTAAAATATCACTGGGGAAAATGTACATAGCCCACAAATAACCTATAACTCATTCTATATGCATAGCCCATAATTAATGTATAACCTAACTAGGTGGACTCTTTAAGAAGCAGCATTTTGGATCAGTGTCAGCTTAATTTGTCTTTCAGCTCCAGTCACTATATATCAAGTGTTTTCTCCCCACCAGGCTGATTTGAACACCAGCTTTTCTGGGGTGGATGAACATGCACCGATAAGCTATGAGGACTTTGTGAACTTTCCTGATATTCACCACTCTAATGAGGAGTATTTCAAGAAAGTAGAAGAGTTGAAGGCTGCCCACATAGAAACTATGGCAAAATTAGAGAAAATGTACCAGGATAAATTACATTTAAAGGAAGTTCAGCCAGTGGTCATCAGAGAAGACTCTCTTAGTGACTCTTCCAGGTAAGCTTGTAACTCAATGTTATTTGTGGAGTATAAAATAAAATGTATCCTTAAAAGGACAGAACAAAGTTACTTCATAATATTTTCTCTTAAATAGCCCTTTGTACTCCCAACGATATACAGAGGTAGGATTTTATTCAAAATGTTTAATGGCTTATCAGCTTACTGGATGACCGTTTGCTTGAGGGTCATTTGGTGGCCATTTGGTCTTTTCTTTCTGACCCACCCATAGAACTGAGGGCATGTATCAAAATACTTAGTCTGTGCCATTTTAACTGGTAAATATAAAAGTTTAATTTTAAAAGCTCTTTATAATATGTGGATTAACATGAGCTCATTAAAGATCTAGTACAAAGAGTTCAGGACTAGGAGACATGAATCTGATTTATGTTTTCAAAATAGTCTGCAATTTCAAGACCCATTTCTGCTGTGAACTCACCTGCTCTGAGACTTACACATCTAGTCAGTCAGCGATGCTTGCATGTCTCCTTTGTGCCAGACTATGCCTGGGCGCTGAGGAGTCAAAAACAAGATGCCCTCAAGGAGCTTAGAGACTAGCTGAGAACCAAAAATTGCATTACAGCATGATGTAACAGAGTGTTACAGAGGAAGAAGCAGTTGGTCATGCCAAGCTTTCAGAGGGATGCAGGCCAGAATTTTCCACTAAAGTGTCACATCTGAGTTCAGTCTTGGAGGAGGAATAAGTATTGGCCTTCTAGGCAGCAGAAACCATGTATGCAAAGGCAAGATGGCATGAGAAATCATATCGTGTGTGAGGAACTTCACAGGACTGGATATGAATGCAGAATGGAGACTGGGGTAGCCAGTGGTGAGGGGTAAGACTGAAAAGATAGGCGCCAGTCTCGAAGGGCTTGTAATCTAGGCTTGACTTCGTAGCAGTGAGGAATTATCAAAAAGTTTCAAGCAGGGGAATGACATGATCAGATCTATGCTTCAGGACAGTGACTCTGGAAAGTGGGGAGAATTTAATAGAGGTTAGACACAAGGACCCTCTGCCATCTCAGGTTCCTTCCCTGTAAAATGAAGGAGTCAAAGTGGATAATTTATGGGCATTGCCCAGCTCTATTCCAAATAAAAGTGATGATTCTTACAAGCCCTGTCCAGCTCCTCGCTTCTGATTATACCCTGATCTTAGAAAATATGTAACTCTTGGCTGGGCACAGTGGCTCATGCCTGTAATCTCAGCACTTTGGGAGGCGGAGGCAGGCAGATCACGAGGTCAGGAGATTGAGACCATCCTGGGTAACTTGGTAAAACCCTGTCTCTACTAAAAATGCAGAAAATTAGCTGAGCATGGTGGCACAAGCCTGTAGTCCCAGCTACTCGGGAGGCTGAGACAGGAGAATTGCTTGAACCTGGGAGGTGGAGGTTGCAGTGAGCCGATATCACACCACTGCACTCCAACCTGGGCAACAGAGTGAGACTCTGTCTCAGAAAAAAAAAGAAAATATGTAACTCTTAATTTTTATATTTGGTCACATACAACTGAAAGTATAACATAGTTATTCTTCTCATTTAGATCTGTATCAGAAAAGAACTCCTATCACCCTGTCTCATTAATGACATCATTTTCAGAGCCTGATTTAGGCCAGTCTTCCTCCTTGTATGTGTCCTCCTCTGAAGAGGAGTTACCCAACCTAGAAAAAGAGTATCCTAGGAAAAACAGAATGATGACCTATGCTAAGGAGCTCATCAACAATATGTGGACAGACTTTTGTGTTGAGGATTATATTCGCTGTAAAGATACTGGCTTCCATGCAGCTGAAAAAAGAAGGAAGAAACGAAAAGAATGGGTGCCCACAATTACAGTACCGGAGCCTTTTCAAATGATGATAAGAGAACAGAAGAAAAAAGAAGAGTCCATGAAATCTAAATCAGATATCGAAATGGTACATAAAGCGCTCAAAAAACAAGAAGAGGATCCAGAGTATAAGAAGAAATTCCGAGCCAATCCAGTTCCTGCATCTGTCTTTCTCCCCCTTTACCATGATTTAGTCAAGCAAAAAGAAGAACGGAGAAGGTCTCTGAAGGAGAAAAGCAAAGAAGCTCTTTTGGCCTCACAAAAGCCATTTAAATTTATAGCAAGGGAGGAACAGAAGCGAGCAGCCCGGGAAAAGCAGCTGAGAGACTTTCTTAAGTATAAAAAGAAAACAAATCGATTTAAAGCCAGACCCATTCCTCGATCTACTTATGGTTCAACTACCAATGACAAGTTAAAAGAAGAAGAGCTCTATCGAAACCTTAGGACACAGCTGAGAGCCCAGGAGCATTTACAGAACTCATCTCCTCTGCCTTGTAGGTCAGCTTGTGGATGCAGGAACCCCAGGTGTCCTGAACAGGCTGTAAAGTTGAAGTGTAAACACAAGGTTAGGTGCCCAACTCCTGATTTTGAGGACCTTCCTGAGAGATACCAGAAACACCTCTCAGAACACAAGTCTCCAAAACTCTTAACAGTGTGTAAACCATTTGATCTTCATGCATCTCCACATGCATCTATTAAAAGAGAAAAAATTTTGGCAGACATCGAAGCAGATGAAGAAAATTTAAAAGAAACACGTTGGCCTTATTTGTCTCCAAGGCGTAAGTCACCAGTAAGATGTGCAGGTGTAAACCCTGTGCCTTGTAACTGCAACCCTCCCGTGCCCACGGTATCTTCCAGAGGACGAGAACAAGCCGTAAGGTAAGTAAGTAGGACGCAGTACTGACTGACTCATGGTTGCCAGATGAGTGTATGCAGCTCTGTGGAGTTTATGTTGGTAAATTTGAAAATACTTAGAAATTATTATTGTATCTATAAGATATTTTACTATATAATATATGATATTTTGTCAGAGGGTATTCTAAGAAATGAATATATTTTTCATTTATAAATTTTGGGGGATTAGAAAATAATAGTCTTAAGATTTCTAGTTTTACCTGGCTGGGCACAGTGGCTTACACCTGTAATCCCAGTGCTTTGGGAGGTCGAGGCAGGTGGATCACAAGGTCAGGAGTTCAAGACCACCCTGGCCGAGATAATGAAACCCCCATCTCTACTAAAAATACAAAAAATTAGCTGGGCGTGGTGGCGGGTGCCTGTAATCCCAGCTACTCAGGAGGCTGAGGCAGGAGAATCGCTTGAATCCAGGAGGCAGAGGTTGCAGTGAGCCGAGATCACGCCATGGCACTCCAGCCTGGGCGACAGAGCGAGACTCCATCTCAAAAAAAATAAATAAATAAATAAATAAATAAATAAATAAATAAATATTTCTAGTTTTACAGGTCAGATCCTTTTCAAAAGGTTACCTTTTTTCAAATTTTGAATTATCAAAATTCAAATTATCCCATGTTAAATCTTTGCTAAACAACATTCTGATTGGCTTAAAGTGGATTAAGCCTTAGTTTGTTACCCTCAGGAGATCACTTGAGGAAAAGAAAATGTTGGAAGAAGAGAGAAATCGGATCCTAACTAAACAGAAGCAAAGAATGAAAGAATTGCAGAAACTCCTGACAACCCGGGCTAAGGCTTATGACTCACATCAAAGTTTAGCTCAAATATCTAAATCCAGAGTAAAATGTCTCAGGTATCATGAAAAAATCTTGAATCTCCAGACCACTGGTTTTCAAACTCTTTTTTTTTTAATCAGTAGATAGTAAAATATGAGCAGATTGAAAATAGCATTAGTGTTTTAGCTTATGGATTTAAATTGTCATCAGTTACTTGTGTTCAGTGCACACACACTCACCTCATGGTGAGAACCAACATATAAACTCACCTTTATGGTGAGAACCATGAAGCTATGTTGATGAATACAGACATTTTCTATTGTGGCCTTAGTTAATGGTTATAATCTTATACCAATATCTGATCTTGTTCTTTATATTATTTTTGATTGCAGTAAACAGATATATCAAAGAGCTTTGTTCTAAGGTTTGGATGAAATCTGATAGCACAAATTAACACGTTAAACATCGGTTATGTGATGTGTTCATTAGCACATATGTTAATGTTTAGTAGTATGTGTTGCATTTTGTTAGTTTCAATATAAAAATATTCACGGAATTCTTAGAACCCCTTCACTAGAATTTTGCAGTACAAAGTTTGAAAACCAGTGTTCCAGATGTTGCACATAAAAATGTTGATGTTTAAGTAGGAAACTATCTCCCTCAAAGCCAGGTAAGTAATGTGATTTATTACTTTTTAATCTGATTTCTAAATATGCATATGTGCTTTTAATTACAATGAGTATTCTTTTATAATTTAGCTTTAATCCATTGATAAAGGGAGCTTAATTTGATGAACGTGAGCATAATGTTTCTTAGAAATAGATTACTTACCCTTAGGAAGTAAACTATTAATAGCTTTTTATTTTTTATTTATTTATTTTTTTGAGACAGAGTCTCGCTCTGTCACCTAGGCTGGATCCCGAGTTCAAGCGATTCTCCTGCCTCAGCTTACAGAGTAGCTGGGATTACAGGTGCTCACCACCACGCCTAGCTAATTTTTGTATTTTTGGTAGAGATGAGGTTTTGCCATGTTGGCCAAGCTGGTCTCAAACTCCTGACCTCAGGTGATCTGCCTACCTTGGCCTCCCAAAGTGCTGGGATTACAGGCGTGAGCCACCGTGCCTGGACAATAGCTTTTTCATAACACCAACTTGTGTATAATTAAGCCTAATTATCATTTAAAAGTATAATTATTTTCCCCAATCCATTAATCTTATTTATCTTGGTAGCAATTATATCTTACATAGAGAAAATAGTGTAGTTTAATTTATTATAGGATCTTGCTCAAACAGTGAGAACACTTACGGTAAATTTATATATTTTGGTTCCTGTTTCTCTTTATGTTGTATTCCCATGCTCTTTACTTCTCCTTTGACTTGCTCCCATTGAATTAACTTTGCCACTAACCTGTAGGAGATCTTATTTAGGGGAAAAAAATAACAGCAAAGGCTGGATGCCATGGCTCACATCTGTAATCCCAACACCTCAGGAGTACAAGGCAGGAAGATTGCTTGAGCCCAGGAGTTTGAGACCAGCCTGGTAAACATAATGAGACCCCCATCTCTACAAAAAATTTAAAAAAATTAGCCAGGTGTGGTGGCATGCCCCTGTAGTTCCACCTACTCGAGAGCTAAGGTGGGAGGATCATTTGAGCCCAGGAAGTCAAAGCTGCAGTCAGCCATGATTGCACCACTGCACTCCAGCCTGGACAACAAAGTGAGAACCTGTCTCAAAATTAATAGGCCAGGCGCAATGGCTCATGCCTGTAATCCCAGCACTTTGAGAGGCCAAGACAGGCAGATCACCTGAGGTCAGGAGTTCAAGACCAGCCTGGCCAACATGGTGAAACCCTCATCTCTACTAAAAATACAGAAAATTAGCCAGGCATGGTGGTGCACACCTGTAATCTCAGCTATTCGGGAAGCTGAGGCACGAGAATTGCATGAACCCAGGAGGTAGAAGTTGCAGTGAGCTGAGATTGTGCCACCGCACCAGCCTGAGCAACAGAATGAGACTCCATCTCAAAACAAAAGTAAATAACAACAACAATAAAATAATAATAAAAAATAAGAGCAAAGTCTTGTTTTCAGGAGAAATTCCTTACAGAGAAGATAGCTAATTTGTTCCAAAATTTTCTTGGTTTTATACACTTATAAATGAGACAAGAGGACTTTCATTCATCTTTTCAGGGCAGTTTGAAGTCCCTTAAAATATTTATGCCTTGAGGATTTCAGAAATTAAAGTGTCCAGACTATTCCTAGAGCATAATATGTGTGATCTCAGAACCTAGGATTTTATTCTGCATTCCATGAGAATTAACCGGTATAGAAGAGGAATCGAGGTAAACTGTGAACTGTGCTTATAATTTCTGATTTGTCAGCTAAGCTAAATGTTATTTCTTTTTTTTCATTGACTTTGTACAAGTTGATAAGTTAAATGTTACATATGTAAGTTCTTATTTCTTAGATGATCTTTTAAAATTCCATTGCTTTTCTTTAATTTTAGAAAGAGCGAAAAGGAAAGGATGAGAGAATACCAACGAGAACTAGAAGAAAGAGAAGAAAAATTAAAAAAGAGGCCACTGCTATTTGAAAGAGTTGCTCAGGTTGTGTTTATTGGAATTTAAGAGCTATCGTCAGTTTTTTTTTTTTTTTTTACAGCTTTAGCTCCTAAATTTACAGTCCATTTTTCTTATGTGTTATATAACTGTTGAGATACATTATTGTTGTTTGTGTTGGCTTCATCATATCAGCCAATGAGTAATTTTGCTTAAATCCGAGCATTTAGCCAGGTGTGGTGGTGTGCACCTGTAGTCCCAGCTACTTGGGAGGCTGAGGTGGGCAGATTGCTTGAGCCCAAGAGTTTTGGTCCAACCTGTGCAACGTAGCAAGACCTCATCTCAAAAAAATAATCTGAACATTGAATCTTTTTGATGAAGCACATAAGTTTGATAAATAACATGCCAATCCAGTAGTTCGTAAAATAATTTTGCAAGCTGTTTTCTAATGGCTGGTCTTTTTTCAGTACAAACTTGGTTAGATATTAAGATGAGGCTTCATGATATCACTTGGAGGTCTTTGAAGAATTAAAAAAATGAAACAAAATGGCTAATTGAATCAGAGTTATTTCTGCTAGTTTTTTTTTTTAAGTGAGTCTGTAATTCAATCTTCTCTGCAATTACTAAAAGAACTTCCTTTCTATACGAAAAACAAACTAGTCTTACGGACAGTGGACCCTGATTTTACTAAGTTTATGCCCGGTTTTACAACCTTTCCCTTAAGGGAAATTTGTCAATTTTAGGTCATCTTCTCCTTTGTCCCATAGGGGAGGCATCTGTATGGGTGACATGGCTTAACAATTGACAAAATCACTGGAGGTTACAGGTTCTAAATTGTGAATTTGAAGCTGTTATAATTGGACAATAGACAGTTGGAGAATTTACCTGTAACAGATGAGCATAGTTACAGAACTGTACTTGCCAGTGACTCATTGAGGACAGTGGACATGTATTGTGGGTGAATCTGCACATTACAGTCTCTCAAAGTTACGTAATCTTTTTGCTCACTGATCTAGATATAATTTTATATAATGCCTTTCATTTTAAGTGATGGATTTTTTTAACATCTTTATTTCAACTTTAGGGGGAAAAATCATTTTAAGCTGTTCTACATTATAATCATAAAGTGATTGGCTTTTGGCTCAAAGACATTATCTCCAGCTCTGAACTGCAAGTTTTTTGTTTTTGCTCTTTACACTGCTTCTGGGTTTTTCTTATTTATTTATTTATTTATTTTTTCAACTTTTATTTTAAATTCAAGGAGTATATGCGCAGGTTTGTTACAAGGGTATGCCAGGCGCCGTGGCTCACACCTGTAATCCCAGCCAGCATTTTGGGAGGCCGAAGCAGGTGGATCACCTAAGGTCAGTGGTTCGAGACCAGCCTGGCCAACATGGTGAAACCTTGTCTCTACTAAAAATACAAAAATTAGCCGGGCATGGTTTTGCGTGCCTGTAGTCCCAACTACTTGGGAGGCTGAGGCAGGAGAATTGCTTGAACTTGGGAGGCGGAGGTTGTAGTGAGCTGAGATTGCGTCATTGCACTCCAGCCTGAGCAACAAGACCAAAATTCTATCTCAAAAAAAAAAAAAAGGGTATATTGTGTGAGCTGGGGTTTGGGGTATGATTGAACTCATCACCCAGGTAATGAGCATAGTACCCAATAGGTAGGTTTTCAACCCTTGCCCTCCTCCCTCCACTCTCCCTCTTATATTCTCCAGTGTCTGTTGTTCTCATCTTTATTTCCATGTGTACCCAGTGTTTAGTTCCCACTTGTAAGTGAGAACATATGATGTTTGGTTTTCCGTTTCTGCTTTAGTTTGCTTAGGATAATGGCTTCCAGCTGTATCCATATTGTTGCAAAGGACATGATTTCATTCTTTTTTATGGCTGTGTAGTATTCCATGGTGTATGTGTAACATATTTTCTGTATCCAATCCACTGCTGATGGGCTGGGTTGTTACCATGTCTTTGCTGTTGTGAATAGCATCAGCACTTGTTATTGTCTGTCTGATTTTTTTAGAAAAATATTTTTAGAGACAGGGTTTCACTCTGTTGCCCAGGCCAGTGCAGTAGTACAATCATAGCTCACTGGAACCTTGAACTCCTGGGCTCAGATGATCCCCAGTATGAGCATCCCAAGTAGCTGAGACAAAGGCCCACACCATCATGCCCAGCTAATTTTATTTTTTGTAGAGACTGGGTCTCGCTGTATGGCCCAGGCTGGTCGTGAACTCCTGGCCTCAAGTGATCCTCCCACCTCCACCTCCCAAGTTGATGGGATTACAGGCATGAGCCACTGCACCTAGCTTTTGTCTGTCTTTTTGTTATAGTCTTCCTAGTGGGTACAAAGTGGTATTTTATTATTCAGTAACATTCTTTCAACTGTTCTTTTATCTTTTTCATTACAGACTCTATCTACTAGCTTATTGATATGGTAGGTGAGGATTTAGCTGTTTTAACACGTCCTCTCGGAAGCACACTTACCTACCCTTTCAACGTCTTTCCATCTTTCTGTTTCCCAGTCAGCTCTATCACAGTTAGATCGGAATTCAGTGTTATAACTTAGTAAACAATGTTAGCAGCTGAGCCCTATATTATTATCATCACATTTCCTTTTTTTTTTTTTTTTTGAGACAGAGTCTCACTCTGTCACCCAGGCTGGAGTACAGTGTCACAATCTCAGCTCACTGCAACCTCTGCCTCCTGGGTTCAAGCCATTCTCCTGCCTCAGCCTCCTGAGTAGCTGGGATTACAGGTGCGCGCCACCGTGCCTAGCTAATTTTTTTGTATTTTTTAGTAGAGACGAGGTTTCACCATGTTGGTCAGGCTGGTCTCGAACTCCTGACCTGATGATCCGTCTGCATTGGCCTCCCAAAGTGCTGGGATTACAGGCGTGAACCACCATGCCTGGCCCATCACATTTCCTTTAAAAAAATTTTTTCTTGTGTTAATAATTACTAATTTTGTTTGGTCCTCCCCCCACCTTCCCTCATTCCCCACCAATGTATGTATCATTATTATTCTTAGGCTTTTCTGTTAGCTCTCAAAAATCCCCCTCAAACAGTTAAACACATTCGTAATTCATCAGTTCCTTTCCTCCCCTGGAGCCCACAAGTGTCCTGCTCCACTTTGGAATGGTTTCTCTCTAGGCCAGCAGTCCTCAACCTTTTTGGCGCTAGAGACTGGTTTTATGGAAGACCATTTTTCCACAGACCAGGGTTGCGTGGGGTGGGGTGGATGGATCGGGAAATGGATCATTTCAGGATGAAACTGTTCCACCTCACATCATCAGGCGTTAGATTCTCATAAGGAGCATGCAACCTAGATCCCTGGCATGAGCACTTCACGATAGGGGTCACCCTCCTATGAAAATCTAACGCTGTAGGAGGCAGGGCTCAGGCCATAATGCTCGCCCTCCCACTGCTCACTTCCTGCTGTGCAGCCTGGTTCCTAACAGGCCACAGACCCGTACCTAGTTCGTGGTAGGGACCCCTGCTCTAGGCCTCTGGCATAAACGACATCTTAGGACTTTTTCACTGTTATACTGGGGAGTAGTTAGATATTAACCTGGATTTATCTACATTTCTTGTATTTCTTTTAAAATCACTGTTATTTTATTCTAGTTCTGGAAGATTTCCTCAAATTTATCTTCCAAATCTGCATTTTTTGCTTACCTAATGAAAAATGACATAATTTCCAGAATGCTTCCCATTTATTAAATATTCCTTTGGTATTTTTCATGGGTGCAGTACGTTTTTTTTTGTTGTTGTTGGTTTTTTGTTGTTGTTGTTGTTGGTTTTTTTTTGTGTGTGTGTGACAGGGTCTTACTCTGTCCCAGGCTGGAGTGCAGTGGCATGATCTCGGCTCACTGCAACTTTAACCCCTTGGGCTCAGGCAATCTTCCCACCTCAGCCTCCCAAGTAGTTAGGACTACAGGCACAAGCTACCATGCCAGGCTAATTTTTGTATTTTTTGTAAAGACAGGGGTGTTACTGTGTTGTCCATGCTGGTCTTAAGCTCCTGGGCTCAAGAAATCCTCCTTTCTCGGCCTTCCAAAGTGTCGGGATTCCAAGTGTGAGCCACCACACCCAGCCTGTCTTTTATATCTCTGAGCATACTGGTGATATTGTCTCTGTTTCCTTCAAGTTCCTTTTTCTCTTTTTTAGCCTCTTGTCTATCATATTAGAAGCTTTCCTCAGATTATCTTTGGTTGTCTGTTTGCATTTAAGAGGGAGACTGCACAAAGCTATTTGGAAGCTGGTTTATAATGTTTTTTGAGAGGTTGCTGAAAGACAAGCACTCCACTAAGCACTTTATATGCATTGTCTTAACTGACCTTTACACTGCTCCTGTGAGGTTCTTATTTCACAGATGAGGGACATCTTGAGGCTTAGATGATACAACCAGAAGAAGGGGAACCAGGATTCAAACCCAGATCTGACTGTCTTCATGTGATTCTTTTATCTATCATATTGTTTTCCTGCCCCCTTCTCAACAAATGCTTTTTGAATATCAGAAAATCCCTTGAGACCCTTAAAGTCAGATAGAAACAAGACAGACAAATGTAGTCATTCAAGACACACAATTGCAGCAATTACAGATGTGTGTTGAGACAAAATTGTGAATATGATTGTTTTGGAGGTTGGGGGAATGGTCAGATTGATATGTTATTTTTTTCTGTTAACCTCAATTCCAGGGAGCAGGTACATAACCTGGGAATACTAATATTTGTGTTAGTGACATGCGAGGCTTGTTCCAACAGGTCTAGAAAAAAAAAAGGAAAGTAAATAAATGCTAAATTAAAGGAATCATTATGGGTGATACTATAATACAAGAAAGAAAGTATGAAGTATTATTTGGGAAGACCAATATTGAACACATATGCAGCAATGATTTATTATAGTGCTGTTTGTCTAAGAAATATCTTTTTTTTTTTTTTTTTTTGAGAAGGCGTCTCACTCTGTCACCCAGGCTGGAGTGCAGTGGCTCGATCTCAGCTCACTGGAACCTCCGCCTCCCGGGTTCAAGTGATTCTCCTGCCTTAGCCTCCTGAGTATCTGTGATTACAGGCGCGTGCCACCATGCCTGGCTAATTTTTTTTGTATTTTTAGTCAAGACGAAGTTTCATCATGTTGGTCAGGCTGGTCTCGAACTCCTGACCTTGTGATCTGCCCACCTCAGCCTCTCAAAGTTCCGGGATTACAGATGTGAACCACCACATCCAGCCAGAAATATCTTTATATTAGAAAAATTAGGCCAGTGACTCACCCTGTAATCCCAACACTTTGGGAAACTGAGGGGGGGAGGATCATTTGAGGCCAAGAGTTTGAGACCAGTGTCTACTGTTCTCATTTTTTTTTTTTTTTTTTTTTGAGACAGGGTCTTACTCTGTCACCCAGGCTGGAGTGCAGTGGCGTGATCTCGGCTCACTGCAACCTCTGCCTCCTGGGTTCAAGTGATTCTCCTGCCTCAGTCTCCTGAGTAGCTGGGATTACAGGTGCACACCACCATGCCCGGCTAATTTTTTTTGTATTTTTAGTAGAGACGGGATTTCACCATGTTGGCCGGGCTGGTCCTGAACTCCTGACCTCAAGTGATCCACCTGCCTCGGCCTCCCAAAGTACTGGGATTACAGGAGTGAGCCACCGTGCCTGGCCTACTGTTCTCATCTTCATATCTGTGTGTACCCAGTTCCTCCCCATTCAGCTGGTCATTGAGAGACCTGTCAAATTTTCTTCCTAAATAATTTTTGGATCTGCCCTTCACCATCCTTGGTGGTGAAATGCCAGGTGGAACCTTTATTTCCTATCTGAATCATAATAGTTTGATTGATTTTTCTGCCTTGCTCTTTGCAGAACCATTCATTATACCTTCGCCTTACCATTTTCATTCCCCTACTAAAATGTTAACCCTGGGTAGACAATTAATAAGCCTTTATAACAGGGACAATCATCCATTCTCACCAATTCCATTTATTCTCATTTTCAATGAATGATATCAAGGGGTCTTCTCATTAACTTCTCAAAAAGTATAAACAGAGTTACCATGGCAGTGAATCGCCATTGCTTTTTTTTTTTAGTACATTTTTTGCTGCAGTCTATTTTGCTGGAACTATTGCTGCTAATTAACAGCTGGTTTTTAATAAATTTGCTTGCAGCTATTTGCTTTGCCCATTTATAGGAGTTAATTGTGGTCTCGCTGCTGCTGAGTGATTCCCTAACACAATATGCCTGTGATTCTTTACAGAATAAACTATGTTGTCCTGTTTCTTGGAAATCACAGGATTAATTAACTGAGAAGATGTTAAATTGAATTTTAAACCAAAGTCAGATGAAGGCTTACTGGCACAAATTTTGACTAATGTCTTTTTAATGTCTTATATATTTAATTTGCTGAAGTCAGAATATACTGTTGGTAATGCATTCAGAGCTAGGTTTGGGGTTTCTTTATTCTTCTCTGCAGTCTTTAGGGTATAGTTCTTATTTCTCATTTTGCCCTTCCTTTCAGCTCCCCAAGACTTGTCTTTTGATATTCACAGACTCTGGATGGGTTTTTACTTACTTTTCTAAAAAATATTATTGTTATTCACAGTGAGTGCGTTTTAGCAGCAGTGTTTCTTTTTCAGTTTTCCAGAGTATCAGGAAATGCCCTGGTGATAGTTTTATCTATTGTAATCAGTCCTTGCTATTTCAGGTTCTCCTGTGTAACACTAGACTCCATGGCCCCTCATTATACTAGATTTGGCAAATATCTGACAACTACGTTGCTCAAGTCAGGCTTTAGGTCACCTTCAAACTCTTGACGACCACTACCACTTAGAGAAAGTAGCATGATGTAATATAAAAGACCTAGGAAATGGTCAAGAGACTTGGTTCTACCACTCACTAGCCTTGTGACCTTAGTCAATTTCACCTTTGAGGCGGGGGCCGGGGGAGACTTGGTTTCTTTATTAAATATGGGGGTTAGACTGGGTACTCCTCCACACCCTTCCCAGTATGAATGCCATTGGTACATTGGAACTGGGCCATTCCTAGTATTAGGAATGCTTGCTTTACTTGGAGGTCTTAGCTTTAGTTGGAGGTCCAGAGGGCAATTCTTGGCCCTCTAACAGTTCAGATCCACTCATGGGAGCTAAAATGGGCTAAAGTGGAGGCACTAGTGTGAACCCAGTCACTATGTGGCTCCATAAAGCCTGCCATCTCTGGAGCTGTGATGAGAGGGTCATCACAATTCCAACAGATCTTAAAGCCGGGAAGTGACATTCTACAGATTTGAACCCAGTTCTAAATTCATATTCTTTTTGTTATATCCCTTGCTTCCTCCACAGAGTAAAGATTACAACACTGGTGCTTTTATCATCTTTAATGGATTGGGGATATGGCTTATAAAGAGTAAAAATTACAGTAGATACATAAAATAAAAGAAATTGGCTGGGTGCCATGGCTCATGCCTGTAATCCCAGCACTTTGGGAGGCCAAGGCCGGTGGATCACTTAAACCCAGGAATTCAAGGCCATCCTGGACAACATAGTGACGCCCCGTCCTACAAAAAATACAAAAATTAGCTGGGCATGGTGGCACGCGCCTATGGTCCCAGCTACTCCAGAGGCTGAGGTGGGAGGATCGCTTGAGCCCAGCAGGTTGAGGCTGCAGTGAGTTGTGTTTGCACCACTGCACTCCAGCCTGGGTGACAGAGCAAGACCCTTTTTCAAAAAAAAAAGGAAAAAGAATCCTCTGACAACAATTATTGCATGAAATCTTTTTTTTTTTTTCAGATATCTTTATACAGTCATAAAAGTATATAAAACCTAGGTACAATATAAAAAATAATTATAGATCAATCTAATGTGGCCACCACCCATGTTAACAAATAGACCATTGCCAGCACCCCAAAAACCCTATGTGCCATTGCAGATCACAGCCCTCTACCTCTCCCCAAGAGGTAACCACCATTCTAACTTTCAGGATAAGTACTTCCTTGTTTTTCTTTGCAATTTTACAGTGTGTGTACCTATCCTCAAACAATATAGTTGTTTTGCCCATTTCTGAACTTTATATAGATCATACAATATGTACTTGTCAGTGCTTTGCTTCTTTTGCTCAGTATTATATTTGTGAGATCTATCCATGTTGTGGCATGTAACTGTAGTTCATTCATTTTCCTTGCTTTGTTTCACTCCATTATAGGAATAGACCACAATTTATTTATCCATTCTGCTACTAATAGATATTTGGGTGATTTCCCATTTGGGGTTATTGAAGGACAGTACTATCCTGAACATTCTTGAACATGTCCTCCCTTGGGACTCATATGTGGGAGCTTCTCTGGTTATATTCCTAGGAGTGTAATTGTTGGTCATAGGGTATGCAGATTTTCAAACAACTGTGACTGCTGAACTTAATTATCACCAGTACTTTTAATCCATATTTTTTTTTTTTTTTTTTTTGAGACAGAGTCTTGTTCTGTCACCCAGGCTGGAGTACAGTGGCGCGATCTCGGCTCACTGCAAGCTCCGCCTCCCAGGTTCACGCCATTCTCCTGCCTCAGCCTCCCGAGTAGCTGGGACTACAGGCGGCCACCACCACGCCCGGCTAATTTTTTGTATTTTTAGTAGAGACGGGGTTTCACCGTGTTAGCCAGGATGGTCTTGATCTCCTGACCTCGTGATCCACCCGTCTCGGCCTCCCAAAGCACTGGGATTACAGGCGTGAGCCACCGCGCCTGGCCTAATCTATACATTTTTGATGAAAATTTAAAGTCTTCTGTTCTCGTCTAAAAAGGTTTGTCTTTCCTATAGAAAAATGCAAGAATGGCAGCAGAAAAGCATTATTCTAATACCCTAAAAGCACTAGGAATATCTGATGAGTTTGTTTCAAAGAAAGGCCAAAGTGGAAAAGTACTTGAGTACTTCAACAATCAAGAGACGAAAAGTGTCACTGAAGACAAAGAAAGGTAACATATATAAGATGTCTGAATGGCTTACCTTTGAAAAAATTATTACCTGCAGAAAAGCACAATTTTATACTATGTATATTTTTTGTTCTATATTGTTTTAAAAAGATCTTTTACCCAATAGTAAAAGACATATGAACTGTTGTAAAACACACTGATATTTTAACATGTTTGACACATTAACGTTCACATGAAGTATTTTATTTTTAAAGCAGAATAACAGATTTCTTAAAGACATAAGTAACAAAAATAATAGCATGCTTTCAAATGAAGTTTAAAGAAACAATCACTCAAATTTTGAAATAAATTAGTTTTCAGGAATATTAAATTTCTCAATGGGCACTTTTATAGCGTTTTCTTCTTTTTTTTGAGTTGTCTTGGTAACAAATTGGAATTCATACACTTGAGGAAGACTGGCTACACGGTGGCATACTTGCAGAGGGTTTGTTTACCTTTAAACCAACTCATTTTTCCTTTGAAAGATTGATAAATTTCTTCCCCTAGCTTTAATGAAGAAGAAAAAATAGAAGAAAGAGAGAATGGGGAAGAAAATTATTTTATTGATACCAACAGCCAGGATTCTTACAAGGAAAAAGATGAAGCCAATGAGGAAAGTGAAGAAGAGAAATCTGTTGAAGAATCACACTGAATCATCAAGGTCTCCTCTCTATGCCCTTGCTGTTGTTTGCAGCGTCAGGGTGTCAGCAGCCGCATTTGTGTTTAGAACATCTGTGGGGACGCTTCTGATATGTGCAGGGCTGTTGATCAAAGTCATCTGTAGCCTGAAAAGCCTGAATCCAGCTGATTGGTCATTTGATCAGTTAGAGTAAGGCTTTGCCTATTCAGTTTTAAAAATCATTGTGTATTATCTGTTTGCAACTATGATTTTGTATTTTTAAAAAGTGAGAACCACAGCTGTCACAAACTGATTAGTTATAAAAATATACATTATTTCATTAATTTTACTGGAAAAAATGGCTTAGTATTGAAAGGAGAGAGAAGTATTGGTCTTTGGTGGTTTACTTTTTAAAAATTTTGGAAAGTGTGAATCAATAACTATTTTTAATTATACTATTTGCCC
Source organism: Homo sapiens (assembly GCF_000001405.40). Lineage (NCBI taxonomy): Eukaryota > Metazoa > Chordata > Mammalia > Primates > Hominidae > Homo > Homo sapiens. The sequence goes on along the minus strand of NC_000002.12, from coordinate 61,826,022 downwards.
ATTCTTTTTCTCTGCAGTGCATTTCACAGAATAAATCCTCTAACTTGTTTTGCTGCTCTGAGCCATTTTTAAAAGTATAGAAAAAACGCCGGGTATGGTGGCTCATGCCTGTAATCCCAGCATTTTGGGAGGCCGAGACGGGTGGATCACGAGGTCAGGAGATCGAGACCATCCTGGCTAACACGATGAAACCCCGTCTCTACTAAAAATACAAAAAATTAGCCAGGCGTGGTGGTGGGCGCCTGTAGTCCCAGCTACTTGGGAGGCAGAGGCAGGAGAATGGCATGAACCCAGGAGGCAGAGCTTGCAGTGAGCCGAGATCGCGCCACTGCACTCCAGCTTGGGCAACAGAGCGAGACTCCGTCTCCAAAAAAAAAAAAAAAGTATAGAAAAAAATGGATACTTGCAAATTTACATTTATTTTTGCACTGAGAGTTTACTGTTAAATTGTCTACACCATCATCCCTTTTTCTTTTTATCCTTAGTTCTAGTCCAAATTATTTTTGATTTGTAAATTATTAGGAAAGTTTTTATACTAGTTTTTTTAACCCTATGTATTATTACAGATGGAAGTAATTATGGCATGTGTGAGTTATAATCTAAATTAGGGGCAAGTATCCCTTTTTTTATATGATGAAATTGTGCATAATAACTTGGCTAGGGCAAGTCTCCAAAGTAATTCAGATTTAACTCTTCACTGCTAGACCCAGTTGTGTTCAACTTTTTACATATTATTGCCAACACACTTTATCTCTCTGTGTACAGTGTTAATCTGATTTTATAAATCTATATTTTTTTCTTTAAGCAAATTTTTGTTTTAAAATTTGAAGCCAATCATAAAGATAATATAGCATAAGACATTTTCTTTTCTAAAAACAATCAGCATCATTTTAAAAGGATGAACTAATACAGGTGTATGTAATAGCAGTGTTTCCAAACTGGCAATTTATGCTTTAAATTTAAAAATAAGGTCATTTTTCTCCATCAGGGGCAAATGTTTACTTGTAATTTTCTTCCTACAGTTCGTGTTAAATTACTTTTTACTATTATTATATTGTAAACTCCTTGGGATTTGGCACCATTTAAAAATTCATCTTTGTATTCCCTTAATATTTGGAACAGTATTGTACATATGGTAGGTACTTAATAAAGGTTTGAATGAGTGTGTAGATGAATATGGTTTTTATATACTTACAGCTACTTCAGAATGAGTACACATGGGATTAAAAACATTTCCCTCCTAGCTCATTGGGAGCCTGTGAAACACAATCTACAAATTGTAATAGTACTTAAAACATTACTTGCTTTCAAGGATTCACTCCACAGCCTGTCCCTTCTCAATTTCATGAGGAGAGTGTGGGCTTTGGTCATGAAACACTTGGCTTCAGGACCAATCTTGTTTTCTTACCTTTAAAAAAAAAATGGGAATATTACCTATCTTGAGTGGCTGTAGGAAGGACTGGATGAAATCATATATGGAAAGGTCTTTGCAAACTGTGATATTCAAATGATGGTGTCAGAAGACAGAATATTCCTGAGGAAACTGTTAACTTAAAATACTTGTACTTAAATGAGATACACTGTGATTTAAATATTATTTGGTTAGAAATAACTTTTGAAGCACTTTGTTAGACATGATCTGGTTAACACAGAACCAAAGTTAAAAAAAGAGGGAGAGAGACACTGACAGTTTCAAATCATTCTGTGCATATCACTGTTCACTTTGGGAGGCCGAGATGGGTGGATTATGAGGTCAGGAGATCGAGACCATCCTGGCTAACACGGTGAAACCCCGTCTCTACTAAAAATACAAAAAAAAAAAAAAAAAATTAGCCAGGCGTGGTGGTGGGTGCCTGTAGTCCCAGCTACTCGGGAGGCTGAGGCAGGAGAATGGCCTGAACCTGGGAGGCAGAGCTTGCAGTGAGCCGAGATGGCACCACTGCACTCTAGCCTGGGTGACAGAGTGAGACTCCATCTCAAAAAAAAAAAAGAAAAAAAAGACATCAAATTGACAGCTGAAAGATTACTTTAGCAGGTCACATTACACAGTGATGGTTAGAAGTCAACTGGTTAAATCAAACATGTTTTCAGGTGTTAGGTAACTGAAAATTTTTTACATTTGTATCATCTGAATTGGCTCCAGAATTCTTTTTACTTATGGGATTTTCCTTTATACAAGAGTAACCTAACATCAAGAAAAAGGTTATGCTCTTTTTTTCTTTCATAATATTACTGGGTACCCTATTACTTCATACTTATTTCCGCAGAGAAAATGGCCTGGGGACTTATTGGAGGATTAAGTTATTTTACACATACACAAACACACACGTATATATGTATCTATAAATATGATGGAAGTCTGGATGTGGTGGCTCATGCCTGTAATCTCAGCACTTTCGGAGGCAGAGGAAGGCGGCTCACTTGAGGTCAGGAGTTCAAGATCAGCCTGGGCAACATGGTGAAACCCTGTCTCTACAAAAAATACAAAAGTTAGCCAGGCGGGGTGTCATGCACCAAGTAGTCCCAGATACTCGGGAAGCTAAGGTGGGAGGATTGGTTCAGCCCAGGTGGTTGAGGCTGCAGTGAGCCCTGATCACACCACTCCAACCTAGGTAACAAAGTGAGACCCTGACTCAATATATATATATATATATATATATGATGGAAAATTTAGCATTTTTTTTTTTTTTGAGATGGAATCTCACTCTGTCGCCCAGTCTGGAGTGCAGTGGTGCGATCTTGGCTCACTGCAACCCCTGCCACCCAGGTTCAAGTGATTCTCCTGCCTCCACCTCCCGAGTAGCTGGGATTACAGGTGCCTGCCACCACGCCTGGCTAATTTTTATAGTTTTAGTAGAGATGGGATTTCACCATCTTGGCCAGGCTGGTCTTGAACTCCTGACCTCGTCATCCATCTGCCTCGGCCTCCCAAAGTGCTGGGATTACAGGCATGAGCCACCGCAATTATTCTTTTACTCTGTTGAGTTAGTCTACATAATAAAACAAATAAGCATGCCTTTAAGGATATCTGGTATTTTTCTCTTAGACAGTATTTCTCAAGTTAATTCTAGTCACTTGAGAATAGCAAAGATTTCAACATTTGGACCTAGGCAATACAAAATCATTAACTTCAGGCCGGGTGCAGCGGCTCATGCCTGTAATCCCAGCACTTTGGGAGGCTGAGGCAGGCGGATCACCTGAGGTCAGGAGTTTGAGACCAGCCTGGCCAACATGGTGAAACCCCGTCTCTACTTAAAATACAAAAAGAATTAGCCAAGTGTGGTAGCATATGCCTATAATCCCAGCCATTTGGGAGGCTGAGGCAGGAGAATTGCTTGAACCTGGGAGGTGGAGGTTGCAGTGAGCCGAGATTGTGCCACTGCACTCTAGCCTAGGCAATAAGAGTGAAAACCCCGTTTCAAAAAAAATAAAAAATAACTTTATAAAAATTACCTCATTGCTTCAAAGAAAAATGTATGCCCTTCTCAACTATCACATATGTGTATATGTGTGTTTTAGTGGTTGTTTAGAAGGGAGCAAGTTATTGTGAAATGAAGTTTTTGTCAATTTGACAATATTTAGACTATAATATTATGGTGTCAAAGTAATTACTTTGTCCTAAATTCTTTAGGTAGTCTCATTTCTTGTCACTTATATGTAGTCCTGATGTGGCTGTGGTTTACTAACTTACCTGTATTGTTAGAAAAGTTATAGGAATAACTTTTTAAAATTTTTAATTTAAATTTAAATTTAATTTAGAGACAGCGTCTCGCTATGTTGCCCAGGCTGGTCTCAAACTCCTGGACTCAAGTGATCCTCCTGCCTTGGCTTCTCAAAGTGTTAGGATTACAGGTGTGAGCCACTGTGCCTGGCCAGGAATAACCTTTATAGTATAGCAACTTTGTTTGTTTTTAAGGGAGGAAGTAATAATCAGGGTCACAGATTCCAACATTCTGCCAGGCACAGTGGCTCACACTTGTAATCCCAGCACTTTGGGAGGCTGAGGCAGGCAGATTACTTGAGGTCAGGAGTTTGAGACCAGCCTGACCAACATGGTAAAACCCTGTCTCTACAAAAATACAAAAATTAGCCGGGTATGGTGGTGGGCATCTGTAATCCCAGCTACCCAGGAGGCTGAGGCAGGAGAATCGCTTGAACCTGAGAGGCAGAGATTTCAGTGAGCTGAGATCATGCCACTGCACTCCAGCCCGGGCAACAGAGCAAGACTCTGTCTAAAAAAATAATAATAATAAATAAAATAAAATAAAATCCAATATTCTGACCAGATTTCTGACAGATGCAGTGGCCTACACCTGTAATCTCAGCACTTTGGAAGGCTGAGGTGGGAAAATCACTTGAGTCCAGGAGTTCAAGACCAGCCTGGGCAACAGCGTGAGATCCTGTCTCAAAACAAAAAGAAAAAAAGATATTCAGATTCTATTTTACAACTAATATAGACTGAATAAATGAAAAATAAAACTATGGCTTGTAAAATTTTCTAGTTAAGAAATCAGATATACTAATATTTAGATATCTACTTACTCTAATTATTTTTTCATTTTTGTAACAACTAAGACTGTGGTCTTTGGCAAATTATAAATGTCAATAAGAGAAGGAGATAAAAAATTGAGAAGGAAAAAAATTGGTATATAACTATTAAAAGTCAAGGCATAGCTGGGCGCAGTGGCTCACGCCTGTAATCCCAGCACTTTGGGAGGCCGAGGCAGGCAGATCACAAGGTCAGGAGTTTGAGACCAGCCTGGCCAATATGGTGAAACCCCATCTCTACTAAAAGTACAAAAATCAGCCAGGCATGGTGGCAGGCGCCTGTAGTCCCAGCTACTCTGTAGGCTGAGGCAGGAGAATCGCTTGAACCCGGGAGGCCGAGGTTGCAGTGAGCTGAGATTGTGCCACTGCACTGCAGCCTGGGCAACAGAGCAAGACTTTGTCTAAGAAAAAAAAAAAAAGAAAAAAAAAGTCAAGGCATAAAATGTATGCTTATATCTAACTCTGAAAAGATATACCAGAAAATATAAATGTTAATAGAGTCTGCCTCTAAGAGCCTGGGAGTAGGTGATGGAAGAGAGACTTCATTCTTTTTGTTTCTTCCTTTTCAACACTTACATATGTTAAAGAAAAATATAAATGAGGCTTTAGCTTTGTAGGAAGGTATTTTGTAGTTATATTTTCTAGATGTGCCCATCACCTAATGTCAAGAATTATCAACTCACAATTAAGTTTATTTCTTCTATATTCCCACTCTCTAGCCCCTAGTTGTTTCGAAGCAAATCACAGACATATTTCATGTATAAATATTTCAGTATAGATCTTTAAATGATAAAAACTTTCCCTTGTTACACAGCTCTAATACCATCATCACACATACAAAAAGAATAATACAAAAAAGAATAACCCCTTAATACCAGTTACCTAGCAGTGTTCACATTTATCCTACTGTCTCTTAGGTGATGTTCTTCAGTGTCTTCTTTAATGCCAGCAACAAATACCTTTTTCACAGTTAGGTGGGCACCTGGTCTTTGAGAACCTTCTCTTGAGACAGCCCTCTTTGGTTCCACAGCTCTCCCATCCACCTTGTGTGGCCTTGCATTCATGGCTGCATCCACCTCCTCCACAGTGGCATAGGTGACAAACCCAAAGCCCCTGGAGCACTTGGTGTTGGGATCTCTCATGACCACACAGCCTGTGAGCATTCCCCATTGCTCAGAATGGCTCCTCAGCCTCTCATCAGTCGTTTCAAAGCTCGATCCTCCAGTGAAGAGCTGCCACAGCTGCTTGGCTGTTTAGGAGACTGACTTAGACATGACAGCAGTGGGAAGAGAGATTTTAATGATGCTTCCTGGTGGCGGCCACGGACAGAAGGTGGGTGTCTATTAAATGCAGCAGAACACAATTCCTAATTTAAGAGGTATACCCAACACATCATTAAATATACTGTATAAAGTAGCATTTCTGAATTTCCACCAGCTACATGTGTCTGTGATGTACAGTGAGGTCCATCATTTACTTCTCTTAGAAGAATGCTTTTTCCAAGACAAAAAATATCCTCTATGAGGAAAAAATGCAAAATAAGACATTAACATTGTATAATAGAAAAAAATCATAAATGAGCCTTTCTCAAGCAAATAACAATATTCATTCATCTTGAATGCTAATAAAAAGAAGATGGTATACTTCATTATGAAAATAAGTTATCTTGTTGCACTATAATAATGCTCAGATGGATGAAAAAACCCACAGCATCCTTTTGCTAACCCTAAAAGTTATGTTCCTAAAAACCATGCCAAGAGTGTGTGGTTGAGGAACTGCAACACTTCATGGGAAACAAAAACAAGAATCAAAATAGGACAGGAGGAAGCCTGACAAAGTCAGTGCAGTTAAAAAAAATGTTCACTAATATAGAACAGTCCACTGAAGATAATGTCAATGACATTAATGTACAATTAATTGTTTTTTGTTATTCCTTGCTCATCACCACATTTTCAGGACTTTTCTTTCTACCAGACTTGAATGAGATTTTGTTGTATTGGCTTTTTTGTTTTGAGACAGAGTCTCACTCTGTCACCCAGGCTGGAGTGTAGCAGCGGGATCATGGCTCACTGTAACCTCTGCCTCCTGGGCTCAGTGATCCTCCTTCCTCAGCCTCCTGAGTAGCTGGGACTACAGGCATGCGCCACCACCATGCCCGGCTAATTTTTGTACTTTTTGCAGAGACAGGTTTTGCCATGTTGCCCAGGCTGGTCTTGAACTCCAGGAATCAAGTGATCCACCCATTTGATCAGCTCCCCAAATTGGTGGGTGCATTTAGTTTTGATAGCTCTTTAGTCTCTTTTTGTCTAGACAGCTCTCTGCCTTTTTTGTCTTTCATTTCATTGTTACTTTGTAAGAGTCCAGGCCAGTCATCTGTAGCCTGGCATGTAATTTAGATTTCTCTAATTGTTTGCTTAATTGGATTCTGGTTAAACATTGTGGGCATGAATACTACCTAACTAATTTGTGTACTTTGTATGACATTAAGTGGGGAGGCACAGAATGTCACTTTGTTGCATTATTATTGACACTAAATTTGATCACTTGGTTAAAGGGCTATCCATCAGTTCTCTCCATTGTAAAGGCACTGTATCCCTTGATGCTTAAGTAACCGGGTAGTGTCAGGGGGATACTTGACACGGTGTGAACATCCTGTTCCCCAACACATTTTACCTAACAGTTTTAGTATTCCTTGATGGTCTTCACCTGAATAAGTTATTATGCTGGGGGTTGCAAAATGGTCATTTTCTAATTCTATTATGTGTTCTATATTAGCTGATAGTCTCTGTAAAGAAGAGCTTCCCAGTCTCTTTTATGTGAGGTATCATCATGATGCACAAATTCTTCATTTATTCAATGTGTTATAATGTGTTACCATCATTAAAATTTTTAAATTATGCTCAAATTGTCCTAAATTTGGCCAGTGGGAGCCCCTACAAGCTGGTTTGTGTGTTTTATTTACATCTTTCCCTCAGTCTTTGTGCACTTTCTTACTTTCTGGAACAAGAAGAAATCCAAGGATCATCTTGTACTTTCTCTGACCCAGCCCTGGCATTGGCCATTTATTTGACAGACCCTGAAGCCTTTTAATGGAAAATGGTCTTCAGAAATTAGGATCCAGCCAGGGACGGTGGCTCACACCTGTAATCCCAACACTTTGGGAGACCGAGGCGGGTGGATCACTTGAGGCCAGGAGTTTGAGACCAGCCTGGCCAACAAGGTGAGATCCCATCTCTACTGAAAATACAAAAATTAGCCGGGCGTGGTGGTGGGCACCTGTAATCCCAGCTACTCAGGAGGCTGAGGCAGGAGAATTGCTTGAACCCAGGAGGCAGAGGCAATGAGCCAAGATTGCACCACTGCACTCCAGCCTGGGCAACAGAGACTCCAACTCAAAAAAAAAAAAAAAAGGATCTGAATGTTAGGTATACTCATTGTTACTAGGTGTCATTGTTTCTAGGTCTGGGAAACATATATGCTTCTTGTTTTGGTTTGGTTTTGGTTTTGTTGTTTGTTCCAGACAGGGTCTTGCTTTGTCACCCAGGCTGGAGTGCAGTGTAGAATCACTGCAGTCTCAACCTCCTAGGTTCAAGCGATCCTCCCACCTCAGCCTTCTGAGTAGCTGGGACCACTCCTGCAAGCCACCGCACCTGCTAATTTTTAATTTTTTTGTAGAGACAGGGTCTCACTATGTTGCCCAGGCTGGTCTTGGTCTCCTGAACTCAAACCATCCTCCTGCCTTGGCCTCCCAAAGTGTTGGGATTACAGGCATGAGCCACCGCACCTGGCCTATGTTTCTTTGTTTTTGAAAATGTTGGTTTAACACTTTGTGATGAAGCAACTTGAAGGATTTGTCCTAAGCTGAGTGTATCTCAATGCTGGGCTTGAATGTCTGTCATGCGAAAAAGAGACTCCACCAGGCTCTGTGCTCAGGATCCAGTATTCACATATGGTGAGGTTTGTTTTTCATTACAGTGAATGTAAATCCTTATTTCAATAATCTTCTTGATAATTTTGAATTTGTTGGCTTAGTCCAAAGTAAGAATTGGTTAGATCACCATTGTTTTTCCTCCTAATATGGCTGATTAAGAGCTTGTACCAGGTACAGAGAAGCATTCTTGCATTTTCTTGTTTCCTTGTGCTGTGTTAATAGTATTATCTTCAGTCTGAGGTTTCTCTGCAGGATTTTCTTTTAAAGCCGCTTGTCTGTTTTGTGAGGACTGGTTTTGGAAAGCTGCTAATATGATCTGTGAAGCGACTCACAGGGCACACACAACCTGAGGGGCATGGCCAAATTCCATGCGAAGAAAGCGAAGGGCCCTGTCCCCGCGTGGCACTTGACCGTCTGCCATCTGACCGAGAATGGATCATGTGAGCAGCCAGTGACAAACCACATATTAAATCTTGGTAAAGCTTTATTTCTTTTTTAGATAAAGTTAGTATAAATGTTCTACCTATTTCAGTTTCGAATTGCAGTTTCTTTCTGCAGCAAATGGAGCATATTTCTCCCCTCCCACTCCGGGTGTGTGACTCCACTTGGAAAATGCCTGCTTGGGGCCCCTGCAACTGACTCCCAGCTGCTTTCCCTGCTTCCTCTCTGGCCGATGCAGCCAGTGTGGCTAGAGTGAAGAGTGACTGCAGGAATGTGATTGCCGAGGCAAGTAGGGCAGAGAATGAAGGGTCATTTGCTCCAAGTTAAAGTACACACAGGCCAGGGCCGTGGCTCACACCTGTAATCCTAGCACTTTGGGAGGCCGAAGTGGGAAGATCATGTCCAGGAGTTCGAGACCAGCCTGGGCAACATAGCAAGACCCCCCCGCCCCGCCGTCTCTACAAAAAATACAAAAATTAGCCACATCTAGTGGTGTGTGTCTGTGGTCCCAGCTACTCAGGAGACTGAGGCGGAGGATTGCTTGAGTCCAGGAGGTCAAGGCTGCAGTGGGCAGAGATTGCACCACCACACTCCAGCCTGGGCGACAGAGCAAGACCCTGTCTCAATTAAACAAACAAACAAACAAAAAACCCTCAGTTTACAGTAGGGCAGGGTAGAGAGAGAATAAATCCTAACTCCCCAAACCACCATTTCCCCCAGTGTCAAGATGATACTTGTAGATTTGGGCAAGGGTTGAAGGGATGCTTTTGTTGTCAGTCAAGGTCAGAGAGCTAATGTGACCCAGGCAGTGGGAGGGTGAATGTAAGGTAATAAATAAAGTGAAAAAAGTGTGTTCACAGGAGTAAGACTTCTATGCATAGCTCAGATGTGGAGTTTCAGAACAAATGCATCCTCAGTATGGAGGTGTGTTTGAGTTTATGCTATGGGAGAAAGCCAACGTCAATGGAGGTCTCACTGCCACCCAAAGATCCAAGCTTACCTCCTCTCAGGGAGTGGGGATTGTGGGGAAAGCAAGCAAGACTTGAGCTTAGGAAGCCTCTCTGCAGAGCCAGCAGTAACTGGTTTAGGGCTCAAGAAAAGACATTGATTTTCCATAGAAGCCTAAGGATGAAAAATTTGCAAGACACAGAAAAAAGGGATAGGCTTTCAATTATTTTTGTTGGGAGGATTGGTTTGCTTTGGGTAAAAGGAGGTAGACAGTGGACAAGGAGGGACAAAACATAGGGAGAGAGGCCAGGTGTGGTGGCTCACGCCTGTAATCCCAGCACTTTGGGAGGCTGAGGTGCGGGGATCACTTGAGGTCAGGAATTCAAGACCAGCCTGGCCAACCTGGTGAAACCCAGTCTCTACTAAAAATACAAAAACTATCTGGGCATGGTAGCACATGCCTGTAATCCCAGTTATTTGGGAAGCTGAGGCAGGAGAATCGCTTTAACCTGGGAGGCGAAGGTTGCAGTGAGCTGAGACCGCGCCACTGCACTCCAGCCTGGGTGACAGAACGAGACTCCATCTCAAAAAAAAAAAAAAAAAAAAAAAAAAAAAAAAAGACACATCTTTCAGGGTGGACACAGAGGATTTTTCTAGTAAACAGCAGACACTTTGCTCAGGTTGGAGAGGCTTCTGACCCTTTGTACGCACTTTCCTGGGGCAACACAGTTGGCCATCAGGACATTAGTCACGAGTTGTCCCCTCCCTTGAGGCGGATTCAACGAACAGGTTCTTTCCTGCTCTCCAAGCACGCCATCATACAGCATACTGGCATGGCATTTGGACAAAGGTTTTCTACCTAACTTTGTAATTATATGGAATATCTCTGAGAAAGATCCTCCCAGATAATGGTGTGACTTACTAGAGAACAGTAATTTATAACTGTAATTTGTTAATCCCATGAGTATCCCTAGAGGAGGAAAAATCTTGATTGTATGGAAGCTGTGTGGACTTAAGGTCTATATAAAAGAATTGACCCAAGGTTGCTCCTAGTCATCTGATGGGAACAACTCCTTCTTTGTGGACCCCTAGGCATCAAGGAATAGCTGCACACCCACAGATAGTGACTGATTTGGATAAACGGAGCTGATCACTCACTCTTCAGAGTGATAGAGACTGTCAGCTGAAAAATCACGAGAAATTCCGGCATCTCTAACCTCACTCTGAGAGTGGCAGCCCTGGAAAGGATAACTGTATTTCTTAAGAAGGGGATTTAGCCTCTGGCTGAAAAACTAAAAGCAAACTCTTTGAAGGAGAAGAGGTTGGCAAGGGATTTATACAGAAGTTGGCCAAGTATACGCACTCAACAGGTTGTAGGAGGAGCTGTGAATATTCATGAAGGGGGTCCTGATCATGCATATTGAACAAACATGCATTTATTTCTTCCTGTCTTGCCCTGCTGCCCAGGCTGGAGTGCAGTGGTGCAATCATGGCTCACTGCAGCCTCAACCTCCTAGGCTCAAGCGATCCTCTCACCTCAACCTCCCAAGTAGCTGGGATTACAGCTGCACATCATCAAGTCTGGCTAATTTTTGTATTTTTTGTAGAGACGGAGTTTTGTCACGTTGCCCTAGCTTGTCTGAAACTCCTCTCGAGCAGAGGAAAGGAAGAGAAGCAGAGATACAGATTACAATTGTGCTAACAGTTGTCTGAGCATAACTGTATTAACAGTATTTCCACTACTGCATTTCAACTCATGTTACAGCAAGCATTTCAGTGATATGACAATATCTTTGATCAAGGCATTCTGTAGTTCAGGAGTGAGCAGAAAGCAGTTAAAAGATCTAACAAAACTAATAAGAAGCAAAAAAGTTCAAAGAGCAAACTGTCAGGAACCTAGGAACTCAGAGAAAATGGGGATAAGTTCTGGATGAACAGAATTTACATACAGAATTCCAATCCATTTCTGAGGCAATAATTTTCTCACTGGTAGGTGACACTCCAGCCACCCACAAACCTCATGCTCCTTGTCTCAGTGGAGCTCCCCTTTGCCCCCTGACTGAGTCTGAGGGGCTTCTGCATGTTCCCTCCCATTGCTGCCTCCAGGATGCATCTTTCTGGCATCTCTAACCTCACTCTGAGAGTGGCAGCCCTGACTGCCTGGCACCTCATACACACTGCTAGCTCAGAACTCCTCAGGGTTCGGTCATAATTGTTGTGATGTTGTATCCCTGAAGGCCAGATTTTATCTTTCAACTTTCTATCCCCAGGCCTGGCCCAGAGCCTAGTATATAGGATGGGCTTAATCCATGTTTTTGAGTGAACGACCAATACATAAATCCATAATAATCAAGCACACTGTTTCAGCAAACAGCTCAACAATATAGCTATCAGAGCGACTTTTTTCTTTTCTTTTTTCTTTTTTTTTTTTTTTTTGAGACAGGGTCTTGCTCTGTCACGCAGGTTGGAATGCAGTGGCACAATTGCAGCTGACTGCAGCCTCACCCTCCTGGTCTCAAGTGATCCTTCCACCTCAGCCTCCCAAATAGCTGAGACCACAGGTGCATGCCACCACATCTGGCTCTTTTTTTTTTTTTTTTTTTTTTTGAGGTGGAGTCTTGCTGTGTCACCCAGGCTGGATTGCAGTGTCATGATCTCAGCTCACTGCAACCTCTGCCTCCTGGATTCAAGCAATTATTCTGCCTCAGCATCCCAAGTAGCTGGTACTACAGACGTGCATCACCATGCCTGGCTAATTAGTGTATTTTTTTTTTTTAGTAGAGACGAGGTGTCACCATATTGGCCAGGCTGGTCTTGAACTCCTGACCTTGTGATCTGCCCACCTCAGCCCAGCCACAGCTGGCTAATTTTTAAAATTACTAGTAGAGATAAGGTCTCTCTATGTTGCCCAGGCTGGTCTTGAACTCCTGGGCTCAAGTGATCTTCAGCCTCCCAAAATGCTGGGATTACAGGCGTGAGCCATGGCCTAGAATAACTTTTTTCTGGTATTGTTACTTTAATCTTCATAAGAACATAACACAAGACTATTCACTACCAAATTTACACTTAAGCATTCATTTTTTTTTTCTTTTGAGACGGAGTCTTGCTCTGTTGCCCAGGCTGGAGTGCAGTGGCATGATCTCGGCTCACTGCAAGCTCTGCCTCCTGGGTTCACGCCATTCTCCTGCCTCAGCCTCCTGAGTAGCTGGTGGCGCCTGCCACCACGCCCAGCTAATTTTTTGTATTTTTAGTAGAGATGGGGTTTCACCGTATTAGCCAGCATGGTCTTGATCTCCTGACCTCGTGATCCACCTGCCTCAGCCTCCCAAAGTGCTGGGATTACAGGTGTGAGCCACCGCGCCCGGCCAGTATTCTTCTTTAAAGTATGGAATGTTTGTTGTTGTTGTTTTGTTTTTGTTTTTGTTTTGTTTTGAGACAAAGCCTCGCTCTTTTTGCCCAGGGTAGAGTGTAATGGCACAATCTTGGCTCACTGCAACCTCTGCCTCCCAGGTTCAAGTGATTCTCCTGACTCAGCCTCCCAAGTAGCTGAGATTGCAGGCACCCACCACCATGCCCGGCTAATTTTTGTATTTTTAGTGTAGACGGGATTTCACCATATTGGCCAGGCTGGTCTCGAACTCCTGACCTCAGGTGATCCACCCGCCTTGGCCTCCCAAAGTGCTGGGATTACAGGCGTGAGCCACCACGCCTGGACTAAAGTATGGAATGTTTTATTGGAGGCTTTTAATTATTTCATTTTAACCAGAGCACTAACTTATAAATAATCCATATAAAATCATCAGACTGTCCCACAATACATACTAATTCATTAAATTAACAAAAAATCTAGGTACTGAGAATACATCAGCAAACAAAAAAGAGAGCCCCTATTCTCATAAAACTTACATTCCAGTTGGGGGAGGATTGGAGATAAGCAGTATAAAAGTAATGTCAGTTGTTTAATAAAGAAAAATAAAGCAAGGTAAAGGGGTGAAGAGTGACTGGGGGAGAGTTTGCCTAGTTAGAGTCAAGAAGGCCTCTCTAATAAGCGGACATTTGAGTCAAGGCCAGAAGGAAGTTAGGGCTGTATTCTGTGGATGACTGGGGGAGGCATCTTAGATAGAGGAACAGAACGTACCCTGGGCCTGGGGTTTTGAATTACAGGGAAACCAGTGAGGCCAGAGCAGTGAGACGTGGAGAGAGTTGCAAAATGTGAAGTCAGAAAAATAGCAGATTCTATGGGGCCTTCTAGGACACAGTAAAGATTTTGCATTTTATTCTGGGTGAGATAGGGAGCTTTGGGAGGGTTGAAAACTGAGCAGGGACTTGGGTTTTAAATGGTCACTCTGGGCCAGGCACAGTGGCTCACGCCTGTAATCCCAGCACTTTGGGAGGTTGAGGCAGGAGGATTGCTTGAGCCCAAGAGTTCAAGACTAGCCTGGGCAACATAGTGAGACCACATTTCTACAAAAAATAAATTTAGGCCAGGCGCAGTGGTTCATGCCTGTAATCCCAGCACTTTGGGAGGCCGAGGTAGGCAGATCACTTGAGGTCAGGAGTTCGAGACCAACCTGGCCAAAATGGAGAAACTAGTCTCTACTAAAAATACGAAAATTAGCAGGGCGTGGTGGATCACGCCTGTAATCGCAGCTACCTGGGAGGCTGAGACAGGAGAATCACTTGAATGTGGGAGACAGAGGTTGCAGTGAGCTGAGATTGCACCACTGTGCTCCAGCCTGGGCAACAGAGTGAGACTCCATCTAAATAAATAAATAAATAAAATAAAAAAATTAGCCAGGTGCGGCGGCGCATACCTGTAGTCCCAGCTACTTGGGAAGCTGAGGTGGGAGGATTGCTTGAGCCTAGGAAGTTGAGGCTACAGTGAACCATGATCTCATCATTGCACTCCTGTCTGGGTGACAGGGTAAGACTCTGTCTCATAAAAAAATAATAAATAGATGGTTGCAATAATCCAATAATCCAAGTGAGAGTTGCTGGTGGCTTGGACCAGAGTTGTAGTGGAGGAGGTAGAAATATTGGATTCAGGATATGTTTCAAAGGTAACACTAAAAGGATTTGAATGTGGAGTGTAGAAGAAATTAATGCATCCAAGGATGAAGTTTCTGTGGGGAGCAATTGGAGGATGGTATTGCCACTTACTGAATTGGGGAAGAAATGGGTTTGGGAAGTTAGCAGATGCTGTGATGTCCTGTCCTGCATCCTCCTGGCCTACCTCTGAGTTTACTTGCAGCCAGGGTGGATAGTTCCCATAAATACTGATGGCTTCCACCTCAAGTTCACCCTCATTCCTCTACTTCCCTGCCTGCAAGATCTCTCCATTGCCAGGGACCTTGTTCAGCTTGGCTGCACAGCAGATCAGAAGTGCTGGGGACCAGGGCAGGTGTGGTGGCTCATGCCTGTAATCCCAGCACTTTGGGAGGCTGAGGCAGGTGGATCACCTGAGGTCGGGAGTTCGAGACAAGCCTGACCAACATGGAGAAACCCCCTCTTTACTAAAAATACAAAAAATTAGCCGGGTGTGGTGATGCATGCCTGTAATCCCAGCTACTCAGGAGGCTGAGGCAGGAGAATTGCTTGAACCCAGAAGGCAGAGGTTGCTGTGAGCTGAGATCACACCATTGCACTCCAGCCTGGATAACAAGAGTGAGACTCCATCTCAAAAAAAAAAAAAAAAAAAAAAGGAAGTGCTGGGGACCTAAATCCCCCAGGGAACCATTGGCCAGTGAGGTGTAGGGTAAGGAATTATTGGGTGAGTAACCTGGTTTCTCTTTCCGTGGAGAGACTGTTCTGAGATGGCTTCTACAGGACTCTTCAGAGGGTATCCAGCAGGATTTAGCTTTAACTGCCCACAGTAATAACCTGCTCCTTAGAGCACCCCTTATTAACTCTCCTCCTTTCTCTGTCTTACTTCTATTATTTCCTCACTTGTGCTTCCTGGGATAACCTCCTGTATAATTTAGTTTCAGCTGCATAATAAGCCACCCCCAAAACATAGTGGTTTACAATGGCCATTATTTTTGCTCATGATTCTGTGGGTCAACAATTTGGGCTGGACTCAACTGGGTGACAAATTTTCTGCTGGTCTTGCCTGGGCTTACTCAGTGGCTACAATAATATGGTGGCTTGACTGGGGCTGGAAGGTTTAAGATGCCCTCCAATGGTAGATGGTAGACACTAGCTGTCAGCTGGCTGATTTAAAAGGCCTCAGATGGGTTGGCTCATGTAGTCCCAATACCCTTTCCTCCTCCACCAGGCTAGACTGGGATTCTTCACATGGCAGTCTTGGGCAGTGTTCCAAAGGGACAAAAGTGGAAGCTGCGAAGCTTCATGAGGTCCACAGTGCTGCTCCTACTGCATTCTTTTCATTAAAGCAGGGCTCAGGTGCTAGGCCAGATTCAAAGGGTGAAGAGACAAATTCCACTTCTTGGTGGCAGGGAAGTCAAAGTCACATTGCAAAGGAAATGTCATACAAGAAGGAAAGAATGCTAAGGCCATCTTTGCAAACAACCTACCCATCTCCCCCAACCCCCAAATTCCCTACGGATCTCCTTGTCTCAGAGTCTGCCTTTGGGGGAATCCAAACTAAGCTGGGGTGGGTAGGAATCAAAGCTCTTCCATAGACATGCTAACGGAGATGCTTCCTGGAGGAACCCAAGTGGAGACTTTGAACTGGCAGTTGGATTTATGAGTCTGGAATTCAGAAGGGAGGTCTGGACTGGAGATACTCAATTTGGGAGTCATTGAAATATATGTAAACAAAGAGAGTCCTAGTTTGGACAAGAGCATATAAGGAATGTGTGTAGAAAGAAGAGGTCAGAAGGCTGAGCCCCAGGCCACTGCAGTGTTGACGGGCCAGGGAGAGCAAGAGGGGCCAGCAAAGGAGGCTGAGAAGAAGCAGCAGGTAAGGACACCAGCAGTGGTGTCCGGGGGCCAAGGAGAGAGTGTTCCAAGAAAAGCACTAGGCGGGGCGCGGTGGCTCATGCCTGTAATCCCAGCACTTTGGGAGGCTGAGGTGGGTGGATCACCTGAGGTCAGGAATTTGAGACCAGCCTGGCCAACATGGCAAAACCTCGTCTCTACTAAAAATACAAAAATTAGTTGTGTGTGGTGGCAGGTGCCTGCAATCCCAGCTACTCTGGAGGCTGAGGCAGGACAGTCGCTTGAACCTGGGAGGGGGAGGTTGCAGTGAGCCGAGATCACACCACTGCACTCCAGCCTGGTGACAGAGCGAGATTCTGTCTCAAAAAAAAAAGTCAACATTACAGTGTTTGTTTACAATTAACTAGTGATTGGGTCTTTCTGGTCTTCTCCACTCCCCACTCCCTCCCAAATCTTGCCTCGCTATTTGTGCCTCATTTTATGTTACCCAGAATGCTTTGATTCCTCCCCTTCCCCAAAGAGTAGCAATTTACCTTTTCTCCTCCAAGCCTTCCTAAACTTATTCTTGTCAGGCATTCCAGAATGTAGTAATGCTATAATTTCCTGAATACTGTATTCTATGCCTAAAAGAAAAAGAGCCAACTGAAAACTCTGGATTCAGCTCAAAATTAAAGAATTTTTCCGGCCAGGCACGGTGGCTCATGCCTGTAATCCCAGCACTTTGGGAGGCCAAGGAGGGTGGATCACAAGGCCAGGAGATCGAGACTATCCTGGCCAACATGGTGAAACCCAGTTTCTACTAAAAATACAAAGAATTAGCTAGGCATGGTGGCAGGCGCCTGTAGCCCCAGCTACTTGGGAGGCAGATGCAGCGGAATTGCTTGAACCCAGGAGGCAGAGGTTGCAGTGAGCTGAGATCGTGCCACTGCACTCCAGACTGGGCGACAGAGCAAGACTCCATCTCAAAAAAAAAAAAAAAATAATAATAATAATCTTTCCCACTGTCTGTAAGCAGTTACTATGAAACTTTAACTATATTTCCTGTTAATAACTGAAACCTCAAAATACTTCTTTTGAAAAGATAAGGCAATTTCCTATCTCTGCCCCCTCAGAGATTGGCAGACAGCAGGTGGCCATGTCACTGCCTCACGCCATCACTGAGCTCCCTGCCATCACCTCCCAAATAAATCCTTGTACCCAATCCTGGTCTCAGGGTCAGCTTTTGGGGGACCCCAGACCAGGACACTGTTCTCTGGAATACCCAAATGTCTAGCAGCACTGGGCCCACACTTTGTGTGGCAAAAAATGGAGTCTGGCTGGACACAGTGGCTCACATCTGGAATCCCAAAACTTTGGGAGGCCAAGGCAGGAGGTTTATTTGAGGCCTGGAGTTTGAGACCAGCCTGGACAACATAGTGAGACCATGTCTCTACCAAAAATACAAAAATTAGCCAGGTGTGGTGCTGTGTGCCTGTAGTCCCAGCTACTCAGGAGGCTGAGGTGGGAGGAATGCTTGAGCCCTGGAGGTGGAGGTTGCAGTGAGCCATGATTCACGCCACTGCACTCCAGCCTGGGTGACAGGGCAAGACCTTGTCTCAACAAAAAAAAAAAAAAAAAAAAATCTGGAGTCCAGAGGCAGCTAACCCTTTCAGGGTCCCAAAATAGGCTCTGCAAAGTCCCCCACTTTGCAGAGCCTATTTTGGGATTGGCCCAGCAAGCATCTGAGCTTGTAATCCTGCACATGTAAGATACAGGCAAGAAAATGTTCTTTTTTACATTTTCAAGTAGTGAGAGAAGAGACATACAACAAACAGACATATTTTTACAATTTCAAAAGCATAGCACAATCTACGCAATGCTTATAATGGAAAAAACTAAATAAATACTTAAACAAAAAATTCCCTTCCTAAGTGCCTTTTATTTTGTGATTTATTCTTTTTCTAGGTTTTTTTTTTTCTGCCTCTTTATTTGCTCAAGTTGGGATTTCCAGAGTTTCATTTCAAGAACTAACTTGCTTTGCTTCATTTCCGTTGTCTGGGCTTTTGTTACCTGATGAGTTTGAGTGCTTTCAGGACATCTGATGCTTCAACTTCAATTAGCAAGCCCTCCTGAAAGAAAGAACACACCTTTGTCTCTTCTAAGTTAATTCTACAACCTTGCAAAATTTGATTTCCACACAAGAATGTGAAAATCATCTTAGATAATTTAGGCAGCAATTTATCTGACAAATGTGAGCTCAATTCTTTCAAATAAAAAGATGTTGAGCTGGGTGTGGTGGCTCACGCCTGTAATCCCAGCACTTTGGGAGGCTGAGGCAGGTGGATCATGAGGTCAGGAGATCAAGACCATCATGACTAACACGGTGAAACCCCGTCTCTACTAAAAATAGAAAAAATTAGCTGGGCATGGTGGCAGGTGCCTGTAGTCCCAGCTACTCGGGAGGCTGAGGCAGGAGAATGGTGTGAACCCCGGAGGCGGAGCTTGCAGTGAGCCGAGATGGCGCCACTGCACTCCAGCCTGGGCGACAGAGCCAGACTCTGTCTCAAAAAAAAAAAAAAAAAAAAAAAAAAAAAAGACGTGGAAAGCAAAATTGCTTTCATGTGAAAAAATTAGAGCTTACATGTGATTTCAACTTTTTAATATCAATTACTCATTAAATCTTTCCCTAGGTTTATCTCTAAATAAGAAAGTTTCATCTGTGTGAAAACTAAAAACTGAGAATCAGTATTAAAATTTCATGACCATTAATGCTTTATCTGATTTTAAAACATGATTAATTTTCCCTTCTCTAGGTGTTTAAAATGAATATCTCACAATGACAACGACAGAATAATAGGGGGCAAGGGCAATCACTGCCACATCTGAAGGCGGTTCATTGTAAAGTAATGCCACACTCTTAACCTGGGACTAAAAAATAATGTGAGTTTTTAAACAGAACTTCAACATGCATGTTTTTAAGTAGCGATGGCGCCCTCAAAAGAATGGTTCTAACCATCCTTCCAGATTGCAATTTCTTTCTTTCTTTTTTTTTGAGACGGATCACGGATCTTGCTCTGTCGCCCAGGCTTGAGTGCAGTAGTGCAGTCTCGGCTCACTGCATCCTCCACCTCCTAGATTCAAGCGATTCTCCTGCCTCAGCCTCCTGAATAGCTGGAATTACAGGCATGTGCCACCACACCCGGCTAATTTTTGTATTTTTAGTAGTGATGGAGTTTTGCCATGTTGCCCAGACTGGTCTTGAATTCCTGAGCTAAAATGATCATCCTGCCTTGGCTTCCCAAAGTGCTGGATTTACAGGTGTTAGCCACCACATCTGGCTGAGAACAGGTTAATTTTTAAAAAGTAACATAAGTAATTTGATAACAAGCCTAGTGAATAAGATATGTAACCAAACTAATAGTATTGGCTTAGGAAAAAAAAAACCTAGCAATAAAAGAATGAGATTGGTGTTTTTGCATTGCCCAGAACCTGCCTCTGGGTAAGTCTGTTTTGGGCACTGCAACAGATCATTGGCAGTTGCAGCTCCATGAGGGCAGGGACCTGTGCCTGGTACAGGACTGAACTGGGGTCTGCACACCTGGCTCGGTAAAGCCAAACATTCACTCTGCAGTTTGCAATAGGAGGAAGAACGGTATTTATCTTTGCAGGGCACCAAGCAAGAAGAATCAGGCACCTCATACTTAAGACCTGACCTCCCCAATGGCTTGCAAGTAAGGGTTTTTATATTTATTTAGTTTTTGAGATGGAGTCTTGGTCTGCTGCCCAGGCTGGAGTGCAGTGGCATGATCTTGGCTCACTGCAATCTCCGTCTCCCAGGTTCAAGCAATTCTCCTTCCTCAGCCTCCCGAGTAGCTGGGATTACAGGCTCCCGCCACCAAGCCCGGCTAAATTTTGTATTTTTAGTAGACACGGGGTTTTGCCATGTTGGCCAGGCTCGTCTCGAACTCCTGACCTCAGGTGATACATCCACCTTGGCAAGAGTTTTTAAAGGCAGAGGCAGAGGTTACAGGCAAAGTCATAAATCAATACATGGAGGCTATATGCTGGTTTGACCTAAAAAGGCGGGACATCTCAAAGTGGGTGGTGGGGCATGGGGCAGGTTACAGGTCAGAGATTCAAAGATTTTCTGATTTGCAATTGGTTAAGATGGAAAAGGTTTGTCTAAAAATTTGGGGTCAGGAGAAAAGAATGTTATCTCTGGCTCATGGGCGTGACTTCCTCCAGGCCCCCCAGAAAGAACTTCAGAAAAAAAAAATGGCAGTCAGAGTTGAGTCCTCAGTTCCCCCTAACCTGAGGTCTAGGTGCCAGTGGATTCATTTGCTGGGCATCCATGTTTCTGAAAAACAACTCAGGGATCTGTTAGGAGGTTATCTTTAGTTTCTCTCGCTCCCTCCCTCCCTCCCTTCTTCCTTGCTTCCTTCTTTCTTTCTCTTTCTCTTTCTTTCTTTCTTTCTTTCTTTCTTTCTTTCTTTCTTTCTTTCTTTCTCTTTCTTTTTCTTTCTTTCTTTTCCTTTCTTTCTTTCCTTCTTTCTTTCTTTCTCTTTCTCTCTCTCTCTCTTTCTTCTCTCTTTCAGCAGAGTCTCACTCTTTCGCCCAGGCTGGAGTGCAGTGTTGCAATGTTGGCTCACTGCAATCTCCACCTCCCAGGTTCAGACAATTCTCCTGCCTCAGCCTCCCATGTAGTTGGGATTACAGGTGCACACCAGCACGCTCGGCTAAATTTTGTATTTTTAGTAGAGACGGGGTTTCACCGTGTTGACCAGGCTGGTCTCAAACTCCTGACCTCAGGTGATCCACCCACCGTGACCTCCCAACATGCTGGTGTCAGAGGGGTGTGAAACCAGAGCAACTCCATCTTGAAAAGGAGCTGGGAGAAATTAGGCTGAGACCTACTGGGCTGTATTCCCAGACGGTTAAGGCATTCTCTAAGTCACAGGATGAGATACAAGGTCAGCACAAGATACACAGGTCATAAAGACCTTGCTGATAAAACAGGTTGCAGTAAAGAAGTCGGCTAAAACCCACCAAAACCAAGATGGCCACGAGAGTAACCTCTGGCCGTCCTCACTGCTACACTCCCACCAGTGCCATGACAGTTTACAAATGCCATGGCAACGTCAGGAAGTTACCCTATATGGTCTAAAATGGGGAGGCATGAATAATCCACCCCTTGTTTAGAATATTATCAAGAAATAACCATTAAAATGGGCAACCAGCAGCCGTTGGAGCTCCTCTGTCTATGGAGTAGCCGTTCTTTTATTCCTTTACTTTCCTAATAAACTTGCTTTTGCTTTGCACTGTAGACTTGCCCTGAATTCTTTCTTGGGCAAGATCTAAGAACACTCTCTTGGGGTCTGGATGGGAACCCCTTTCCTGTAACATTGAGATTACAGGCATGAGCCACCACGCCCAGCCTCTTTTTATTTATTTATTTATTTTTTCGAGACAGAGTCTTTCTCTGTGCCCAGGCTGGAGTACAATGGTGCGATCTCAGCTCACTGCAACCTCCATGTCCCGAGTTCACACCATTCTCCTGCCTCAGCTTCCTGAGAAGTTGGAATTACAGGCAAGTGTCACCATGCCCAGCTAATTTTTATATTTTTAGTAGAGGTGGGGTTTCACCATGTTGGCCAGGCTGATCTTGAACTCCTGACCTTGTGATCCACCTGCCTTGGCCTCCCAAAGTGCTGGGATTACAGGCGTAAGCCACTGCGCCCGGCCTTATTAATCTTATTGTGAAAAATCCTCAATGGCCGCAGATAACATCCTTGCAATATCTTTACTCCTTCGGCTTTTTGCCAGCACCAACACTGGCCTTTGCAGTACCCCTGACTTTCTCCATTCTGTTCTTGCATTCCTTTTGTTGCTTTCTTGAGGTCTTTTTCTTCTCATACAGGCCATGTCTTGCAAGTCTATGTTTGGTATGTTTGGGTTCATTTTACTTTACATAATCCAAGGAATCATAAATCATGCCAAAGCCACCACCAGCATGAGTTCTGAATGCAAATACAAAGATGACATCCAGTGTGGTCTTATACATTTTGGCTAGTTTTTTCTGAATTTCTGTCTTAGGCACTGTTGCCTTCCCGGGATGAAGGACATCAATGAGCATCTGTTTCCTCTGAAGTAGTCATGAACTTTCTAGTTAGGATAGTTACTGTGTCCTATCCTATGTGTTAGGATAGTTCATGATGGTGGCCTACCCTCAGACAGCCAGGGAGGAGAAGAGTTATCTTTAGTTTCTATAGAGAACAAAACATCCCAGAATTCGAACTTTCTTGGCTATTGTTTTAAGCTACTATTACCTTCTTGCTAATCAAGTTGCTGGTTTACTTCTCAGGGCTAACTAGGTGCCTGGAATTTCCCCTGCAATAACTAAAACTTTTCCTTTATTTCCATGCTTTGGAGAAAGTGCATGGCAGGCCCCTAAGAGGAGTCCCTGCTACCTCTTACGACCATCTTGCGAATTACTGTACCCGTAGCAACTATAGTGCCTGGTGCATAGGAGGATGACTGAATGAATACATGCAGAAATTCACAACGTGACTAATTCAAAGTAACTGACACTCATTTGAATATACACATTTGAAACAGTTTTTAAAAGAAAATAGCTTCCATAATTTGCAAATACAACAATAACAGTTTATAGGAAATGTCCCAAGCTAGTCCACTTACTTCTATTTCTTTTTGACACAATACCATCTTCTGAATATATTCCATTTTGCAAAATAAAAAAGCACTTTACGGTGATTATGTTAAATAGAGCCAAGAGCATCATCCCTGTTTTAATAGATTAGAATGTGGGGATGTGGAAGAGATGAGTAATTTTTTCAACGTTAGTATTATTAATTAGAATCTCAACTTATAATAACTAACACCCATTTCTGCCCAAATCACTGGAGGGAGGGCGGATTACCTATGGTGCTGGAGGTGAGATCAGCTTCTCCTAGGTATGGGATGGGGAGATACTTGAGCAAGATTGGGGTGCTCCAGAGAAGGAACAAAGTGGGAGCACATCCTGGGTAGGTCTTATGTCCCCTGCGGTCACCAACTAATAAATGGAAGAATTGACACTCACACTTAGCTCTCCTGAAGTCAAATGCAGTACTTTTGTTTTTAGGGAATGTGCTATAACAAACAGTTCATTTTAAAGAGAACTTTTAGGGATTAATAAGTTTTACCCAGAGAATAGATCAGGAATTTTATTCTAATTGAAAATTAAATCTGATTTATGTATCTCATGTGTTTTGATTCAGTGTAATACATTTTACAAATGAAGAGATGTGGGAGAATGCAAATTATAGAAGTTTGTGTTTGTTTTGTTTTTTAAAGTTGTATTACATTCCTAGAGTTCTTCTAGCAGCATTATCCAAATCCCTTATTAACATTATTCAAGCCGGGCACGGTGGCTCACGTCTGTAATCCCAGCACTTTGGGAGGCTGAGGCAGGCGGATCACCTGAGGTCAGGAGTTTGAGACCAGCCTGGCCAACATGGTGAAACCCCACCTCTACTAAAAATACAAAAATTAGCCAGGCGTGGTGGCACGTGTCTATAATCCCAGCTGCTCAGGAGGCTAAGGCAGGACAATCGCTTGAACACAAGAGGTTGCAGTGAGCCGAGATCGTGCGATTGCACTCCAGCCTGGGTGACAAGAGCGAAACTCTATCTCAAAAAAAAAAAAAAACCAAAAAAACCAAAAAACATTATTCAAAAGCATCTGCAGAACTTAATCCAGTAATTCTATTTTTTTTTTTTTGAGACGGAGCCTCTCCCTGTCGCTCAGGCTGGACTACAGTGGCATGATTTTGGCTCACTGCAACCTCTGCCTCTTGGATTCAAGTGATTCTACTGCCTCAGCCTTCCAAGTAGCTGGGATTACAGGCGCCTGCTACCACACCCAGCTAATTTTTTGCATTTTTAGTAGAGACCGGGTTTCACTATGTTGGCCAGGCTGGTCTCAGACTCCTGACCTCATGATCCGCCCGCCTCAGCCTCCCAAAGTGCTGGGATTACAGGCATGAACCACTGCGCCTGGCCAATCCAGTAATTTTTAAAGTGGTGTTCTTTAAGATTTCCCTGCAGAGGAAAATTGTTTCCCGTGAGCATCAACCCTAAGGCCTCCTAAGAAATTTCTGAGTTCAATAAATAGCAGATTTATGGCTGAGTGCGGTGGCTCACACCTGTAATCCCAGCACTTTGGGAGGCTGAGACAGGCAGTTCATTTGAGGTCAGGAGTTCAAGACCAGCCTGGCCAACATGGTGAAACCTCGTCTCCACAAAAATTAGCTGGGTGTGGTGGTGCACGCTTGTAATCCCAGCTACTTGGGAGGCTGAGGCAGGAGAATCACTTGAACCAGGGAGATACAGTGTGCAGTGAGCTGAGATTGCGCCACTGCACTCCCATCCTGGTGACAGAGTGAGACTTCATTTCAAAAAAATAAATAAATATCAGATTTATAATGAGCATCTTTAAGACACATTTTATGCCAATGTGGCAGACACTGCCAGCTGCTTGCCAATAGCCATTTTCCCATTGTATTTACTCACAGAATCCAATTTTATTCGGGCACAGTCTACCCACTTAAAATATTGAATGCCCAGCCTCTCTTGTAGTTGGGGTTACTTTATGACATGATCTGGCCAACTCTCAGCTCTCAAACAGTGGCTTGTTGGTGCTTCCAGGAACATGCCCATTGTCCTTCCCTTCTTCCTCCTGCCTGACTCATGGACACGATGCTTGATGGTCAAGGAGCTGTCTTGCCACCATGAAGATGAAAGCAACAATCTAACGACGGTACCGGGAGCTAGGAGGAACCTGGGTCCCTAGAGCAGCTGCAGCAGCCTGGCCTGCCCACCTTTGAATCCTGACCATGTGGGAAAACAAATCCCTGTTTGGTAAAGACATGGTAATTGGGTCTCTGTTTACATGCATGCAGACGCAATGCTGACTGATACATTCAGTATTTCCATTTTTGTGCCTTTTGTACAGCTCCAATAAAACCAAGTAACAAGATCATTGCTACACAAAATCTTCTCCTGACTAACCTCCTGAACACGGTTCTTTCTTCTATGACATATGTTTCTGTAATAATAGGTCACATGTAAATTGGTAACTAGGGCACTAAGGACAGCATAAAATGGAAGTCACTTTGGTTTCTATGCTATTTTTCATTGCACATTAATATTTTGAAGCAATTTATGAAGATCTTAAAGGAAAAAAATGAATCCTGAAGAAATACTTTCCTTTTGTGCAAGTAGTGGCAAAATAGTGACTTTAAGGACCACGAGTTTTCCCCCAAAGTGAAATTATCTGGTAAAAGTGCAGCTGGAGAATTTACGTGTACATATCATTCATTTAATTCCAGAAGCCTTTTTTTCCCCAGTGAAGATGATCTCTAATTCCCTCACGTGTCTACATCTCAGAGGAGGCAGTGTGAGCCCAACGGTTTGATGCTGCAAAGGCTGACTGACAATGAAGGTGGGTGCACGTGCAAGCACAGATAGAATGGGCTCATATATATATATATATATATATATATATATATATATATATATATTTTTCTTTTTATCAGCATTATGATTGTTTTTGTTAGTGCTCTGGTTACAACATTGCATTAGGATTTGAGCAGTTTGCTACAGACCTGTTTCCCTGAAGTCCAGTTGATTTTATTTTATTTTATTTTATTTTACGAGACAGAGTTTCACTCTCTCACCCAGGCTGGAGCGCAGTAGCATGATCTCGGCTCACTGCAACCTCTGCCTCCCAGGTTCAAGCAATTCTCGGGTCTCAGCCTCCCCAGTAGCTGGGATTACAGGCATGTGCCACCACGCCCAGCTAACGTTTGTATTTTTAGTAGAGACAAGGTTTCACCATATTGGCCAGGCTGGTCTTGAACTCCTGACCTCCTGACAGGGTTACATCATATTGCCCAAGGCTGGTCTTGAATTCCTGGGCTCAAGCCATTTACCTGCCTTGGCCTCCCAAAGTGCTGACGTTGCAGGCATGAGCCACCGCACCCAGCTGAGAATTCATTCTTTTTGCCTCTTCTGGCTTCTGATGGCTGCTGGCATTCCTTGGCTTGTGGAAGTATCACTCCAATATTCGCTTTTGTTTTCACATTACCTCTTCCATGTCTGTCTCAAATCTCCCTCTGCCTATCTCTTACAAAGATGCATGTGATGGCATTTAGGACCCACCTGGATAATCCAGGATAATCTCCCCATCTAGAAAGAAATCTGAAAAAAAAAAAAAAAAAAAATCACATCTTCAAAGAGCCTTTTCCAAATAAGGTAACATTTTCAGGTTCCAAAGATATCAGGGATTAGGACCTGCTATCTTAGGGGATCATTGTTCAGCCCACTACACTAATGTTTTTGTAGCTGGAGGAAAATTCCTACCAGGAGAATACCAGGAGGTATCTTTTGCTTTCTTCTTTTGTCCTTTTCTGTCCTTGGAAAACATGTTTATTTCTGGAAAACTAAGAAAGATGATGTCTTAGTTTGTTCAGAATGCTGTAACAAAAATACCATAGACTGAGTGGCTTCAACAACAGATTTATTTCTCATAGTTCTGGAGGATGGGGAGTCTAAGAGCAAGGCTCTAGCAAAGTCGGTGTCTGAGGGTCCACTTCCTGGTTCAGACACAGCCATCTTCTTGCTGTATTCTTGCATAGCAGAAGGAGGGCCAGAGAGCTCTCTGGGGTCCCCTTTTGTAAGGACATTAATCCCATTCATGAAGGCTCCACCCTCATGACCTTAATTCCTTCCAAAGGTCCCATCTCCTGATACACACTAGGGGTTAGAATTTCAACATTTCAACATATAAATTTGGTTGGGGGTGAGGAGAGCACAAACATCAGTCTATTGCAGGTGATGACTGTTTTCTTATAAAACAATAAGAATTATATTTGCCAAAGAATCAGTGTGATAGTATTTGTGACTCATTCATAAAAATGTTTGATTGTCTTCCATCAAGAAACTCCTACCAAGTTAAGTTAATGAGCAGTGGAGGTGGCAAAGCAATACTTGAGAACTTTTATATGCTGTGTCATTAGAACCCATCATGATTTGCAGGCAGAATATAAAATCTTTGGCGTTCACTACTTAGAGTCATTATCACCACATCACAAAACCAGGCTGTGACCTCAGGATCCTTGCCAAATGCCACTGAACACAGGGGTGTCTTGCTTCACAGGGAGAATTGGAGACTTAGCAGGCTTTGATGTGTTTGAGAGCCCCTAGAATGAAGGGACAAACAACCCCTGTTAACAATAAGATCATTTTGGCACAATTAAGTCTTTCTGAAATCTGGTTTGGAGGTCCAGAATTTAAACTTGCCCTGCTTTTAGACTCCTTAAAAAAAAAAAAAAAAAGTGTTCTACAACTTTATTCAAATAAAGTTTTCCTTAATAGGAAAGAATATTGTATTAGTCCATTCTCATGCTGCTATAAGGGACTGCCCAAGACTGGGTAATTACAAAAGGAAAGAAGTTTAATTGACTCACACTTCCGCATGGCTGGGGAGGCCTCAGGAAACTTACCATCATGGTGGAAGGGGAAGCAAATACATCCTTCTTCACATGGCAGCAGGAAAGAGCAGTGCTGAGCAAATTGGGAAAAGCCCCTTATAAAACCATCAGATCTCATGAGAACTCACTCACTATCACAAGAACAGCAGCATGGACTAACCACCCCCGTGATTCAATTATCTCCCACTGGGTCCCTCCCATCACACGTGGGGATTATGGGAACTACAATTCAAGATGAGATTTCGGTGGGGACACAGCCAAACCATATCAAATATTATGGATTAATTAACTATGGCCAAATTTAATCAGTGCAAAGTCACACTTATTTTTCTTTCTTTCTTTCTTTCTTTTTTTTTGAGACGGAGTCTGGCTCTGTCGCCCAGGCTGGAGTGCAGTGGCGCGATCTCGGCTCACTGCAAGCTCCGCCTCCCGGGTTCATGCCATTCTCCTGCCTCAGCCTCCCAAGTAGCTGGGACTGCAGGCGCCCGCCACCATGCCTGGCTAACTTTTTTTGTATTTTTAGTAGAGACGGGGTTTCACCGTGTTAGCCAGGATGGTCTCGATCTCGTGACTTCGTGATCCCCCTGCGTCGGCCTCGCAAAGTGCTGGGATTACAGGCGTGAGCCACCGCGCCCAGCCTATTTTTCAGAATAGTACTTTAGTCTCGTAAAAACTCTCATTGTTAAGTAATATATATTCTATTGAGAAAGTCAGGTCTAAGAAAAGAAAGAGTTGAATGATTCTCATGAGTCTTATCTCATTTATAACAGATTTGGGGGAACATTTTATTTTATTTTTTATTTTTTGTAGAGACAAGATCTCGCTATTTTGCCCTGGCTGGTCTCAAATTCCTGGGCTCAAGTGATCCTCCTGCCTTGCCCTCCTAAAGTGCTGGGATTACAAGCATGAGCCACCACACCTGGCCGAAATTTTAATTTCATTTCTCACATCAGTTTTTTTTTTTTAAATCAAACCATGACAGTAAATTGGGAATTTCTGCTTTATCAGAAAACCTACTTTTAAAGAATTTGATTCTAATTTAGTCCATAAAATTGATAGCACACACATTTTTTCTTGGGAATTAAAAATGTTTCAAATATGCCACTTCACTTATTCATGCAACATGAATGGGTTATATTTTTTTTTAAATTTAATTTTAGGTTCTGGGATACATGTGCAGAACATGCAGGTTTGTTACATAGGTAAATGTGTGCCATGGTGGTTTGCGGCACCCATCAACCCATCGCCTAGGTATTAAGCCCCTCCCTCTCCCAGCGCCCCCCACACGCCCCAGTGTGTGTTGTTCCCCTCCCTGTGTCCATGTGTTCTCACTGATGAACAGGTTCCTAGTTTCTTTTTCTTTTTTTTCTTTTTTTTTTTTTTTTTTGAGACGGAGTTTTTTGCTCTTGTTGCCCAGGCTGGAATGCAATGGCGCAATCTTGGCTCACCGCAACCTCCACCTCCCAGGTTCAAGCAATTCTCCTGCCTCAGCCTCCCGAGTAGCTGGGATTACAGGCATGCACCACCACACCTGGCTAATTTTGTATTTTTTTTTTTAGTAGAGATGGGGTTTCTCCATGTTGAGGCTGGTCTCGAACTCCTGACCTCAGGTGATCCACCCGCCTCGGCCTCCCAAAGTACTGGGATTACAGGCGTGAGCTACCGCGCCCGGCCACAGGTTCCTAGTTTCTAAACACCTATTATGGACCAGGCCCACTAGACACTGGGATACAAAAGTCAACAAGACCCGGTCCTGCCCTCAGGGAGCCTGAAGTGTAAGGGGATGGAGAGAGGACCCAACTTCTCATGGGCTGTGAATGGTCCGTGGGACTGGGCTACGCTGGGCTGGGCTGTGAGAGTGAAGCAGAACCCAGCCAGTCTCAGGGAGACTAGGGGCCTCTTCCAAAAGGAAGCTGAGGCCTGAAAAAGGAAAAAAAAACCTTTTCCTCCAAAAGTGACTGCATGAGGGAAGGGGGTGTGTATGAAGGCCCAGAAGTGATAGTGCTTGAGAAAGGGAGGCCGCATGGCACAAGCACCAGGTTAAAAGAAGAGGCTGGGCCAGCCCCAGAGTGACCCCATAAACTTATTAGAGGGTTTGGACTCCATAACAATGACAGGATCCCTTCCTTCTATTCCTTTTCTTTCCCTTCCTCTTTCTTCCTTCCTTCCCTCTTTCCTCCCTTCCTCCCTCCCTCCCTCCCTCTCTCCCTCTCTCCCTCCCTCCCTCTCTTTGTTTCTTTCTCTCATCTTTCTGTCTCTCTCTCCCCCTTTCTTTCTTCTCCCTGCCCTTCCCACCTCTCTTTCACGCTCTCTGTCTCTTTCTTTCTCTTTTAGACAGGTCCTCACTCTGTCACCCAGGCTGGAGTGCAGTGGCAATCATAGCTCACTGCAGCCTCCAACTCCTGGGCTCAAGCCATCCTCCCACCTCATCCTCCCAAATAGTAGGGATTACAGGTGTGCACTACCACACCAAGCCATTGAAGGATTTTCAAGCAGGGCAAAGACATACTCAGATCTGCATTTTATAATGATCATTCTAGTTGCTGTCAAATGGCTCAGATGCTGGCAAGCCTGGAAGCAGAGACCCCTCAGGGTAGGGAGAGGCAGATCCATGGGAGAGAGTGTGGTTCCCTGAACTAGGACTCAGTTGGGAAGAAAAGAAGTGGATGGATTTGAAAAACAATTTCCCTGAGCAGGTTCCCCTACTGCAACCTCCAACTCCAGGTTCAAGTGATTCTCCTGCTTCAGCCTCCCGAGTAGCTGGGATTACAGATGCGCAGCCACCACGTAATTTTTGTGTTTTTAGTAGAGACAGGGTTTTGCCATATTGGCCAGGCTGGCCTCTTAACTCCTGACCTCGAGTGAACCACCCACTTTAGCCTCCCAAAGTGCTGGGATTACAGGCGTGAGCCACCACGGCCAGCAGCCCTAGTGATATTCTTGAAACAAACAACTTAGGTATTTAATACATCTAAATACTTTCTTGGAGCCATGAAAAATGTCAGTGGTCTGTGGTGAACGAGTTTTCAAATCTCTTGCTTATAGGCCTAATTTTATACCTATAAGAGCAGGCTTGCAAATTGCTTTCTCTAATTTTTATTCCTAGGGTCATATGACATTAGTCTAAATAAGTAAACTTCACCTGTTCACACGCTATAGAAACACAGCAAAGCTGCTCCAGGCTGGGCACCGTGGCTCACGCCTGTAATCCCAGCACTTTGGGAGGCTGAGGCAGGCGGAGTACCCCCGCCAGGAGTTCAAGACCAGCCTCGGCAACAAAGTAAGACCCTGCTTCTACAAAAAAAAAAAAAAAAATTAGCTGGGCGTGGTGGCGGGAGCCTGTAATCCCAGCTTCTTGGGAGGCTGAGGTAGGAGAATCGCTTGCACCCTGAAGGCGGAGGTTGCAGTGAGCTGAGATCGCATCACTGTACTCCAGCCTGGGCGACAGAGCGAGACTCCATCTCAAAAAACAAAACAGAACAAAACGAAACAAAAAAACAGCAGCTGTAAAAAAGGATGAATTCATGTCCTTTGCAGGGACATGGATGAAGCTGGAAACAATCATTCTCAGCAAACTAACACAAGAACAGAAAACCAAACACCACAGGTTCTCACTCATATGCAGGAGTTGAACAATAAGAACACATGGACACAGGGAGGGGAACATCACACACCGGGGCCTGTCCGGGGGTGGGGTCTAGGGGAGGGATAGCATCAGGACAAATACCTAATGTAGATGACTGGTTGATGGGTGCAGCAAACCACCATGGGACATGTATACCTATGTAACAAACCTGCAGGTTCCGCACATGTATCCCAGAACTTAAAGTATAATTAAAACACACACACACACACACACACACACACACACGCGCGCGCGCGCGCACAAACAGAAAACCAACCCTGCTCAGATCCTCACAGCAGCAGGTGTGGCCGCCGCTTCTCTTACCATTGCACTTCCCCGGCTTCTCTCCAGTAGGGGAGTCCGCCTGCTGTTTTGCGGCTCGCCGGGGTGCCCACCCCCAACAGTAAAGGGATGGGTGCAGGTCACACACACCACACTTCACACGAATGGAAAGGGCGAGGACCCGCCTCTGCCCGAGCCCACCGCACATACCATTCTTCAGCCTTCACCTGGAGCATCAGGGCGGTGCCTTGGAGGGCAGGATGATTTCGGGCTGCGGAGGCGGCGACACAGGCCTGACAAGGCGGCAGGTGTCTGGCTGCACGTCTTCTCTTCTCCAGCAGGTGGCAATGAGTTAGTGTCAGCCTCCAAAGAGGACAGAAGGCACAAATATTTACATTTTTTTTTTTTTCCTTAGACGAAGTCTCTCTCTGTCGCCCAGGCTGGAGTGCAGTGGCATGATCTCGGCTCACTGCAACCTCTGCCTCCCGGGTTCAAGCGATTCTTCTGCCTCAGCCTCCCGAGTAGCTGGGATTACAGGCACCCGCCACCACTCCCAGCTAATTTTTGTATTTTTAGTAGAGACGGGGTTTCACCATATTGGCCAGGCTGGTCTGGAACTCCTGACCTCGTTATTTTAACCGCCAACCTTAAAAATATTTAAATTTTGCTTAAACTAGAATAAAATAAAAGGTGCTAGGAGCTGCGAACAAGAAGAAGGCATCTTAAAATGCTCATAGAAATAGAATCCTAAATTTTATGACTTTTTTTTTTTTTTGAGATAGGGTCTCACTCTGTTGCCTAGGCTGGGGTGCAGTGGTAAGATAATCTCCGAGTAGCTGGGATTACAGGCGCCCTCCAGCACCCCAGCTAACTTTTTATTTATTTTTTTTTTATAGAGATGGAGGTCTCGCCATGGTGCCCAGGCTGGTCTCCGGCTCCTGAGCTCCAGTGATTCTCTCCTGCTTCGCTCTCCCAAAGTGCTGGGATTACAGGCATCAGCCATCACACTGGGACCCTTTATGGCTTTTTATATTAAAGATGATGCCACTGACCAGTGCCAGTGGTGAAACAGTAGAGTCTGAAGATGACTCTGGGCTTCCAGGATGAGGAAAGAGCTGTAACCCAGTGCCTTCCTGTTTCTTTCAAACTCAGCTTCCCATGACTTTCTCCCTCCCCGCTGGAAGGGCTGCAACTTCCAGTGGGCACCCAAGACTTCCAGATAAGAGGCAACTGGCCTTCTCAGATAACTCCTGACTCTTGGCATCTACATCCAGACAGCCTGATGCCACATTGTCTATGTGGACCCCACGGATAAGAATGTTCAAGTTTTGGTCTTGAAAAAGAGAGAACAAAAAGGGAGGAATGTGCCTTCATTGGAATGCTCACTATGACCTGTCCAACAGAACACTCTGTTAGTGGTGGTAGTTCCCTGCAGGTCTGCATCTACAGTGCTGTGACTTTGCCTGAGCTCCGTTGTACAACATCTGCTTGTCTTTGCAGAAGAAATTCTTGCCTTCTCAGGTGAAAAGAATTCTAATGAGGGTCATAAGGCCGAAGGAGAGATTGTTGTAAGTTTTAGAGCAGGAGTGAAAGTTTATTAAGCTTTAGAGCAGGAACTAAAGGAAGGAAAGTACACTTGGAAGAGGGCCAAGCAGGCGACTTGAGAGACCAAGTGCACTGTTTAAACTCTTTTCTTTTTGAGACGGAGTCTCCCTCTGTCACCCAGGCTGGAGTACAGTGGCGTGATCTCCGCTCACTGCAAGCTCTGCCTCCGTGGTTCATGCTATTCTCCTGCCTCAGCCTCCTGAGTAGCTGGGACTACAGGTGCCTGCCACCACGCCTGGCTAATTTTTTTTTTTTTTGTATTTTTTTAGTAGAGATGGGGTTTCACTGTGTTAGCCAGGGTGGTCTCGATCTCCTGACCTCGTGATCCGCCCGCCTCGGCCTCCCAAAGTGCTCGGATTACAGGCGTGAGCCACTGTGCCCGGCCTGTTTAAACTCTTGACTTGGGGTTTTATGTGTTGGCATGCTTCCAGGGTCTTATGTTATTTCTTCCCACTCCTGAGATCTTAGCGAGAAGCTGCTGATCACCAGTTTCTTTCTTTTCCTTTCCTTTCCTTTTCCTTATCTTTCTTTTTTTTTTTTTTTTGGCAGGGTCTCACTCTGTCACCCAGCCTGGAGTGCAGTGGTGCCATCTCGGCTCACTGTAACCTTGGCCTCCCAGGCTCAAGCAATCCTCCCACCTCAGCCTCCCAAGTAGCTGGGATTATAGGTGTGTATCACCATTTCCGGCTAATTTTTGTATTTTTTGTAGAGACGGGATTTCGGCATGTTGCCCAGGCTGGTCTTGAACTCGTGGGCTCAAGTGATCCATCCACCTCAGCCTCCCAAAGTGCTGGGATTATAGGCGTGAGCCACCAGGCCCAGCCTTCAGGCATTTTCTTTTCTTTTCTTTCTTTCTTTCTTTCTTTTTTTTTTTTTTTTTTTTTGAGACGGAATCTCGCTCTGCTGCCCAGGCTGGAGTGTAGTGGCACCATCTCAACTCACTGCAACCTCCACCTCCTGGGTTCAAGTGATTCTTCTGCCTCAACCTCCCAAGTAACTGGGATTATAGTCATCAGGCCCGGCCAAGCATTTTCTAGTTATTAGGAGACTGCCTTTCCCTGGCGGGGGCTGTGACCAATTATTACTTTAGAAAGACAGTTAACAATTGCCTGACCATCACCTGATGGTCCGTGGACACTCCTGGTGTGTGTGTGAGGGCAGCCCTTTCCTGCCCTGCCCATACCTCACTAGCTACCTACTGTAACAGCCCTGGTACCAGCATATCACCCATGCCTTCTCTTGCAGACCCCCAGCTTATAAGTTTCCCAGTAAAGCCTGTTCCTTTACCTACGATGCTGTGAACTTGCCTGAGCTCCATTGTACAACATCTACTTTGAGCTGCTTTCCAGATGATGACTATTCTTTTGCCTTCCATGCTCTCACCATTGTAAGCTCTCTGGGGACCAACATACAGAATGAAGCAGCAATCTTTCTAATTGGAAGAAGGCAAATAAAACCATGATCTATTTTCCAGTGGGATGTCTTTAAAGCACTTAAAAAGCATCATTTGCATTTGGTATGAGACTTGAGAAATATGTAATTTTCATTTCTCCGTTCTTATTTATGGCACTATCAGTTTAGTTGATTTGTAAAATTTATCCTGGCATTTTCTGCCCTACATCTCTATGGAAATATCCAGGTTTGCTGAACATGCCTCTTTTCTATGCATTTGATGGAGGCACTGAAGAAAAGAAGTTGCCCATTGTGACATCCACTTATGTAGTCTTTTGTGCTTCAAAATAAATGCATAAAGACCTTATCAATCACACAACAACACAGTGTCATGATTTCACAACTTCTTGTAAAATGTTTGCATAAACAAACTCTTTTATATTTGGCCTACTAAACTAATTAAGAGAAAACAGCTGTCTAAAGTTACATTATGGAAATCTCTGTTGTGCCAACATGCAAAAATCGTTATTCTCTTGAATATGATTAAGGCATTGTGTTTGGAAGTAGCCTTGAGGGTTCAATTTCTTTTTTTTTAAGATGGGTTTTTGAGACTCTGTCGCCCAGGCTGGAGTGCAGTGACGTGATCTTGGCTCACTGCAACCTCCGAAAGGGCTCAAGCCATCCTCCCACTCAGTCTCTCAAGCAGCTGGGAATACAGGCTCACGCCACCATGCTCAGCTAGTTTTTGTATTTTTTTTGTAGAGACAGGTTTTCACCATGTCGCCCAGGCTGCTCTCCAACTCCTGAGCTCACACGGTCTTCCTGACTCAGCCTACCGAAGTGCTGGGATTACAGGTGTGAGTCACTGTGCCCAGCATAAAATTTCTCATTACACCTCAGTTTCAGGTACAGGTTTTGGTAATTTAATCCCAGCACTTTGTATGTGTTCTTCTAATGATTTTTTTTTTTCCTTTTCAATGAGGAAAATCAGCATCTGATTGTAGCTGAATTCTGTTTCTTTTTAATAGTAAAATGATTTCTATCTCAATCATACTAAGTGTATGAAAACTAAACTTGCCATCATTGGTATCAGCCCTTCGGTTTTTCGTTTTTACTTTCTTTCTTTTCTTTTTCTTTTTTTTTTTTTTTAGACAGAGTCTCCCTCTGTCACCCAGGCTGGAGTATGCAGTGGTGTGACCTCAGCTCACTGCAACCTCCGCCTCTCAGGTTCAAGCGATTTTCCTGTCTCAGCCTGCTGAGTAGCTGGGATTACAGGTGCCCGCCACCACACCTGGCTAATTTTTGCATTTTTAGTAGAGATAGGTTTTCACCATGTTGGCCAGTCTTGTCTAGAACTCCTGATCTCTGGTGATCCACCTGCCTTGGCCTACCAAAGTGCTGGGATTACAGGCATGAGCCATTGTGCCTGCTGACTTCCCTTCATTTTATGAATAAAATAGGAGCAAAATGCAATCGAACATTCAAATAACTGCATAAACAAACTGATCACCAAAGCTAGTGACTGCCAAAATTGAACTGAAACTTTTGGCTGTATCACCATACTGTAGTTCAAAATATCAATTCATCAGCTGATATAGAAAAACCTGAACTGAGTGAAAAGTGGCTTGGGGTGTGAATGTGTAATACATAGAAGAGCAGGTGGTAAAATTGGAAGGACTACCTATATATCATTACAGTCAATGACTCTATCTAGTAGTTTAAAAACTTATTTTCAATTTTTTCTTAATAGACTTTAACAGGTCTACTTTTTACAGAATGACAGAAAATGTGTGCCAGGTAAAGGATACATCGATGCCCACTCAGGCTAAGGAGCCATTTGTACTAGTAATCTTCAAAAACCAGACACTCCTCTCAGAGCCCCCACTGTGGATCTAAGCTTCTGCAAGATTCCTCTAAATAGAGGCCTCCACTTCCCCTGATTTTCCAGGAGAATGCTGGTCTCCTATTTCCCTCTAAACCTTTTCACTTTTATTCTGGTTTTTGTCAGATTGAAAAGAAATCACCAAAGGTTTATTTCAAGGTCGCTTCACATAGGCATAATTAGGCTTATTGTCTTTAGCCAATCGGGTATTTTTCCTTTTTAAATAATTATATAATACTTCTTAAAAACATCCAGAAACCCTGGCTCTTAGAGGCAGGGATGGAATACTTTGACTATCTATCTAACAGGAGCAGATCTTTATCTTCAATCAGATGCTTATTGTGAAGGAAGAAAAAAACAGTAGAACATACACACACAATGCTAGAATGATTTTATTCATTGATTCAACAAATAAATGAATCCTTATGAAGCAAACTGCTAGCTTCTGAGAGGGTACAAAATGTATGAACTCAGGTCATTACCCTGAGTTTATTATCTCACTGGGGCAACTAAGCATACATGCTAAAAAAGTTCATGATACTAAGGGAGCTTATGAATAAAGCGTGAGATGTGTCATACAGATTATAGTTGCTGTGGAAGTTCCGCCCTTTTATATTCTCAGTTCATTACTCCTTATAATTTCAGGTGCCCTTGTGCCCTGTCTAGACTTCATGCCCAGCCACTTTAATTACATTAGCATCTCAGAATCCTCTGCCCACTTGATCTTTCATATCTGCCTTATCAATCCCCACCCCTGGGTAAGCTCCACTGTCTGCTTTCTCAGCTTACTCTCCCAGGGTGCTAAGCCTAGCTGGAGAGAATTGTGTTCTTTGCTTTATCTGATTGTCTATGTGATATCACACAGTAGCTCTTCCAATTTTTTCTGCTCTCTCGGAGCTCTTGATCCCAGAGGTTCCTTTATCTCAGCAGAAGACGTGATCTCCTCTTTTGATGAAGGAACCAAGAACTTGATATCACCTTCCATTTTTCCAATCTGAAAATTTTTCTGATCCTCACTCTTCCTTTCCAAAAATAACTTCACCCTTTACTGATGATCCTACCCCCTAGAAACTTCCTCCAGAATTTGGCCTAACTATGATTTCCCCTCTCCTTGTGTGATCTTCACTCTTGGTCTCCACTGGCTCCTTCTTTTCAATCCACAAGCATGTTTAAGACTCTCCTTTTACAGCTGGGTGCGGTGGCTCACGCCTCTAATCCCAGCACTTTGGGAGGCTGAGGCGGGCGGGTGGATCACCTGAGGTCAGGAGTTCGAGATCAGCCTGGCCAAAATGGTGAAACCCTGCCTCTACTAAAAATACAAAAATTAGGTGGGTGTGGTGATGTGCGCCTGTAATCCCAGCTACTCAGGAGGCTGAGGCAGGAGAATTGCTTGAACCCGGGAGGTGGAGGTTGCAGTGAGCCAAGATCACGCCACTGCCCTCCAGCCTGGGCAACAAGAGCAAAACTCTGTCAAAAAAAAAAAAGACTCTCCTTTTCCAACCTCCTGCATTAGTTATCTATTAACTGCATCAAAAATTACCTCAAAGTTTAGTAGATCCAACAACAAACACATGATCTCACAGTTTCTGTAGGTCAGGAATAGGAGATCAGCTTAGCTTCTGGTGGTTCCAGCTCTGCATCTTTCACGGGGTGCAATCAAGATGTCAACCAGGGCTGTCATCATCAGAAGGCTTTACTGGGGCTGGAGAATCCACTTCCAAGGTTGAGCATCCTCACAACATGGCAGCTGGCTTCCCCAGAGTGAGTGATCCGAGAAAGCAAGCAAGAAGGAAGTCCCAGTGCCTTTTATGACCTAGTCTCAGAAGTGGCACACTGTCACTTCTGCCTCATTCTATTTGCTAGTAGTGAGTTGCCACATTCAGCCCACATTCCAAGGAGCAGAATTCATCACTGCCTCTTAAAGACAGGAATTTAAAAAAAATTTGTGGACATATTTTTAAGCCACCATATGTCTCAAATAAACCATCTTTCAAGGCGGCTATTCCTTCAAGCTATTTCTCCATTCTCTTCCTCCTTTCAGGGCCACTCTTCTCAATGTACTGATCTATTTCCTTCCCTTACTTTTTCATCATTTAATATTCAACTTCTGACAGTCCAGATTATAATCCCCTAATAGAACAATACTGCTCTTGAGCATAGTGTCCAAATTAGCGTGGCATTCAAGGCCTAGCCACAGGCCTTGAATTTTCATCTTCTCTCCCACAGTGTCCTTTACACATCAGCCAGTTGGATTTCTCAGCATTCCGCAAATATGCCTTCGGTTTTCCCACCTCCATGCCTTTGCTCAGATGGTTTCCCTCACCAGGAAGCATCTTCTACTCAAGCTCTCTCTCTTTTTTTTTTTTTTTTTTGAGACAGAGTCTCACTCAGATGTCCAGGCTAGAGTGCAGTGGGGCGATCACGGTTCACTGTAGCTGCCACCTCCTGGGTTCAAGCAATTCTTGTACCTCAGCCTCCCAAGTGGCTGGGATTATAGGTGTGTGCCACTATGCCTGGCTAATTTTTGTATTTTTAAAAGAGATGAGGTTTCGCCATTTTGGCCAGGCTGGTCTTGAACTCCTGACCTCAAGTGATCCGCCTGCCTCAGCCTTCCAAAGTGCTAGGATTATAGGCGTGAGCCACCATGCCCAGCCTCACGTTCTCATTTTCAAGACCCAGTTCAAATGTCATGTCATGCAAGAAGACTTCCTTTATCTCCCACCCTCCTTCACACTCCCAGAGAACATTGATCATCAGCTTTACCATAGTCATCTCATTTTACACCATTATGGTATTGGTATATGGCTCTGTGTTCTTTTTAGTACCCAGAACAACACCTTGTTTAGACTAAGTTCTTAATCTTTTTTAGATGAAAAAATTTACCTAAATCATTAAGATTTAATTTTACTCTCACCAAAAGGCAAATTAAAGTCTCTATAATCTCCAATGCTATTAGATTAACATATGGGGCTAAGGGAAATTGCAGAAGGGTCTCTGCTGAAGAAAAATACAGTTTTATTTTCTATTGTTTGAACAGTTTCAATGGAGTGACTCAAAGTAAATCACAATTATTCTCTAAAAAGGTCTGCTTCTAAGATATGTTTGCATATAGTATTTTTACAATTCCTGGTCAACATGTAATTTCCATGGAAACAGATCACACACTGGAGAACAAAGGAATTGAATTGTGTTTGAGCTGGATTTTGTCATCTCCATGGAGCTATCTGTGCTAAGTATTTGAGTATTCAGGGAAACTATAATTTAAAATCACCAAAGGCATAATATTTGATGCTTTTACAAATTGCAATATCTGCTATTAATTTTAAAGATTTTTATTAATATGTAGAGATAGTATAAAGGGAAGTTTGAATATGTCTTGAATCATACTTCAACATCAACAAATAAAATAACTTTTTTGGCCAGGCACAGTGGCTCACGCCTGCAATCCCAGCACTTTGGGAGGCCGAGGCGGGCGGATCACAAGGTCAGGAGATCGAGACCATCCTGGCTAACATGGTGAAACCTCGTCTCTACTTAAAAAAAAAAAAAAAAAATTAGCGAGGCGTGGTGGCAGGCGTCTGTAGTCCCAGCTACTCGGGAGGCTGAGGCAGGAGAATGGCGTGAACCCGGGAGGTGGAGTTTGCAGTGACCCGAGATCGCGCCACTGCACTCCAGCCTGAGCGACAGAGCGAGACTCCGTCTCAAAAACAAGCAAACAAACAAAAAACAATCTTTTTTGCCTCTTTGCTAGTGCAGAAAAGGGAAAGAATTAAAAGCTCAGCCTGGGCCAGGCGCAGTGGCTCACGCCTGTAATCCCAGCTACTCGGGAGCCTGAGGCAGGAGAATCGCTTGAACCCGGGAGGCGGAGGATGCAGTGAGCCGAGATGGTGCCACTGCACTCCAGCCTGGGCGACAGAGCGAGACCCTGTCACAAACAAACAAACTCAGCCTGCTAAGAGTGGTGTTGCTGTTTTTGGTCTATAGATAAAATAATCTGCTCTGATGTCATTCAATTGTACAAAAAAGGTCTCCGGTCTACATTTGCTGTCTAGCAATGAGCTGTCTAAATTTTGATTCCAAATATGACTAATCAAATAAGGACAGTTTGTTTAAAACACATGCATAGAAGCAATAAGGTGAAGATGCTTTCACTTGCTTGCTAATGCTGTAAACCTTTATGACTCGTGTAATGTATTCTTTCCTCAAGCACTGTAAAAACTCACCCAGAAACTTCAAATCACTAGAAATACTGTATTTTGAAAATACAATATTTCTCTAATCTATTCTTGGAATAATAATCTAATCTATTTTTGGAATAATAATCTAACTTTGTAAATGGAAATTCAGACATCTATCCAAACATCTCGAAATGCTCAAGAGGCATCAGAAACACCACAAGATTTTCCTTTGATTCTCATGTATTGTACATCAGTTGCTGATTTTATTTTTACATTTCAATAAATATAATCAGAACAAATATAGAAAAAAGGAAAATAATTATAGAAGCCATACATACTTTTCATTTAAAATGTGCACATAGGCTATTATTATAAAGAAGTTACATCTCACTTCCACTGCATGTTCCACAATCATAACAACTGTTGTTGTTTTTTTTTTTTTTTGAGACGGAGTTTCCCTCTTGTCGCCCAGGCTGGAGTGCAGTGGTTCTATCTGGGATCACTGCAAGCTCTGCCTCCCAAGTTCAAGCGATTCTCCTGCCTCAGCCTCCTGAGTAGCTGGGATTACAGGCATGTGCCACCATGCCCGGCTAATTTTTTGTATGTTTAGTAGAGATGGGGTTTCTCTATGTTGGCCAGGCTGGTCTCGAGTACCCAGAGATTTGCTTGTTTCCCATTGTCTTTCAGCGTCTGGCTGCTCCCTGTGTCACCCAGATGGACGTCCTTGTCATTAGGTCTCTGACCTACTCCTAAACCTAAAAACTATCTGTCTCAAAGTCTCTTCTATTATATTACCTAGTCCCTCAGATTGGAATCATATTCACTGATTCTCCTGGAATGTTCTTTTTTTAAAATTTTTTTAATTTTTAATTTTTTGTAGAGACAGTCTTGCTGTGTTGCCCAGGCTGGTCTTGAACCCCTGGCCTCAAGCTCACGCCTGTAATACCGGCACTTTGGGAGGCCGAGGTGGTAGAAGCACATGAGACCAGGAGTTTGAAACAAGCCTGGGCAATATAGCCAGATCCTGCCTTTACAAAAAATAAAAAAATTATCCAGACATGGTGGTGGATGCCTGTAGTCCCAGCTCCTTGGGAGTCTGAGGTGGGAGGATCACTTGAGCTCAGGAGTTGGAGACTGCAGTGAGCTATAATTGCACCACTGCACTCCATCCTGGGCGACAGAGTGAGACCCTGGCTTTAGAAAATAACTAAACACTTAAACATTTTAAATTAAAAAAATTTAATAAAAAAATACAATTGAT
Organism: Homo sapiens; assembly: GCF_000001405.40. Taxonomy (NCBI): domain Eukaryota; kingdom Metazoa; phylum Chordata; class Mammalia; order Primates; family Hominidae; genus Homo; species Homo sapiens. The sequence goes on along the minus strand of NC_000002.12, from coordinate 61,783,499 downwards.
TTTTGTACGTTGAACTTGTATCCTGCAACCTTGCTAAACTCACTTATTTGTCCTAGATTTTTTTTGACAGATTATTTTGGATTTTCTTTGTAAACAACCATGTCATCTGCAAATAAAGAAAGGTTTTGTTGTTGTTGTTTTCCTTCTTTCTAATCTGTGTGCCTTTTCTTTCTTTATCTTGCTAACTGGCTAGGACTTCCATAACCATGTTGAGTAGGAGTGGTGAGAGTAGACAGCTGTGCCTTGTTCCTAATCTTAGGGGGAAAGCATTCAGCCTTTCATCACTAAGGATAATGTTAGCTGTAGGTTTTTTTTGAAGATACCCTCTATCATGTTGAGGGAAGTCCCTTCTATCCCTAGTCTGCTGAGTGGTTTTATTTTCTTTCAATCATAAATTGGCATTTACCTTTTTCTATTTTTCTCAATTGATACACAATTGGTAATTATGTATCAATTAACGATCATGTAGTTTTCCTTCCTTAGGCTGTTAAGAAGGTAGATGACATTGATTTTCTTTTCTCTCTCTCTCTTTTTTTTTTTTTGAGAGGGAGTTTTGCTCTTGTTTCCCAGGCTGGAGTGCAATGACAAGATCTCGGCTCACTGCAACCTCTTCCTCCCGGGTTCAAGCGATTCTCCTACCTCAGCCTCTTGAGTAGCTGGGATTACAGGTGCCCAACACCACGCCTGGCTAATGTTTGTATTTTTAGTAAAGACGGCGTTTCGCCATATTGGCCAGGCTGATCTCAAACTCCTGACCTCAGGTGATCCACCCACCTCAGCCTTCCAAAGTGCTGGGATTACAGGCGTGAGCCACTGCGCCCGGCCGACACAGATTTTCAAATATGGAACCAGCTTACATTCCCAAAATAATCCTTGCTTGGTCATGATGTGGTCAATTTTTTGTTACTGAATTAAATTTTATTGAAGATTTTTCTGTCATTAAGGTACATTAATGCGTAGCTTTCTTTTCTGTAATGTATTTGATTTTAATATCAGCCTAATGATGGCATCATAAAATGAGGTGGGGTTCGTTCCCTCTTCATCCCTTCCTATTTCATTTTGGGTGAATTTTAGTAGTTTGTGGTATTAAATCAAGTTTAGCCTAAAGCTGCCTCCTTGAATATTTAAGTTCGACCTAAAGGTTTTTCTATACATCGTGAAGTATAACAAGTGGAGGTATAAACTGACCATAGCCCGCACCTGTGCCAGTCACTGAGTTTTGGCCAATCAAATGTAGCCAACTGTTCAAACCGTGTTCCAATAAGGCAAATGCTGAACTGTAACCAATCCAGCTGTTTCTGTACCTCGCTTCCGTTTTCTGTACTTTCTTTCCTTTTTCTGTCCATAAATCTTCTTCCACTACATGGCTGCGCTGGAGTCTCTCTTAATCTGCTGTGATTTTGAGGGCTGCCCAATTCGCGAATCATTCTTTGCTCAATTAAACACCTTTAAATTTAATTTGGCTGAAGTTTTTCTTTTAACAGTGGTTGGTGAGGAATTGGTCCACTCCTTCTAAGTTGTTGAGTTTATGTGTATACGGTTTGTGTGTATAAAGTTGTTTATATTGTTCTCTTATTATCCTTTTAATGTCTGTAGAGTTTGTAGTGATATGGCCTCTTTCAGTCTGGGTATGGGTAATTTGTATTATCTCTTTGTCAGTCTTGCTAAAAGTTTGTCAATTTTATTGATCATTTCAAAAAACCAACTTTTGGATTTTTAATTTTTCTCTATTTTTCTGTTTCCAATTTAATTGATTTTTATGCTCTTAGTTTTATTATTTCCTTTCTTCAGCTTGCTTTGGGGTTATTTTGCTCTTCCTTTTCCTAGTTTTCATAAGATGAAAACTGAGGTAATTGACTTGAGAGCTTTCTTTTCTAATATAAGCATTTACTATTATTATTATTATTATTATTACTTTTGAGACAGAGTCTTGCTCTGTCCCCCAGGCTGGAGTGCAGTGGCACAATCTCAGCTCACTGCAACCTCTGCCTCCTGGGCTCAAGGCATCCTACCACCTCAGCTTCTTGAGTAGCTGGGACCACAGGCATGCACCACCACGCCTGGCTAATTTTTGTATTTCTTGTAGAGATGGGGTTTTGCCATGTTGCCCAGGCTGGTCTCAAACTCATGAGGTCAAGCGATCCGCTCATCTGGGCCTCCCCAAAGTGCTAGGATTATAGGCATGAGCCACCCTGCCTGGCCTAATTATAAGCATTTAATGCTATAAAATTTCCTCTAAACACTGCTTTAGCTGCATCTCATAGTTTTGATATGTTGTATTTTCTTTTTTAAAAAAACTTCAAAACATTTCCTAATTTTCTTTTAGACTTCCTCTTTGATCCATGGATTATTTAAAATTGCATTGTATAATATCCAACTGTTTGGAGATTTTCTTGTTATCTTGTTTGTTATTGATTTCTAATTTCATTATGGTTAGACAACAGTTTGTATTATTTTCTGTTCTTTTTAATTGGTTATTGTTTGTTTTATGATCCAGTACATCGTCTATCGTTTTTAATCCTCCTTGTGCCCTTAAAATAATATGTATTCTGCTGTTGTTGGGTGAAGTGTTATATTGTATTAGACCTTGAAGTTTAATTCTTCCATATATATTTCTTCTACGTTTTTGTTGATTTTCTGTCTGTTTTATCTATTTGCAAGACTGGAGTGTGGAATTCTCCAACAATAATTGTGGATTTGTCTATTCTTTTACTTCTTACAGGCTTTGCTTAATGTATTTTGAAGCTCTATTGTTAGGTGCATAAACAATTGGAATTCTTATGTCCTCTTAATGAACGGACTCCTTTATTGCTATGAAATGACTTTCTTTATCCCTGGTCACTTTTTTGCTCTGAAGTTTATCTTGTCCTATATCCATATAGCCATCCAAGTTTCCTTTTGATTAGTTTGCATGTTATATCTTTTTCCATTCCTTTACATTTAATCTCTATATCATATGTGACATAAGTTTCTTTTAACAGTGCATATTGTGTCATGGGTTTTTTGAGGTTCATTTAGACAATCTCTGTTTTTAGTTGGTGCACTGAGGTAATTTACATTTAATATAACTACTGATATATGGGTTTCAGTCAACCATTTTATTATTTGTTTTCTGTTTGGTTCCTCTGTTTTCCATTCCTTTGTTTCCCCTGTCCTGAATTCTTCTGTGTTTTATTTGAGCATTTTTTAGTATTCCTTTTTTTTGAGAAGGAGTTTTACTCTTTTTGCCCAGGCTGGAGTGCAATGGCGTGGTCTCAGTTCACTGCAACCTCTGCCTCCTGGGTTCAAGTGATTCTCCTGCCTCAGCCTCCAGAGTAGCTGGGATTACAAGTGTGTGTCACCACGCCCGGCTAATTTTGTATTTTTAATAGAGATGGAGTTTCACCATATTGGCCAGGCTGGTCTTGAACTCCTGACCTCAGGTGATCTGCCCACCTTGGCCTCTGAAAGTGCTGGAATTAAAGGCGTGAGCCACCGTGCCTGGCCTAGTATTCCATTTTAATCTGTGTATTGACATTTTTACTATATGTCTTTGTCCAATTTTTAAATGATTGCTCAAGGGATTGCAACATATATAACTTTTCAATATCTACTTAAAATTAATATATTACCACTATAAGTGAGATTTAAAAACATTACCACTGTATAGTTCCCCTCCATATTTTATTGCTGTCTTATGTATGACATCTGTAATCACTGAAAACCCTATCAGACATTGTTATAATTTTTGCTTTTAACCATCAAACATATTTTAAAGAACTACAAGCGTAGAAGAATAATTCATTATATTTACCTATATATTTACCATTTCTGCTGCTCTTCATTTTTTTTTTTTTTTTTGAGACAGGGTCTCACTCTGATGCCCCAGCTGAAGTGCAGTGGTGTGATCTTGGCTCACTGCAACCTTGGCCTCCTGGGTTCAAGTGATTCTCCCACGTCAGCCTCCGAGTAGCATGCACCACCATGCCCAGCTAATTTTTGTATTTTTAGTAAAGATGGGGTTTCACCATGTTGGACAAGCTGGTCTTGAACTGCTGATCTCAAGTGATCTGTCCGCCTAAGCTTCCCAAAGTGCTGGGATTATAGGTGTGGGCCACCGCGCCCAGCCTCTTTATTCCTAATGTTCTAAGTTCCCTTTTAGTATAATTTCCCTTTTGCCTGAAAACTTCCTTTAGCACTTATTTTTTTTAAGCATAGGTCTTCTTGCCACAAATCCTCTTAATTTTCTTTCATCTGAGATTGTTTTATTTCACCTCAATTCTGAAGGATTTTTGTTGGCTATAAAATTGAGGGGAATATTAAAATCTTTCAGCACTTTATAAATTCTCTGCCTCTCCTGGTCTTCATGATTTTTTATTAAAAAAATCCATCTTCATTTTTCCCCTATGTAATGCATTTTTTCCCCTCTAGATTCCTGGAAAAAATCTCCTTCAAGAGTTTTTTTGGCTGGGTGCAGTAGCTCACACCTGTAATTCCAGCACTTTAGGAGACTGAGGTGGGAGGATTACTTGAGGTCAGGAGTTGGAGACCAGCCTGTGCAGAATAGTGAGACCCTCCCTCTACAAAAAAAAAAAAAAAAAAAGTACAAAATCATGCAGGCATGATGGCATCCACCTGTAGTCCTAGCTGCTCAAGAGGCTTTGGCTGGAAGATCTCTTCAGACCAGGAGGTTGAGGCTATGAGCCTGGGCAACAGAGTGAGACCTTGTCTCTTAAAAAAAATTTTTTTTCATGTGTGTTTATTTATCCAGCAGTTTGATTATGACGTGTCTGAGGATGGATTTCTTTGGGTTTATCCTTTTGGGATTTGTTGGGATTCTTGAATCTGTATGTTTGTCTTTCAACAAATTTGAGAAGTTTTCAAGCATTATTTCTTCAAACGCCTTTTTCTTTTTTCTTTTTTTTTGAGACGGAGTCTCACTGTCGCCTAGGCTGGAGAGCAGTGGCATTGTAACCGATCTCAATCCGTGGTGGACTGAACAAAGGCAGGCGAACGTGGGAATAAAGACGAAGACAAAAGATTATATTTGGAAGAAGGGGTCAGAGGGCACCTTGCCTGTAGTGGACAAGGGTCCTGAACAGCCCTCCGTATTTATTTGGCAAAAGAGATAGAGACAAGTGGGGGTGTGGAAGAAGAGGTCAGCTGCTCGGTCTAGAGTAGGCTTGCAAGACCACATTCCTTGAACAGTAGGCTCTAGTTGTCCCAGTAGATAACTTCAAGGAGCCCGGTGCCAGGGAGTGATTGCCCTCAGCAAACCTCCTGGCAGCAGGCACAGTCGTGAGTTTGCTCACATCCTGCATTCATGATAAACAGTTTGCTGTTTGATCATATAGCCTCCAGTGGTCACGATCTCTTTGTCCTTTTCAGCTCCCAACAGGCATGATCGTGGCTCACTGTAAACTCTGCTTCCCAGGTTCAAGTGATTCTCCTGCCTCAGCCTCCCAAGTAGCTGGTATCACAGACACGTGTCATCACACCTAGCTAATTTTTGTGTTTTTAGTAGAGATGGGGTTTCACCATGTTGGCCAGGCTGGTCTCAAACTCCTGACCTCAGGTGATCCTTCCACCTCGGCCTCCCAAAGTGCTGGGATTACAGGCGTAAGCCACCGTGCCTGGCCAAAAACCTTTTTCTACATCACAGTCTTTCTCCTCTCTGGGACTCTAATAATTTACGTGAGGCATTTTAGTACTATCCTACAGATCCCCAAGGCTCTGTTCTTCCTATTTTTTAAGTAATTTTTTCTCTCAGTTGTTCAGATCAGTAATTCTATTATGTACCTTCTAGGTCACTGACTCTTTCCTCTGCCATCTCCATTCTGTTCTGAGCCCATCCAGTGGGTTTTAAATTTTGGCTATTGTATTTTTCAGTTCTCAAATGGAAAAACTGAATACAATAGAAATAGGAAATCATGGCCAGGTGTGGTGGCTCACGCCTGTAATCCCAGCACTTTGGGAGGCTGAAGTGGGCAGCCTCACCTGAGGTCTGGAGTTTGAGACTAACCTGACAAACATGGTGAAACCCCATCTCTACTAAAAATACAAAAATTAGCTGGGCTTGGTGGCAGGTGCCTGTAATCCCAACTACTTAGGAGGCTGAGGCAGGAGTATTGCTTGAATCCAGGAGGCGGAGGTTGCAGTGAGCTGAGACTGCCCCATTGCACTCCAGCCTGGGCAACAAGAGTAAAACTCTGTCCTAAAAAAAAAAAAAAAAAAAAAAAAAAAGGGAAATCTTTGCCAAGACTTTCTTTTTTTTATGTTTTCATTTATTTCAAGGATGTTTTGGAATATTTTTATAACACCTACTTTAATGTCTTTGTCAGATAATGCCAACATCTGTGTCATCTTAGTGTTAGTGTCTATCAATTATCTTTTCCCAGTTTAGATTTTTCTGGTTTCTCAAATGCTGAGTAATTTTAGATTGTATCCTGGATATTTTGAATATTATGCTACGAGACTAGAGGTTTTGTTTAAATCCTGGAGTGAATGTTGACATTTTTGTGTTAGCCATAATCAGTCAGGTTGGGATTAGACTGTAAACTCCAATTAGACTTCTCTAGGTTGTAATTTTAATATCAGTTCTGTTTTTAAAGGCTTTGCAGTGTTATTTGGATCAGTCCTGAATGTTCTTGACCCAGTGGTCAGTCAAGGTCTGAGGCAGGAACTGTGTAGTTCAGTTCTCACAGCCTGTGGTACAGTGTTGAGGATCAGATCCACACATGTACAGCTTGGGAGTTACCTCAGAAATCATAAACTTTTGCTCCTTCCTCTACTCAATTTCCTAGTTTTATCCCAATTCCTTGGGGCTCCCTTTTATAGTTCTCTGATCAGAAAACTTGGGTTTTGTTTTTCATTTTATTTTTGAGACAGAGTCTCTCTCTGTTGCCCAGGCTGAGGTGTGCAATCTCAGCTCACTGCAGCCTTGACCTCCGGGCTCCAGAGATCCTCTCACCTCAGCCTCCTGAGTAGCTGGGACTACAGGCACGCACCACCACACCCAACGGATTTTTGTATTTTTTGTAGAGACAGTGTCTCACTGTGTTGCCCAGGCTGGTCTCGAACTCATGGGCTCAAGTGATCCTCCCACCTCGGCCTCCCAAAGTGCTGGGATTATAGGAATGAGCTGCTGTGCCCAGCCAAGTACATACGCTACTTTTCTGTTCACTTTCCGTAACTACGCTTATGTCTGGAGCGAGGCAGTGGGAGGACAGAGATGAAAAAAGAAAGCAGTGGGGGTTTGCCATTTACCCTACTCTGATTTTTGGGAACACAGCACCTCTGATCAGAGAGGAAAGTTCTCTTTTCTCAAAGTTTTAGGCACCTGCCTGCTCCTCTTACCATTAATGTCATTTTCACTTCTGCTTTTATAGGATTACTTGAGGTTTGGGTGCTAGAGAATGGAGAAAAGAAAAACAAAACAAAACAAAAAACAAAGCACATGAGATTTCCCCCACTTTGTCTGTATATTAGGAAACTCTTTTTCCACCCCTCAAGCCAGATCTAGAAGCCTTCTCCTGGAGCTCTTTCTGTCCACACTGATTTGGACTTCAGGCTTTTGGGCTGCACAAGTCCAGACTAGGGATATCAGAGGGGAAAAAATGGTAAGCTCTCTGCATGTTCAGTGGTACTTCATATTCATGCCTTCTTCTCCAACCTTTCTGTTTCGATTTACTTTTCAGTCCTCAAGTTTGGGAGCCATGCATTCTTTCCAGGTTAATAGCTACATTCAGTAGGAGAGATAGGTTGGGATTTGCTCACTCCATCTTACTTGGAACTAGAAACTTCCTAAAGCAGTGATGTTACAAGAAGATAATTTGAATTACAGTTTTCTAGTTTTACAATATTTTAAAGCTGATTGAATATAAATAATTTAAAAATATATTTCCAGGCCCAAATATTAACATTATAATTTAAACTACTGGATCCATCATTGACCCTTTTAATAATTGGAAGGTTTAAGACTCCCACACTCAATATATTAGAAAAATAATACATTCATGTTCATTCTCCCATTTTTTGTGTTTCTCTTTCAATATAGCACATTTACTACTAATGCTCATTTATCCCATCAAAAATGTCACATAAAAACTGGAATAATTCAGAAATTTGGAGTGGGATTCATTTACGATTTATAAGTTACCTGGTAGAGTTTGACTTATAAGAAAGCACATTGTGAGGGCCGGGTGTGGTGGCTCACGCCTGTAATCCCAGCAATTTGGGAGGCCAAGGCGGGCGGATCACCTGAGGTTGGGAGTTCGAGACCAGCCTGACCAACATGGAGAAACCCTGTCTCTACTAAAAATACAAAATTAGCCGGGCATGGTGGCACACGCCTGTAATTCCAACTACCCGGGAGGCTGAGGCTGGAGAATTGCTTGAACTTGGGAGGCAGAGGTTGCAGTGAGCCAAGATCACACCATTGCACTCCAGCCTGGGTGATAAGAGTGAAACTCTGTCTCAAACAACAACAACAACAGCAAACAGTACATGGTGAGGCTAGGTGCAGTAGCTCATGTCTGTAATCCTATCCCTTTGGGAGGCTGAGGCAGGCAGATTGCTTGAGCTCGGGAGTTCGAGACCAGCTGGATAACATGGTGAAACCCTGTCTCTACAAAAAAAAAAGAAAATTAACTGGGCATGGTGGTGTGCACTTGTAGTCCCAGCTACTTAGGAGACTGAGGCAGGAGGATCACTTGAGCCTGGGAGGTCGAGGCTGCAGTGAGCCATGATGGTGCCACTGCACTCCAGCCAGGGTGACAGACTGAAACCCTGTCTAAAAAAAATTTTTTTAAATAAAGTACATAATGAAACATATATAAGGTTTAGTGTTAGCTAGGATTTGGCTCAGCTTTGAATGATGAAAAAAGAAAAACCCAGAATAACTGTAGCTTACATCATATATGTCTATTTTTCTCTTACATAAAGTAGGAAGTAAGTGCCCCAAGTTGGATATGGTGCTTCATTGTGTCAGAAACCCAGGTTCCTTCTTTCTGATGTTCTGCCATGAGTGACCTTGATTTCTTCCTATTTCTCTCATGATCTAAAATGGTTGTAACATAGCTCCAGCCATCTCAGGAAGAAGGAAGGGTAAAGGAGAAAGCACACAGTTCTTCTGTGTGCTTTTAAGGACACGTCCTGAAAGCTGTACATAATATTTCTGCTTATATCTTTTTGGCCAGAACATACTCACAAGGCTACACCTTGCCACAAGAAAGACTTGGAGATGTATTTATATTCTGGGCAGTTATATCCACTTAAAAGTTGAGGATGCTGTTACCATTGAAAGAGGAAGAATGATTTTGAGGGTCAACTAGTAATTTCTGCCACAAGACTGTGTCCCTAAGAAATCCTTATGTTGTAAATAGCGGAAACTAAATTCAAATTAGCATAAACAAAAAAGAAGATATATATATGCTTATTTAACTGAAAAGACAGAGGTAAAGGAAGCTTTAGAGCTAATTTGATTCAGGGGAATTTTTTCTTTTTTGAGACGGAGTCTTGCTCTGTTGCCCAGGCTGGAGTGCAATGGCTCGATCTCGGCTCACTGCAAGCTCCGCCTCCCAGGTTCAGGCGATTCTCCTGCCTCAGCCTCCCGAGTAGCTGGGATTACAGATGCCCGCCACCATGCCCGGCTAATTTTTGTATTTTTAGTAGAGACAAGGTTTCACCGTGTTAGCCAGGATGGTCTCGATCTCCTGACCTCAGATGATCGCCTGCCTCAGCCTCCCAAAGTGCTGGGATTACAGGCGTGAGCCACCGCACCCGGCCTGATTCAGGGCATTTTTAAGATCTTAATGTACCTGATATAGTTTGGGTATTTGTCCCCGTGCAAATCTCATGTTGAGAAGTAACCCACATGTTGGAGATGGGGCCTGGTGGGAGGGGAGGTGTTTGGTCATGGAAGTGGATTCCTCATGGCTTGGTGCTATCTTTGCAATAGTGAGTGAGAACTCACAAGATCTGGTTGTTTGAGTGTGTAGAACTCCCCACCCTGCCACTCCCTCTTGTTCCTGCTTTTGACGTGTGACATGCTTGCTCCCTCTTTGCTTTTCACCATGGGTAAAAGCTCCCTGAGGCCTCCCCAGAAGCTGAGCAGATACTGGCACCATGCATCCTGTGAAACCTGCAGAACCGTGAGCCAATTAAACTTCTTTTCTTCATAAATTACCCAGTCTCAAGTATTTCTTTATAGCAACACAAGAATGGCCTAATACTGTACCCAATTTCATTTTTCTAGTAGCTTACTGCTCTGTGAACTTCATTATAAGGCTAGCTTCCTTCTTTATGGCAAAATGTCCTCAGAAGTCACAAGCTTCACATCTGCACATAACAGTGCCCAGAAGGAAAGAAAGCGTTCAGTTCCGGTAGCTATTGTGACAAATTATCACAGTATGCCCAGACTGTCCTGGATTTTGCACTGAAATTTCTATGTTCAGGGAAATGTTGCAGTCCCAGGCAAACCACGATGGGTGGTTATCTACCTGGTAGTTCTCTCACAAGGATTCAGGACCTTCTTTTTCAGAGTCCCCCAGGTAACCTCTCATATCTCACTGGCTCAATTTGGGCATATTCCCCTTTAGCCCGGGGAATAGTAGGCACCGATTTGCTTAGACCTGGCAATTATTGTGAAAAGAGCCATAGAACTGCCTGATTAAATAAGCAAATCAGAGGTAATCTCTGAAAATAAGAACTCAATCATCCCCTACCCTATAATCACATGGCTGCAACACAAGTTGGGAGACACAGCTACAATGTCCATAAGACTGAACTAACATCATACTAGAAATGTTTAGCATTTATAAAGCAGAAGCCCCACATGACACCACATGACTTCCTATCTGAAAAGTCAATGAAATTCTATCAAGGGGAAATTGTTCTAGCTGTAGAAAAATGTGTTCATAGAGATTTTTGCTCATTTGTCTAAGCAAATCAGTGCCTAATATTCCCCTCAGTAAAGGGAACACGCTTCAAGTTGAGCCAATGAGATAAGAGAGAATATCTCGAGGACAGGTTGGCACAAAACTACGCTCATATTCATACAACAGTGGCCGCAGTAGCACTTGATATTATTTCACTTTCTTATGTCCTATGCTGAAGCTGGGGACAGCAAATAATTTGGTCAAAGTAGTCATGCTGAAATAAGGTTAAATGTAATTTTAAATAATCCCATATAAGACTGTGGTCTTTATGAGGTATTCTGTCTACTACTGACTCATATTTGGTACCCTTTATGTGGTGCTTCTCCTAAACGGGGATTATATATCCCCTTCCTGAGGAAATCAGTCATGTAATTTGCTTTGACCAGTAAAATGTGAGTGAACAGGACGTGTGTGAACTCCCTGGCAGGAGTTTGGAGAGCCAGTGGTTCGCTATGTTCTGCTTTCTCTCTGCCATGATGACCAAGTGTCCCAGTGTAGCATAAGTGGAAAAGAAATCTCTGTTCTAAGTCCTTGAGAATTGGAGGGCATTTCTTACTACAGAATCATTAGCCTACCCTGCACATGGTTTGCTTCCTTCAACATTCCTTTCTAGCCTCTTCTCTCTCCTGCTTTTGCTTTTTGTGTGTTTAGTTTCTCCCTTTGTATTTTACCACAGTCTTGCTCTTAGAATTTGAGTCAATGCAAAGCAGAGAAACAGTTAACTAGCCTGGAGCCTTGAAAGATTGTCTTGTTGTCCTACACTGGCCAGATACTTTCAAAAAGAATCTTGGGCATATTACCTCCTAGACAGAAAACTAGAAACCGAAGCATTAAACAAATGCTTACATTTAACTAGCTTTTAATTATTGACTTCACAGTAAACTCTTCAAATAAATTTATAAATGTAATTTTTTTAAAAAAACTATACATTTATAAATTTAAAACAATTTAAATTTATATTAGTCCAGCAACTTTTTTTTCTGTTCTCTATAACAATAATACTAACATAAAATAGGAAATGAAGGCTTTTAAAAATATTTAACACTCTGGTCCCTTGAAGAGAGAATATCAACAAGGCCGGGCACGGTGGCTCAGGCCTGTAACCCCAGCACTTTGGGAGGCTGAGGCGGGTGGACTGCCTGAGGTCAGGATTTCAAGACCAGCCTGGCCAACATGGCAAAACCCTGTCTCTAAAAAAAAAAAAAAAATTGGTTTGGTGTGGTGGCACATGCCTGTAGTCCCAGCTACTCAGGAGGCTTAGGCAAGAGAATTGCTTGAACCAGGGAGGCGGAGGTTGCAGTAAGCCGAGATAGTGCTACTGGACTCCAGCCTGGATGACAGAGCAAGACACTGTCTCAAAAATAAAAATAAAAAAAGAAAGAGAATGTCAACAACAACAAAAACCCTTCAATTATCTTCCAAGCTCACATGGAAAATGATTCTATCACTTCATGATTTTAAAGATTCCTAGATACCTGCCCTAGATATTCTGATTCAGTAGGTATTTTGGAAATTACTGTGTTCAATAACTAAATCACTAGCATCACTGGCACAAAGATGATTAGCCCTCAACCCTCAGGTTGTATCTTTCTCTTTCAAGTATTAGTCAGGAAACATTGGAATGCCTGCCACACCCTCAAATCTATGAGAAACTGCCCTGGCCACACTTCCAGCCAAGCAGAGTGACTGGGCTATTTCTTGAGTATGGAAGTTTTATTCCATATTACCTTGTATTCCTCTTCTGCTTTGCAGTGGACCAAAGGCAGCTAAGCTGCCCAAGCAGGAGGTGACAAATGATGACAAAGAAATAGGATTCTTTCTGAGTTTGGCCATCAGAACTGGGAAATGTGAAGAAAATTTAGTTGGCAATGACAGAAGTAGGGGAAAATGCCCCCAAGGGAAGTAGAGATCAAGAGAATAGCCGAATCATGTTAAGGGTGGAATACCACTCTTAAAGAGTCTCCAAACTGCAACTGAGGGATTACCAAAATAATCTGGTTTTAGAGATGGATCCTGTGATTTCTGTCTGCATGGGACTTGTCTGTGCTTTGATTACTGCTCTAGGATTTCTGTGGGATTCTTCTGTCTCTTATTGACTCACACAGCCTTGTAATAAATCTCCATTACTTGAGACAGCCTGAATAAGTCATTATTGCTAACATACTCATATTGTCATTCATTAGGACCTCCAATTTCTGTGGAACCTTACATTACTCTAAATCTGCAGTATTTCTCAAAGTGTTGTGTGAATTCCCTACCTCATACAATAATTTAGAGTTCCAGTCATCTCTGAATTATTGAATCCAGGGGTGGAGCACAAGAATACACATACTTTTAAATCAATAAACTTTATTTTTTTAATTTTAAATTAATTTTTTTTTAAGAGACAGGTTTTCACTATGTTGCCCAGGCTGGCCTCAAACTCTTGGGCTCAAGAGATCCTCCCACCTCAGCCTCCCAAGTAGCTGGGATGATAGGTGGGCACCACTATGCCTGGCTAGTAAATGTTATTATTTATTATTATTTTTTGAGATGGAGTCTCACTCTGTCACCTAGGCTGTAATGGAGTGGTGCGATCTCACCTCACTACAACCTCCACCTCCTGAATTCAAGCGATCCTCCTGCCTTAGCCTTCTGAGTAGCTGGGATTAAAGGTGCCTGCCCCCTCGCCCCACTAATTTTTGTATTTTTAGTAGGTACAGGGTTTCACCATGTTGGCCAGGCTGGTCTCAAATTCCTGACCTTAGGTGATCTGCCCAACTTGGCCTCCCAAAGTCCTGGGATTACAGGTGTGAGCTACCGTACCCAGCCAAACTTTATTTTTTAGAACAATTTTAGAATTATAGAAAAATTGAGCAGAGAGTATAGTTCCCAAATCCTTCCCTACCCACTACAGTTTCCCTTACTATTAACATCTTACATTCATGGAACATTCATTACAATTAATGCACCAATATTGATAAATTATTATTAACTAAAGTTCATAGTTTATTCAGATTGCCTTTTTACCTAGTCTCCTTTTTATGTTCCAGGATCCTGTCCAGGGTACCATGTTTACATTTAGGTGGCATGTTGTCTTAGGCTCCTTTGGATGATGTCATTATCTCAAACCTTCCTTGTTTTTGATGATATTGACAGTTTTGAGAAGCCCTGGTCAGGTAGGATTCTCCTTTATTGGAATTTGTCTTTTTCTTGTGATTAGATATGGGTTTTAGGGAGGAGGTTCACAGAAGTAAAGTGGGAATAAGTATTTTTACAGGCACCCAGGTGACTCATACGTATACACTGTAGTTGGTGGCCCTGTTGTTAACATGTCCATATGTAGTCATTGTGTCTTTGAGCAGCTTTGAGAATTATACTGCTATAGTGAAATTTTTCAAGAGCAGGAACCATGTGTTACTCATCTTTGAATCCTGAGGGTTTAGAACAGGGCTCATCATTTAGTACATATTTCATAATGTTTAATCAAATGAAAGAAAGGTACAAAGCTAGAAGTTTATCCTATGAATTTACTCCTATATCCAAGTACACATATATCTATGAGAGTTTGTACCCTGGGAGTTTGGAAAAATAGTGGAGCAATAGAAGCTCACTTTAGAGGCCACTTATCTAACCCTGGATTAATCAATCTTGCTCATTCCCTCTGTAAAGCAAATTCACATAGAACGTGCAGCACATTGCAGGCTATAGGAAATTTGTAGGCTACTTCTTAATAGGCCCATGCACTTCTCCTCTCACCAGTTGAGTTTTTTGCTTACCAGGAAAGTTTGTGTTTCTTCCTAAATCTGTGTATGTCACTCTTACTCTTATTACAAATATGCAATTTTATTCATATCAGAAAATTTAGCTAAGTATAAGTGAAAAAGAATTGTTTCTCTAAAAATGAAAATGGTAGCTCACCAAAAATAACTGCTGTGGATTGAATGTCTGTGCCCCCACCCCCCAATTCACCTGCTGAATCCCAATATAGTTTGGATATTTCTCCTCACCAAATCTGATGTTGAAACTTGATTCCCAACACTGGAGGTGAGGCCTAGTGGGAGGTATTTGAGTAATGGGGGCAGATCTCTCGTGAATGGCTTGGTGCTACCCTTGCAGTAGTGAGTTCTCACTCTTAATCTCTGTGAGAACTGATTGTTAAAAAGAGCCTGGCACCTCCTTTCCTCTTGTTCCCCCTCTTGCCATGTGACACACTGGCTTCCCTTCACCTTCTACCAAGAGTGGAAGCTTCCTGAGGTTCTCACCAGAAGCAGATGCCAGTGCTGCTGATGAATATACAGCCTGCAGGCCAGGCATGGTGGCTTGGTGGCTCATGCCTGTAACCCCAGCACTTTGGGAGGCCGAGGCGGGTGGATCACTTGTGGTCAAGAGTTCAAGACAGCCTGGTCAACATGATGGAGCCCTGTCTCTACTAAAAATACAAAAACATTTCGCTAGGCTTGGTGGCAGGTGCTAGTGATCCTAGCTACTCGGGAGGCTGAGGCAGGACAATCACTTGAATCCAGGAGGTGGAGGTTGCAGTGAGCCGACATAGCGCCATTGCACTCCAGCCTGGGCAACAAGAGCTAAACTCCGTCTCAAAAAAAAAAAATGCCGGGTGCGGTGGCTCACGCCTGTAATCCCAGCACTCTGGGAGTCCGAGGTGGGTGGATCACAAGATCAGGAGATCGAGACCATCCTAGCTGACATGGTGAAACCCCGTCTCTACTGAAAATACAAAAAAATTAGCTGGGTGTGGTGGCAGGCGCCTGTAGTTCCAGCTACTCGGGAGGCTGAGGCAGGAGAATGGTGCGAACCCGGGAGGTGGAGCTTGCAGTGAGCCGAAATCGCGCCACTGCACTCCAGCCTGGGCAACAGAGCAACACTCCATCTCAAAAAAAAAATAAATAAATAAAAATAAAAAAATAAATAAAAATAATAAATAAATTTAAAAATTACAAGAAAAGAATACACAGTCTGCAGAAACATGAGCTAAATAAAATCTAAGACAACACCCAGCCCCCAATGTGACTGTATTTGGAAATAGGGTCTTTGTAGTAGGTTAAATGAAGTCATAAGGTTGGGGCCTTGATCCAATAGAATTAGCATCTTTCTTTTTTTTTTTTTTTTTTTTTTTTAAGATGGAGTCTCACTCTGTCGCCCAGGCTAGAGTGCAGTGGCATGATTTCAGCTCACTGCAAGCTCTGCCTCCCGGGTTCACGCCATTCTCCTGCCTCAGCCTCCTGAGCAGCTGGGACTACAGGCCCACCAAGCCTGGTTAATTTTTTGTATTTTTAGTAGAGATGGTGTTTCATCGTGTTAGCCAGGATGGTCTCGATCTCCTGACCTTGTGATCCTCCTGCCTCGGCCTCCAAAAGTGCTGGGATTACAGGCGTGACCCACTGCGCCCAGCCAGGATTAGTATCTTTATAAAAAGGGACACCAGAGAGCTCACTCTGTCTCCACCAAGTGAAGACACAGTGAGAAGGTGGATGTCTGCAAGGCAGGAAAACAGCCTTCACCAGAAACCATCCATGCTGGCACTCTGATTCAGATTTATAGCCTACAGAACTGTGAAAAAATACAATATATATATATATATATTTGAGACAGAGTCTCACTCTGTCATCCAGGCTGGAGTACAATGGTGCAATTTTGGCTCACCACAACCTCCACCTCCCGAGTTCAGGCGATTTTCATGCCTCAGCCTCCTGAGCAGCTGGGACTACAGGAGCACGCCACCAAACCCGGCTATTTATATTTTTAGTAGAGACAGGGTTTCACCATGTTGGTCAGGCTGGTATTGAACTCCTGACCTCAGGTGATCCACCCGCCTCAGCCTCCCAAGTGCTGGGATTACAAGCGTGAGCCATCGCGACCAGCCAGATTTTCAATCAACCCCCTGATCCTCCCTTACACACCCTCCCACTGATATGGTACCTCTGTGAGCCTTTTTGGAGTTCTGAAATATAAATTGCTTTACTTTTTTTTTTTTTTTTTTTTTGAGGTGGGGTCTCGCTTTGTCACCCAGGCTGGAGTGCAGCGTCACAATCTCAGCTCACTGCAACCTCCACCTCCCAGCTCAAGCGATCCTCCCACCTCAGCCTCCCGGAGCAACTGGGACTATAGGCACACACCACCATGCCCAGCTAATTTTTTTGTATTTTTGGTAGAGACAGGGTTTCGCCATGTTGCCCAGGCTGGTCTCAAACTCCTGAGCTCAAGCAATCCGCCTGCCTCGGGCTCCCAAAATGCTGGGATTATAGGTGTGATCCACTGCACCCAGCCATAAATTGCTTTACTTCTAATTGACATTCCCCTCTGCAGTCAGCCTTCTTGGATTCCCTTTCCTTCCTCCGCTAAGTAGATGCCAATTTTTCCCATCCACTATTGTCTCTTTCTCATTCTCTTAGTCCTTGCTGGTGTTTACATTTTCTTATTTCAATGGGGTTTCATAGAGAACCAAGATAAGCACATATATAAAATCTCATGTTAAATCAAAAGCTACTTTGTAGAATATTAGTTTTCAAAGTCATGAATTCTTTTAAAATCAATGATGCAGTTATAAAATACTCAGTGATACGAAAAAAATGTTCATAATGTGCTCCTTTGTATCTTTTCAATATCTTTAGATTTTCGGCTGGGCGCGGTGGCTCACGCCTATAATCCCAGCACTTTGGGAGGCTGAGGCAGGCGGATCACGAGGTCAGGACTTTGAGACCAACATGGCCAACATGGTGAATCCCCGTTTCTACTAGAGATACAAAAAATTAGCTGGACGTGGTGGCGCACACCTGTAATCCCAGCTACTTAGGAGGCTGGGGCAGGAGAATCGCTTGAACCCAGGAGGCAGGGGTTGCAGTGACCTGAGATCCTGCCATTGCACTCCAGCCTGGGCGACAGGGTGAGACTCCGTCTCAAAACAAAAACAAAAACACTTTAGATTTTCTGGTTAGAAAAGGAATGCATGTACATTTTATAATACTCCAAATGATACAGAAATATCTAACAAAGTGAAAGTCTCCCATAGTCCTACTCCACAGATAAAGCCACAGGGTGGTTTATGTTCGTCTAACAAATGCATTGTTTAGTGATTCAGTATTTGTAAGATAGGAAAAAACAACAGAAGGAAAACACTAAAATGTTAACAGCAGTTAACTTTGACCAGTGGTTTAGTGCTGAGTTTTTGCTCCTTTTTATGTTTTCTAATGTGCCTGCCTAAACATTTATTTTAAATATTTAGAAAAAAGTGTACATTTTCAATTTCTCTTCCGTAAAATATAGTCTGTAATTATATTCAAACTTTCCTTTTTACAATTTTGCCTCTCATCTAAAAATTCCCTCTAAGAATAAAATAAGACTCTAGTATTTACGATTAAGAGGCTTTAAAAACTATAATAATAGTGGCCAGAGGGGGGCCGGGCGCGGTGGCTCACGCCTGTAATCCCAGCACTTTGGGAGGCCGAGGTGGGCGGATCACCTGAGGTCAGGAGTTCCAGAACAGCCTGGCCAACACGGTGAAACCCCGTCTCTGCTAAAAATACAAAAATCAACCGGGCGTGGTGGCGTGCGCCTGTAGTCCCAGCTACTCGGGAGGCTGAGGCAGGAGAATCGCTTGAACCCGGGAGGCGGAGGTTGTTGTAAGCCGAGATCCTGCCACTACACTGCAGCCTGGGAGACAGCGAGACTCCATCTCAAAAAAAAAAAAAAAAAGAAGAAAATCTTGCATCAACACTCCTACGCAAATGTCTCTGCGATTCATTCAATAACTGGTCATCAACCTCCACCCCCAAACACAACTGTCAGGTCTATGTCGTTCCCAAGTAGGCAGGTCGGTGACCCTCACGAGGAAAGGGAGTGTGTGGGCCTGTCTGTCTCCAAGGCCTCGCCACACAACAGTCCCTCAGCGGTTTCGCTGTTATGCGAGGTCTTTACCCCGGGATGTTCCGGGGAGTCAATCCCTCCCCGCCCTAGGCTACGCCGGGAACGGCCGGCAGCTGATCCGAACTTTCTGCCGGGCCTCCTTTCTCATTCCTCGGGTTCGGCAGTACCACACCCGCCACGCGATTGGTATCGTAGGAGGGCCTTGTTTGACCACGGCGACTCGTTACTTATGGGTGAGGATTTACGCGCGTCCTTCCGGAGGCCACACATCACTTCCCTTGCTCCGCCCAGTTTAGAGACCTGCGCACCCGCCAGGGCGTGAGAGAGACTACCCGGCGCGCGGTGACGCCCCAGCTCGCCCACACTTCTGCCCCGTCCCGCCCATCGTTGCGCGGCCGCGGGCCAATCAGATCGTGCCTTTACTCTACGCCCCCGGCTCCCCCGAACTTCTGTCCTCATTTCAGGGCGACTTTGGGAACACAATAGTCGACTCGCCGACGTTCCCTTAGACGCGTTGCCATACGTCGTCACCCATAGAAACGGCTTTCCGCGGGGCAGACTCCAAGTCTCGCCTGTGTGAGCGGGCAGGGGTAGCAGGAAAGGCTGTTTTTCATTTCCAAGAGAAAACCGTCACCCCGCCCACCTCGAACCTCCTCCCAACATCTCAGGATAGAAACGCCGCGCTCAGGTGAATGAGAAATGTTCTGATACAGGAAAGAGGAGTTCGTGTTTCTTTCAGAAGGTGACCGTTTTCCTCCTTCTGAGGTCACGAGCTGTCCGTCCGATGCCCAGAATTCCGAGGCCTGATGTGGCGTGTTTCCGGTAGCTGGGCTCCTCGGAGAGCTGTGGGAAGAGGCGCGGGCGACCGGGGGCGTCAGCGAGCCCTGTCTTCGCCTGCCTTCGCCGGCGTGGACTCTTCCCAGTGCCCGTCTTCCCCCGCGAAGTAATAGTGTCCTGTATTTCCTGACTGTAAGAAGAATAGTGCTTTTAAAAAATGCCTGCTCCCTGTAATAGCAGCAGTAGTTCGAGAGTACATACATGTTTATAAAAGAAACTTAAACTCTCATTCTTGCCACAGTGGATAATACTATTAACATATTGCTACATAAATTTAGAATTTTCATACATACACGTAAAGGTGTTTGGTTTTTTAAAACAGAAAAACGTAAGCGCGTTATCTCCCAGTAATGTCTTTGCAGGTAAATTAAAATAATTACATATATATTTATATTTATATATATATATTTTTTCTAAGAGATGGGGTTGTTGCCCAGGCTGGTCTTGACCTCCCGGGCTCAAGTGATACTCCCACCTCAGGCTCCCAAAGTGCTGGGACTGTGGGCATGAACCACCGGGTCCAGCCTACAGAATCATTTTTAATGGCTGTATGGATATCATAATTTGTTCAACCAGTCCCTAAGTTGTTGGACTTTTCAGGTATTGACAGCTTTTCAGGTCTACAATCCTAGATGAATATTCTTATATGTAAATCTGTACATGTCCCTGATTATTTTTTTACAATAAAGTCATAGAAATAAAATTACTGGATCAAGGAAAATGCACGTTTGTAAGACTCTAAATGATATTACCAGACCCTCCCCTAGAAACCTATTTACTACTTTTCCATTAACAGTATGAGAAGGAATATGCTCTCTGCATCTCCTTGCTAATCTTAGATATTGTCAGTCTTCGTGATCTTTATCATCTCTTTAAAAAAGACTCGTTTTAATTTGCATTTTGTTGCCTAAGTGTAAAACTGAACATCTTTCATATAATTATTGGCTCTATTTTTGTGAATTACTAGTTCATGACTTCTGCCTATTTTTAAAATGAAATATTCACATTTTAGAAATTACAAGTGCTTTTTGTATGTTAGAAATATTTTTAAAATGAAATATTCACATTTTAGAAATTACAAGTGCTTTTTGTATATTAGAAATATTAACCTATGATTGAGATATTTACAGATATTTTTCCTGTTTTTCAAATTCATCTTTTAATATCACCTATGGTTTTTCGTTTTTTTTTTTTACTGAAGGAAGTTTTTAATTTTTATGTAGATATGTCTAATGAGTCATTTCCTTTGTTTCTAGCTTTGATGTCATGGTTACCTGTATTTTCTTCTAGCATTTTTAGAGTTTTAAAAAAATAATTTGTCGGGTGCAGTGGCTCACGCCTGTAATCCCAGCACAAATGCTATGCATTTACATTGCATTAGGTATTATAAGTAATCTAGAGTGATTTAAAGTATACAGGAGGACGGATGTGGGTAGGTTATATGCAAATACTACATTTTATGTAATGGACTTGTTATCCGCGGGGGTTCCTGGAAACAGTCGCACACAGATATCACGGGATGACTGTACTAAATGTCCGTATGTACTTTTTCTGCCTCATTGATTTATCTGTTGCTGGGCAGTAATACTGTTTTAACATACCTTTAGATGATTTAAAAATTTCTGATGGGATAAATCTCTGCTTACTAGTCTTTAAGAATTGTCCTTAAAAATATATTTAATACACATAAAATAGAATTTTGTAATATATGTAAGTTTAAAAGCGTAATAATATGAAGCCAACCTCAACCTAACCTAGAACATTACCAATAGTGTATAAATCTGTGCTCTTCCCAGGATGGCAGAGGCTATCCCTGCCATCCTCTCCAGAGATATATTATTTCTTCCATGGTAACTTTAAACTTTGTCAAATTAAAAAACAATTGTGGCCGGGTGTGGTGGCTCATGCCTGTAATCCCAGCACTTTGGGAGGCTGAGGCGGGCGGATTACCTGAGGTCGGGAGTTCGAGACCAGCCTGACCAGCATGGAGAAACGCCCCCCCATCTCTACTAAAAATACAAAATTAGTCTGCTGTGGTGGCGCATGCCCGTAATCCCAACTACTCGGGAGGCTGAGGCAAGAGAATCACTTGAACCCGGGAGATGGAGGTTGCGGTGAGCCGAGATCACACCATTGCACTCCAGCCTGGGCAACAAGAGCGAAACTCTGTCTTAAAAAAAAAAAAAAATTGTAATTTTGATTGCGATTGCAGTACTTTTATTGACTAATTTAGGGGAAACAGACATCTTTATAAAAGTAATACATACTTATGTAGTTTCTACAAAGTGTTATTTGTGTTATTTAATCCACACAACTATTATCACCCTCATGTTACAGATGGGGTAACCGAGGCATAAAGAAATTGAATAATTTGGCCAGGCGCGGTGGCTCACGCCTGTAATCCCAGCACTTTGGGAGGCTGAGGCGGGCAGATCACGAGGTCAGGAGATCAAAACCTCCTGGCTAACACGGTGCAACCCCATCTCTACTAAAAATACAAAATATTAGCCGGGCATGGTGGCACGGACCTGTAGTCCCAGCTACTCGGGAGGCTGAGGCAGGAGAATTGCTTGAACCTGGGAGGTGGAGGTTGCAGTGAGCCGAGATCACGCCACTGCACTCCCACCTGGGTGACAGAGCGAGACTCCATCTCAAAAAAGAAAAAGAAATTGAATAATTTGTCCAAAGTGAAGCTGCTAATAAGTGGCAAGGTCAAAAGTCAAAGCCAGGCAATTTGACCCCAGAGCCTGTCCTCTTGTCCTGTTGCCTTTCCACAATATGGACGTGCTCATCTATTTATAATGCACATGCCAGGCAGTTTGCTCCAGCACTTCCCCACATCCCAGTTGGCATCCTTATCCTTTATTAACCCGCTTCTCCCTTGCCATAGCTGATTGGAATAGAGGCGGGTAGAAAACTGATTCAAGCTGGTCCAATCAGATTCTCTTTCCTGGAAATGTGCAGTTACATGGTTTTAACTTGTCTCTTGACCTAGAAAGTAAGGGAAAAGGAGGGAGAGATGTTTGATCTACATGTATGCAGTACAGAGAAAGCAAGGCTGCAGAAAGAAGCAGATTCACAGAGAAGCAGTTATGAAGTCCTGTGGCCCCAGAGGGGTATGATGGATTACCTGCCCATGGTTCTGGGGCTTTCCAGGTCCTAGCTTGCCACTACTAAGGCTCTACTGCCCTGTCCACTCTTAGGGATCTCCACAAGGTACCCCCTCTCCTCCTTCAAATAGACCCCTTTTTGGCCAGACGTGGTGGTTCATGCCTATAATCCCAGCACTTCGAGAGGCAGAGGCAGGGGGATCACCTCAGGTCAGGAGTTCGAGACCAGCCTGACCAACATGGCGAAACCCTGTCTCTACTAAAAATACAAAAATTAGCCGGGCATGGTGGCACGCGCCTGTAATCCCAGCTACTCGAGAGGCTGAGGCGGAAGAGTCGCTTGAACCTGGGAGGCGGAGGTTGCAGTCAGCCGAGATCGCACCACTGTACTCCTGCCTGGGTGACAGAGCACGACTCCATCTCAAAAAATAAATAAAATAAAATAAAATAAAATAAAATAAAATAAAATAAAATAAAATAAAATAAAATAAACCCCTTTCAATTTAAGCTCACCTGACTGACTTTTCTTTGTTTTGAAACTAAATATGCCACCTGAAAACATGTGGTCCTCCATTTACCCAAGTTTTCTTTTAAAGTTTCCCAGTAGCATTTTCTTCACATAGATCCATACATTTCTTGTTCAGTTCATTCCTAAATATATTTTAGGTGGATTTTTTTTTTTTGCTCTTTGCAATAATTTCAGTTTGTCATTCCCCCTTCACATCTTAATCTGCAAAAATTTGGCTTTCATCTGTTGAGACTACCAAATGTCAATGGCTTTTAAATGTGACATTAATCTTCCAAATGCATTCCAAAATAATGTTATCCACTAGATATATTTTATAGTTCTATGCTTTGAAATTGTTCTGGCGATGATTCATATGAGGATGACGATGATTCATCTGATGTAAGTGAGCCACAAGGATCCCAAAGAAGTATAGAATTTCCTATAACCTGATTTAAAAAGAAAGTCTAACATATGAATAGGAACATTGAATTTCCAACACATTCAACTGATATTAAAATAGATAAAATGAAGAAAACTACTTTCAAGACTGATTTTCACATACAAAACAATAAGATAACAGAGGGTATAATTTGGATAAATATTTAGAGTAGACTAGATAACAGAGATTAAGAGAAATTCATATCTCATTCTTAGCATAGGGACATAATCCTGTATCCAAATTCTTTCTTGCCAGATGTGTTTCAGAACTGAGAGTTATCAGGATTTTAGACAGGAATATAATGCATATCCCATATATTCTGTAACAGCCCAGCAGGATCTGGAGCAGAATCTTGTAATCAAACCAAAATATGCATGCAAAAAATGCATTAGTATTAACCATAAGTAGGATAAACAAAGGCTAGAAACAGATACACATCTGTTCAGGTCAGATTTTGCTGCTAAATGAGTTTGCCACGAACTTATGAAAAACTTCAGGTTTCTACAGTTTTTTTCTTTGTTTTGAAATTTTAGACTATGATTTGTAGACCTCTACAAGCAAATATGTTCAGATTTCAACATCTGGCCAGATGTGAGTCAAAGAGTTGTTTTCAAGGCTTGGCTGTGTTAGATAGTCTTGTGGTTTGGGGTGTTTAGTCTGAAGGCAAAGAGTGCCCTTTTTTTTTTTGATACAGAATATTGCTCCATTGCACAGGCTGGAGTGCAATGGTGCAATCTCAGCTCACTGCAACCTCTGCCTCCCTAGTTTAAGTGATTCGCCTGCCTCAGCCTCCCAAGTAGCTGGGATTACAAGCGCCCGCCACCACGCCTGACAAATTTTTGTATTTTTAGTAGAGATGGGGATTCACAAAGTTGGCCAGGCTGGTCTCGAACTCCTGACCTCAGGTGATCCACCTGCCTTGGCCTTCCAAAGTGCTGGGATTACAGGTGTGAGCCATCACGCCCAGCAAGAGTGCACTTTTAGAAGAACAAAATACAGACTTTGAAGCAATTATTAAAAAAAAAAAAGGTCAAGTTTTCTGTTTGTTTGTTTGTTTGTTTGTTTTTAATCAACTTGAATTCTTGACCTTTGTTGTCCATCATTATTTCAGTGTGGTGTTTTGGTTGAAATGAACTGCAATAAACACAAAAACTTCCGAGTAAATCTTAACTAAAAAAACCTTAATGTATTTTTCCTTAAACCTATCAATCAAGAGATCCTTGCCTTGATGTTTTCATTTCTTATTTCTAGTACATAGGAGCATTTCCTTCTAAATATCCTATGGCTGTACAGATATTGCTTCAGTTGAATCTATTAAAGTGTCAAAATTAAGGAATTTATTCAGTCATCATATAAATTGAGTGCCTATTCTGTGCCAGACTCTGTGCTAGGTGTTGAGGATACAGTCTGGTGAGCAAGAAACATTTAAATAAGATTTTACAGTAGAGTATGATAGGTGATGAGGTAAGTACAGTGTGTCATGGAACACCATGTATTGAGATGAGGGAAGGACTAAAGGTTAAGTAATAAATCAGGCAGGTGAAGATGAGGAGGGAAATTTTAAAATGTTCTAAGACAGTTATTTTCAAAGTGTGGTCCATGAATCAGCAGCATCAGCATCATCAGGGAACTAGTCAGAAATTCAGATTCTTGACCCATACCCCAGACCTACTGAATCAATAACTCTGGAGATGGACCCCAGGAATCTGTGTTGTTGTGGTTTTGTTTTTTGTTTTTTGTTTTGTTTTTTGTTTTTTTGAGACGGATCTCCCTCTGTTGCCCAGGCAGGAGTGCAGCAGTGTGATCTCTGCTCACTGCAACCTCTGCCTCCTGGGTTCGGGAGATTCTCCTGCCTCAACCTCTCGAGTAGCTGGGATTACAGGCACGTGCCACCATGCCCTGCTAAGTTTTGTATTTTTAGTAGAGATGGGGTTTCACCATGTTGGCCAGGCTGGTCTTGAATTCCTGACCTCAAGTGATCCGTCCACCTCCGCCTCCCAAAGTGCTGGGATTACAAAAGTGAGCCACTGTGCCTGTGCTATATAACATTCTTGAAGTAACAAAACGATAGAAATAGAGAACGGATTAGTGGTTGTCAGGGGTTAAGGAGGGGGTGGGGGTTGAAGGGAAGTGGGTGTGGCTATAAAAGGGCAGCATGAAGGATTCTGGGGTAGTGGAACTGTGGAAATACTCTGTATCTTGACTGTAGCAATGTCAATTTCTTTTTTTTTTTTTTTTTTTTTTTTTTTTGAGACGGAGTCTCGCTCTGTCGCCCAAGGCTGGAGTGCAGTGGCGCGATCTTGGTTCACTGCAAGCCCCGCCTCCCGGGTTCACGCCATTCTGCCTCAGCCTCCCGAGTAGCTGAGACTACAGGCGCACGCCACCACGCCCAGCTAATTTCTTTTTGTATTTTTAGTAGAGACTGGGTTTCACCGTGTTAGCCAGCATGGTCTCGATCTCCTGACCTCGTGATCTGCCCGCCTCGGCCTCCCAAAGTGCTGGGATTACAGGTGTGAGCAACCGCGCCCGGCCAGCAATGTCAATTTCTTAGTCGTGATAGTTTACTACAGTTTTGTAAAATGTGACCATTGTGGGAAACTGAGTAAAGGGCACACAGAATCTTTGTATAATTTCTTACAACTACGTATGACTCTATAATTATTTAAAAATGAAATATTATAAAATAATGCTATGAAGAATAATAAATCAAGGTATTCGAAGATGTCCTGAGGCAGCTAATTAAAAAAAAAATCAGGGTAAGGGGACAGAGAGAGATGAGAAAATTTATTTTATACGGGGGTAGTTAGGAAAGGCCTAGCTATTAAGGAAGTTAGGGTATTACCTATGAATGTCTGGAGAATATTAGAAGTACAAAGATTCTGAGACGGGGTGTGCTTGGCATAACTGAGGAATGGCAAGGATACCATTGTGGACAGACTAGGGTGAACAATGGAAAGCTATAGGAAATGAGATAAGAGTGGGTGGAGATCGTGGTGGTATAGACACATCGTAGAAGAGCTTATTTCATCCTGAGTAGAATGGGAAACCACAGGAGAGTTTTAAACAGAAAACGAACATGATCTAACTTGAATATTAAAAGTATCACTTCACTGGGTAAAAAATCGAGTGAGGGGGCCATGGATAGAAGTGGAGCATCAATTGTGAGGCTATCGCAATGATTCAGGCAAGCAATGATGGTGATTTGGACTAAACTGGCAGAGCAGGAGGTAGTGAGAAGCAGTCCGACTATGAATAGGTTTTGCAGGAATGGAACACTGGGTGTTCTAATGGAGTGCATGTGGGACGTGAGAGGAGGAGTAAGAGTCAAGAATGATTCCCAGATTTGGGCCTGAGCAAGTGGAAGAATGGAGTTACTATTATGAAATGGTGAGCTGAATGAAGAGCAATATGAAGCTCTTCAGATCAGTTTTGTTTTTGGCTTGTTTAGATGCCTGTAGACATCCAAATGGGGATGTCACATAGCCTGCTGGATAAATGCATATTTCTAGAATTTGGGTAAGAAGTTGGGCTAGTGCTATTGTTTGAATGTGTGTGTCCCTCCAAAATTCATATGTGTGGAACTTAAACCCCAAGGAGATGGCATTAAGAGGTGGGGTCTTTGGGAGGTGATTAGGCCATGAGGGCCCTGACCTCCTGAATGGGATTAATGCCCTTGTAAAAGCTGCCTGGCCCTTTCATTTCTTCTGCCATGTAAGGACACAGCATTTGTCTCTTGTAAAGGACGCAGCAACAAGACAGCATCTTGGGAGCAGAGATAGAGCCCTTTATCATACACTGAATCTTTCAGCACCTTGATCTTGGACTTCCCAGCTCCCAAAATTGTGAGAAATAAATTTCTATTATTTATAAATTACCCAGTCAGTGATATTTTGTTATAGCAGCAAAAACAGACTAAGACAACTAGATAATATGAATTTGGGAGGCAATAACATATAAATGGTATTTAAAGTCATGGACTGGTTGAGAACAGCGAGGAGTGAGGATATGTAGATAGAGAAGAGAAAAGGTCTATGCAATGTGACCCAGGTACACCAGTTTTTAAAGCTTAGGAAAATAAAGGAGGCCTCAACAAAGAATGCAGAGAACGAATGCAATTGAGCTATGAGGAGAACCATGGAGGGTGGTGTCTTGGAGACAAGGTGAAGAAAGGGTCTCAGGCTGGACACGGTGGCTCACACCTGTAATCCCAGCACTTTGGGAAGCCGAGGCGGGCAGGTCACCTGAGGTCAGGAGACTGAGATCATCCTGACTAACACGGTGAAACCTCATCTCTACTAAAAATACAAAAAAACCAAAAATACAAAAAAACCCACAAAAATTAGCCCGGCGTGGTGGCGGGTGCCTGTAGTCTCAGCTACTTGAGAGGCTGAGGCAGGAGAATGGCATGAAACTGGGAGGTGGAGCTTGCAGTGAGTCGAGATCATGCCACTGCACTCCAGCCTGGACGAGAGAGTGAGACTCTGTCTCATAAAAGAAAAAGAGACCAACCAATAAGACAAATGCTACTGATAGGCAGAACAAGACAAGAATTGAGATTTGTCCTTTAGATTTGACCGCATGGAGGTCATTGGTCATTTTCATAAGTGCAGTTTCAGTGAAACAGTGGAAGGAAGTCTTGATTAGAGTGGGTTCGAGAGAGGAGAGAAAATAGAAATTAAGTATAGACAAGGCTGGGTGCAGTGGTCACGCCTATAGTTCCAGCACCTTGGGAGGCTGAGGCGGGCAGATCACTTAAGGCTAGGAGTTCAAGACCAGCCTGGCCAACATGGTGAAACCCTGTCTCTACTGAAAATAAAAAATTAGCTGGGCCTGGTGGCAGGCACCTGTAATCCCAGCTACTTGGGAGGCTGAGGCAAGAGAATCACTTGAACCCAGGAGGCGGAGGTTGCAGTGAGCCAAGATGGTGCCACTGTACTCCAGCCTGGGCAACAGAGCAAGACTCTGTCTCAAAAAAAAAAAAATCTGAATATTAAAACAAAAGATTCTCCTAGTGTCCCTATTGACAAGGGTTTTAAGAACTCTGTCAGGATCCAGGGGTAGAGACCAATATACATATTTCGTGTTATTTCATAGTTATTTATACCTTGATAAAGCTGTTTAGAATGTTTATGGAGTGACATAACTCTATATGGGCTCTCAGCACTGGGCTAGGCATCTGGGTCACAAATAGGACATAGGCAGGACCAGCCCTCAAAGAGCTTCTAGCCCAGTGTGGGGCCCTGACGTAGACACACGCAACTCACAGCACAACAGAGATTCCTCAACATAGAGATGAGAGCTGTGAGAATCCAACTTGGCCTTACCCTGGGGCAGTGACTGCCTCTCTCAGCACCTCAATTTCCTATTCTATAACATCCACCTGCCTACCTCAGAGGATGTGTTAAAGATCCAATGAAAACACTTTGTGACAAATGCTATACAAACGTAATAGGATGGTTTTCAAAACAAGATGGTTGCTGTTAAGCATCTGATTTAGAGCCCTTGATGAGCTGTCTAATTTCAGATAAAGGTGATGTAAAATAATTATTGAGGGTGTTATGTCTATTTATAAAATGATGAAAAATTGTCAGCTTGGGTTTGAATCTGACTTTGCCATTATTATTATAACGGTATCATTTGTGTGACTTTGGGTAAATAACCTCTCTAAGACTCCTTTACAAAATGGAAATATTAAAACTGACCTCAAGGGTTGCTGTGAGGATAACATGATATAATGTATTTTAAGTGTTTGTTACAGAGTAATACCAGAAGGTGCAATTGATTTGAATTTTTTAAAAGCAAAAACTATTAATTCCTTTTGAATGAACTAGTTCGCATCTGGTATTTCCTCTTATCCCTTGTGCTGTGGTTTGAATAGGTCCCCCAAAGTTCATGTGCTGGAAACTTAATTGCCATTATGATATTATTAAATAAGAGGTGGGGCCTTTAAGAGGTGATTAAAGAGCCCTCATGAATGGATTAGTGCCATTATTGTAAGAGTAGGTTCATTGTTGTGGGAGTGGGCTCCTGCTAAAAGGATAAGTTTGGCCCCCATCTTGTCTCTCTGTCTAATGTGCTTGCTTCCACCTTCCACTCTTCTCCATGGGATGACCCTTGTCAGATGCTTGTGCTATGCTCTTGGACTTCCCAGTCTCTAGAACCATGAGTCAAATAAATTTCTTTTCTTTATAAATTGCCCAGTCTATGGTATTCTGTTATAGAAACCGAAAATGAACTAAGACATCCTGTTTAAGCTATTTTTACACATAGGAAGTTTTCAATTAAAATGTTAATCTCTATAACAATTGTCACAGTAATTCCAAATGGTGTTCCTATTTTATTGCAGTTATATGTTTAGATTTTTATGATCTGGAGGATGGAAAAAGATGAAGGGTCAGATCAGATTGGTTGTCACCTTCCAGTCAGAGTAATTCAACCTGCTTTTATGGTCCCAAATCATTCTGGGCTAACAGTCTTACCTATCATAGAAGGGCTTTATTTATTCCCTTTGTTTGTTGCCTTTGATAGTGGAAGAAATACAGATAGGGTCAATAGAGGTGAAGGAAAAAATGTATATTCAACCTATTCCAGTTTGTTCTTTTTCCTGTTTCAGTTTATATGTCCATAAACTGAGGTAGGGAATGCAATTTGGGGATATTTATGGGTTATCTAAGTAGGTGGCTCTATGAAGTGCCCCTAAAGACAATTAAAGAGAGAGTACTATTATTATTATTTTTGAGACGGAGTCTCACTTTGTCACCAGGCTGAGTGCAGTGGCGCGATATTGGCTCACTGCAACCTCCACCTCCCGGGTTGAAGCGATTCTTCTGCCTGAGCCTCCCGAGTAGCTGGGACTACAGGCATATGCCACCACACCCAGCTAATTTTTGTATTTTTAGTAGAGATAGGGTTTCATCATGTTGGCCAGGATGGTCTTGATCTCTTCACCTTGTGATCTGCTCACCTTGGCCTCCCAAAGTACTGGGATTACAGACATAAACCACCGCATCTAGCCTAGTTTTTTTTTTTTTTTTTTTCCTCAGACAGAGTCTCTCGCTCTGTTGCCTAGGCTGGAGTTCAGTGGTGTGATCTCGGCTCACTGCAACCTCTGCCTCCCGGGTTCCAGTGATTCTCCTGCCTCAGCCTCCTGAGTAGCTGGAATTACAGGCACTCACCACCATGCCAGGCTGATTTTTGTATTTTTAGTAGAGACGGGGTTTCACCCTGTTGGTCAGGCTGGTCTTGAACTCCTGACCTCCTGATCCACCTGCCTTGGCCTCCCAAAGTGCTGGGATTACAGGCATGAGCCACCGTACCTGCCCAAGAGAGAGTATTATTAATACTTTATTTCCACAACCCAAATCCTAAGGATCTTATCATACCTCCTTTTTGAATTGGATTAAAAGTTGTTTAAATCTATGCAGATATTGTGTACTTTTCTAGTGCTGATGTGAATTTAACAAAGAGGCTTGAAGAAATTCTCAGAATAAAGCCTTGAGTTTTATTTCCATTTTAAGACCTACTAAGAACTATGCTAACATGCCTGGAATTCCATCAAGTACATCTTCATGATCCTTCTCTTGTCAACTTCAGTCACAAGTCATAGAAATATACAGACAGTCCTCAACTTATAATGGTTCAACTTACCATTTTTTGACTTTCCAATGGTGCAAAAGCAATATGCATGCAGTTGAAACCATACTTCAAGTGCCAATACAGCCATTCTGTTTTTCACTTTCAGTGCATTATTCAGTAAGTTATATGAGATATCCAACACTTTATTATAAAATAGGCTTTGTGTTAGATGATTTTACCCAGCTAATGTAACGTTGGACTAATGTAAGTGTTCTGAGCATGTTTAAGGTAGGCTAAGCTAAGCTATGATGTTTGGTAGGTTAAGTGTATTAAATGCATTTTTGACTTACAATATTTCCAAATTAAGATGGTTTTTTTTTTTTTGTTTTTTTTTTTTTGTTTTTTTTTTTGAGATGGAGTTTCACTCTGTCGCCCAGGCTGGAGTGCAGTGGCACGATCTCAGCTCACTGCAAGCTCTGCCTCCCGGGTTCATGCCGTTCTCCTTCCTCAGCCTCCCGAGTAGCTGGGACTACAGGTGCCTGCCACCATGCCCGGCTAATTTTTTTTTTTTTTTGTAGTTTTAGTAGAGATGGGGTTTCACTGTATTAGCCAGGATGGTCTCGATTTCCTGACCTCGTGATCTGCCCACCTTGGCCTCCCAAAGTGCTGGGATTACAGGCATGAGCCACCGCGCCTGGCCCCAAATTAAGATGGTTTTATTGGGACTTACGTCCATTCTAAATCAAGGAGCACCTGTATGAGAACACATGGACACATAGAGGGGAACAACACACACTGGGGCCTATCAGAGGGTGGAGGGTGGGAGGAGGAAGAGGATCAGGAAAAATAACTAATGGGTACTAGGGTTAATACCTGGGTGATGAAATAACCTGTACAACAAACCCCCATGACACAAGCTTACCTATGTAACAAACCTGCACATGTACCCCTGAACTTAAAATAAAACTTAAAAAAAAGAAATGCCAAACCTGAGCCAGAAGTGAAAGACAAAGATTTTTATTTATTTTGCCCTGTCTTCAAATAAAGAGGTTGATTAACTTGAAAAAAAAAAATAAAAGCATCCGTAGTGTCTGGGTTAGTGAATATATTTCCCTTTAGTTATACCCATGTTACTAGAATTATTCTGTTTATTTTTTAAAAAATTATATAAACTACAAACTCCTTACCATTGCTTCTGAGGCCCGGCATAATCTGGCTGGTCCTTGTCAGTTTTTCCAACCTCATCTTTTCCTACTCTTGTCCCTCCTTGATCACTTTGCTCCAGCCACACTGATCTCTTTCAAGTCCTCAAACATTCCAAGTTCTCCACTTCAGAGATTTTGTACGTGCTGTTTTCTCTGGCTGGAATGCTCTTCTCCTTGAATGGTTGCCAATCTTGGGTTTCAGCTTATGTGTTATCTCCTTACTCATTTATTGAGTGCCTAGTGTTCCAGGCATGTTCTACGTGCCCCTCATAGCAGTGAACCAGGATCATCCCTGCCCTTGAGACCTTCCCTAAGCACCCTGATGGAATATTCCTTGCTCCCTCCCCTGCTATTGTACATCTTTCTTCCTTTTTTGTGTCCCTTCTTGTACTCATGGCAGTTTGTAATTATTTTACTTCTTTTCCTTCCCTTCCCTCAGTGGAAATGTAAGCTCCATGGTGGCTGGGGCCTTATCTGTCTGTTTGCTATTATGTCCCCGGCATCTAGCAGAGTGACTGGGATAGAACAGATCTCAATGTATATTGAATGAATGAATGAGTAATCAGCATCTGAAGAAATTTGAACATGTCATCTGTTAAGAACTAAAGCTAAAGAAGATGCAAATTATGTTCATTGCAGATTCAACATAGAAAATGCGTAGTTAATCTCTAGCAAAGTGCCTAGCTCATAATAGATGCTCATCAAAATAGATTTTGAATGTATAAAGAAGTGAATATATTTGAATTTATTTTCCTATGCCCTGTAAGGAAGATTTTTAATAACTAGTATACCAACCAGTATCTCAGCTGATTCTATCTCATTTAAAGTTAAAAGTCCTGGCCAAGGATTCAGAAAGTGAAATCATTTCCCTAAAAAGTCATACATTTATGTTTTATGTATTTTCTTTTTGAGATGGAGTCTCGCTCTGTCGCCCAGGCTGGAGTGCAGTGGTGTGACCTTGGCTCACGGCAACCTCCGCCTCCTGGGTTCAAGTGATTCTCCTGCCTCAGCTTACCGAGTAGCTGAGACTACAGGCATGCACCACCACACCTGGCTAATTTTTTGTATTTTTAGTAGAGACGGGGTTTCACAATGTTGGTCAGGCTGGTCTTGAACTCCTGGCCTCAGGTGATCCGCCTGCCTCGGCTTCCTAAAGTGCTGGGATTATAGGCATGAGCCACCACGCCCAGCCTTTTATGTATTTTCTTAAAGCATTATTGTCATGATGCTAACAGCTGACCTTATAAGCGCAGCAAAGGTATTTTGTCATAGAATGCTTAAATGAATATATGCTCCTTTATTTGAATAATATGAAAAATATTTATATAACTATAAACTTTAACATTGGAAGGAAACCCATACTGATTGAACATGTACTACATCCCAGATACTTCCCTAAATTATTATCTTCTTTCATCCTCACAATAATTGAGAGAGGTATTCTTATTCTCATTTTACTGCTGCTGCAGGAAATGAGGGTCAGGGAGGTTAACCAAATTGTTCTAGGAAAAACACTGGGCGGTATAGTGAAGATTCAACCCCTATCTTTGGATTTCACGAACAGGGTACTTTCTGTCTCTTTGGGCCTATCAAGTCCCAGGCATTAGAAACATAAAGATGAGTATGGCACCTTCCTGTCCTCTAGAAGTTTAGAATTCAGCCCATCACTTAGAAATGTAAGCCAATAATTGAAAGAGGTTCTAAACTTCTTCGTGTATTAGAGAGGCAGTCATTCAGTCTCCCTGGAGTGGATACCACATTCCAGGTCTCTTCCTCACCTTAGTATATTTATTTTATTTTTTCAAGTACTTATACAGTATTTACTATGTTTTAATTCCTTCATAGGTATTAATGCATATAATTCTCATTTAACAACCCTATGAGGTAGTTACTATTATAGTCCCATTTTATCAATGAGAAAATGAGGAACAGATAGGTTAAAAAACTCAACCCAAGTTACACAGCTAGTAGCAGAGCTGTGAGTCAACTCCAGGCAGTCTGGTGCTAGAATCTATATTTTAACCACTAGATTATGTTGGTTTGAGGCCTTTCTAGGTTCAGAAAATTCAATATTAGCATTCACCAAAGTGATCTGATTTTAGAGCATTGACAACTTATTGCTTAAAAATGAACGAAACAAGTATTGAGTATACTGGATATTCTTGTTGATTGCTTACTGTCTTTCTAGGCAATTCTACCTGGGTAGGCAATTTATAATCAGAGGCTTCTTGGTGCCCTGGGAATTAGATCAAGGGAAATTAGCTGGCTGATCTTAAAGACTTAGTGATTCCATTTCCACTACAGGATTATGTCTGTGACAGCCATTCTCCTGGACAATACTGAAGGTATACTGCTTTTCAGAGCTGTGAGATTACAGTGCTTACCAATCCTCCTCAAAGTTGAAATAGTCTTTCTTTAGACATTGTATTAGTCAGGACTCTTCTAGTTGTACGTTAGAGAGTCCCAGCTCAAATAAGCTTAAACACAAAAGGCAATTGTTTGACCTATGTCCCTGGAAAGTTAAAAGGTGAACTTGGCTGCCATATCTAGTGGCTCAAATGCAATTGCCCTCCAGGTTTCTCTTTGTCTATCTACATCCCTCATCCTCCACAACTCTGGCTCAGCCTATCTGTGTGTTGACTTCATTCACTCTCCTACAGAAGGAGACTTATTGGACCATGTCGGGTTACCTATTCTGTTTTGTATTGGTAAATATGGCCATGAAAATAAGATATTCCCATTTGGTTAGGATTGGGTCACCGGTGCATACATGTGGTCTCGGGGCCTGGGTTTATTTGATAACCCCACCAGAAGCACATGTTGGGGGAAAGGAGGATACATTCTTCAAAAGACATAGGAATGGGCTAGGTACAGTAGCTCATGCCTGTAATCCCAGCACTTTGAGAGGCCAAGGTGGGTGGATTGCTTGAGCCCAGGAGTTCAGGACCAGCCTGGGTAGCACAGTGAGACTTTGTCTCTACAAATAATTAAAAAACCAGCTGGGCATAGTGGCATGCACCTGTGGTCCCAGCTACTCTGGATGCTGAGGCAGGAGGATCGCCTGAGCCCAGGAGGTAGAGGCTACAGTGAGCCATGATCACGTCACTGTGTTCCACCCTGGGTAAAAGAGTGAGACCTTGTCTCAAATAAATAAATAAATAAATAAATAAATAAGAAGAAGAAGTATAAATAGGAATGATGTACAGACAAGAAGAACAACAGAAAAAACACACATAACACGTATACTCATTCATTCTTTTTTTTTCTTTTACCATTTATTTATTTTTAACTTGTAAGTTCAGGGTTACATGTGCAGGTTTGTTACGTAGATAAACTTGTGTCATGAGTTGTGTGTGTGTGTGTGTGTGTGTGTGTGTTTTGAGACGGTTTTACTCTGTCACCCAGGCTGGAGTGCAGTGGCGCCATCTCGGCTCACTGTAAACTCTGCCTCCTGGATTCAAGCAATTCTTGTGCCTCAGCCTCCCTAGCACCTGGCACTACAAGGGTGCGCCAACATGCTCAGCTAATTTTTTGTATTTTTAGTAGAGAGGGGTTTTGCTGTGTTGGCCAGGCTGGTCTTGAACTCCTGGCCCCAAGTGATCCTCCCACCTCGGTCTCCCAAAGTGCTGGGATTACCCCACTCCTGCCCCCATGGAGATTTGTTGTGTGGATTATTTCATCAGTCAGGTATTAAGCCTATTTATTACCCATTAGTTACTTTTCCTGATCTTCTTCCTCTTCCCACCTCCACCCTTGGATAAGCCCCAGTGTGTGATGTTACCCTCTATGTGTCCATGTATTCTCATCATTTAGCTCCCACTTATAAGTGAGAACATGCAGTATTTGGTTTTCTGTTCCTGCATTAGTTTGGTAAGGATAATAGCTTCCAGCTCCATCTATGTTCCTGCAAAGTACATAATCTCATTCTTTGTTATGGCTGCATAGTATTGCAGGGTGTATATGTGCCACATTTTCTTTATCCAGTCTACCACTGATGGGCATTTAGGTTGATTCCGTGTCTTTGCTATTGTGAATATTGCTGCAATGAACATATGCGTGCATGTGTCTTTATAATAGAACAATTTATGTTCCTTTGGGTATATACTCAGTAATGGGATTGCTGGGTTGAATGGTATTTCTGTTTTTACATCTTTGAGGAATTACCACACTGTCTTCCACAATGGTTGAACTAATTTACACTCCTACCAACAGTGTATAAGTGTTCCTTTTTCTTTTTAATCTCACCAGCATCAGTTATTTTTAACTTTTTTTCGTGACAGATTCTTGCTCTGTCGCCCAGGCTGGAGTGCAATGGCACGATCTCAGCTCACTGCAACACTGTCTTCCACAATGGTTGAACTAATTTACACTCCCACCAACAGTGTATAAGTGTCCCTTTTTCTTTTTAATCTCACCAGCATCAGTTATTTTTAACTTTTTTTTTTTGACAGATTCTTGCTCTGTCACCCAGGCTGGAGTGCAATGGCACGATCTCAGCTCACTGCAACCTCCACCTCCCCGGTTCAAGCAGTTCTCCTGCCTCAGCCTCCCAAATAGCTGAGATTACAGGGGCCTGCCACCACACCCAGCTAATTTTTCTATTTTTAGTAGAGAGGGGGTTTCACCATGTTGGCCAGGCTGGTCTCGAACTCCTGACCTCAGGTGATCCACCCGCCTTGGCCTCCCAAAGTGCTGGGATTAGAGGCATGAACCACTGCACCTGGCCCGTTTTTTGACTTTTTGGTAATAGCCATTCTGACTGGGGAGAGATGGTATCTCATTATGGTTTTGATTTGCATTTCTCTAATGATCAGTGACGTTGAGCTTTTTTTGTGTGATTGTTTAATTGTTGGCTGTCTGTATGTCTTCTTTTGAAAAGTGTTCATGTCCTTTGCCCACTTTTTAATGTTTTTTTCTTGTAAATTTCTTTATAAGTTCCTTATAGATACCTTTTTTCCCTTCATTCCTTTCTTCTTCTCCTTCTTCTTCTTCCTCTTCTTCTTCTTCTTCATCTTCAACATCTCCTTTTTTTTTTTTTTAATAAAATAAAGGTGGGGAAGTCTCACTATGTTGCCTAGGCTGGTCTCAAACTCCTGGGCTTGAGTGATCCTCCTGCTTCAGCCTCCCAAAGTGCTGAGATTATAGGTGTGAGCCACTGTGTCCAGCCCATACATTCATTTTTTATGAATTCAAAATATACAGTACTTATTAAATACCTACTATATTTCCCAGGACTGTTGATATTTCTACATGCTACACACACACACACACACACACACACACACACACACACACACACACACAGATCCCAATTTATAACAGCTTAAAAAGCAAGAAAGGGCTTTACCAGAAATGTTGCAACGTGCCTGAGAGATAGATATCTAACAGGATCAGATATATAGGAACAGTACTGAAAGAAACCACAGTCCAAAACACTTGCAGAAGACAGCAATCCAGATAGGAGCTCAGTGTCATCCCAACTCTAGAATCAACTGGTAAGAAAAGTGAGCGGGACGAACCCTGGACATTCCTCATAGAGATTCACTGAGGGGTTAGATAAGTAAAAATGGGCCGGGCTCAATGGCTCATGCCTATAATCCCAGCACTTTGGGAGGCTGAGGAGGGAGGATCACTTGAGGTCAGGAGTTTGAGGCCTGCCTGGCCAACATGGTGAAAGCCCGTCTCTACAAAGATACAAAAATTAGCCAGGCATGGTGGCACATGCCTGTAATCCCAGCTACTTGGGAGGCTGAGGCACAAGAATTGCTTGAACCTGGGAGGCGGAGTTTGCAGTGAGCCGAGTTTGCGCCACTGGGCTCCAGCCTGAGCGACAGAGCGAGACTCTGTCTCAAAAAACAAAAAAAGAAAGAAAGGAGAGAATGTAGAGGAGAAATCATTAAAGCAATATTTCTCCAAATTTCAGAAAGATACAAGTCTTCTCATTGGAAATGTTAACCAAGATGAATGAAATGGAAACCAACACCTGGACATGTCATGGTGAAATGTTAGAACACTGGGCACGAAGGTAAAATCCTAAAAGCTTCCAAAGAGATAAACAGGTTAAGCTCAAAGGAATGGGAATCAGTGTGGCATCAGGTTTCTCATTGGCATCATTGCTGGAAGACAACAATCTGAGGAAAAATCAGACTGAGAAAAACTATCTTTCAAGTGAGAGTGCAAAATATGGTTATTTTTGTATATCCAAAGATTCTGAAATTGTACCATCCACAGATCTTTACTGAAATAATCATGTGGGGTTGAACTCTAGCAATGTGAACAATGAATCCAAGAAAAAAGGAGACATGGGATTCAGGAACTAATGTGAGGGGCACATGAGGTAGGCTTGAGGCCCTGTATTCTGTGTGACTTCTAATTACCCGGTATCCAGGAGATCTGAGGCTGTATCCCACCAGGACCCATTCCAATCCCAGATGGTACTTAGGAGTTTCATCAACAACAAGCTTCTCTTCAATAAAGATTATCAGAAGTTTTGTTGGCTACAAAGGACTCATCCAACTTAGAACTAAACTCTGGAATATGGCTTTATTCTATTGTTTCTCTCTTTTTTATTTTTTAGTTTATTATTTTTTTTGAAACAGGGTCCCACTCCTGTCATCCAGGCTGGAGTGCAGTGGCGCCATCATGGCTCACTGCAGGCTGGAATTCCCAGGCTCAGGTGATCCTCCCACCTCAGCCTCCCAAGTAGCTGTGACTACAGGCCTGTGCCACCACGCCCAGCTAATTTTTTTGTGTTTGTTGTGGAGACATAGAGATGGCGTTTTGCCATGTTGCCCAGGCTGGTCTCAAACTCCTAGACTCAGGTGAAGTGTGAGCCGCCTCTCCTGGCCTATTCTTTTGTCTCTTAAAGGATTAAAATTAAGGAGGTCACATTTGCCATGAAAAGTTCATGATATTTTGTTCATCACTGCATTTTGCCTTTGAATGAAAAAGTTTGTTCTTTCTCAGAGAGGCACATAAAGATCGGAACTGGTATAGCAAAGCAGCCTGTGAAGTCAAACTAGTGTGGGTTTGAATTATGACTCTGTGATTTCCTCTTGAGTAAAATATTTAACCTCCCTGAGCCTCAGTTTATTCATATACTTGAATACGGATAAGAGGACCTATTTTCCAGGTTTGTGTAAGGCGTTAAGAAGCTAACATGTAAAGTAGCATTGTGCGCTGAGAGTTTCAACTCCGGTTGCACGTTAGAATCATCTGGGGGCTCTTAAAAACTACAGATACTGAAGCCCCACCCCTAGAGATTTGGCTTTAATTGGTCTTAGGTTGGTGTATTTTTTAAAGCTTTCCATGTGTTTCTAATGTTGAGAAAAACTAACATGCATATATGTGGCTGGCACAAAGCAGGACCCAATAAATAGTAATTTCAAAAAATGTAAAAAAATTATAATAGAAGGCTTCCAGACAGAGGCAGATATGACTTGAAGCAAACAAGGCATAAGTTTCAGGGCCCTCACTTGCATACGCTCCTTCGAAGGCTCAGTGAGTTCTCCTCCAGCCTGAGCAGAGGGCACCAGTGGCCACTCCACCTGGGGTCCCCTGCCCGTGCTATCTAATCCTCTTTCACTTCACTATTTCTCCAGCTGCAAAAGGAACTTTAGATAATGGAAGAGATCAGCCAAATTTCAGAACAAGGATTCAAATTATTTCCATGGAAAATAATTACCCACAAATAGGTAATTCTTGTGATTCTCATTTTACTAGTGTTGAAACCAACACCTAGAGATTATATGATCTGCCTCAAGTCACAAATCAGCAAATAGTAGCCACAGCAGCACAGTAATAGAATCTGTGCGTCTTGTCTTACCCTCCTTGCCTGAGCACATGAGCCCATCTCCTGAGCGACGGGGCAGGTCTGTGTTGGTGATCATGCATAAACTGCAGAGGATGGTGCCACTGACCTTTCAAAACTTGCCGCATTCCTTGTGTAATGGATACATCCTAGGGCCTCACTAGCTTGTGACCTCAGAACAAGGCCATGCAGCTTAATGTCCAAACTACAGCTCTGAGCCTATGGAGCTGAGAAGTCCATTCCACTGCGGGGTCTATATCCTCGTTCTTCCCTCCTCCAAACCCAGGGAGTGCTTAGGAGGTCATCTGCATTGGTCTCGCACTCACATAGGCCTCCTCCAAGACCCTGGAAAAAGCCCTTGCCATGTATCCAAATGAGCGTATGTTTTTGTAAAATTTGTAAATATTTTCTCTTTTTATCTTTCTTTCTCAGTTTAGAGACTGGGTCTTGCTCTGTCATCCAGGCTGGAGTGCAGTGGTATAATCAAAGCTCACAGAAGCCTGGAACTCTTGGGCTCAAGTGATCCTCCTGCCTCAACCTCCCAAGCAGCTGAGACTACAGGCGCATCTGCACCTGCACTCGATTAATTTTGTTAAATTATTTTTTATAAAGATAGAGCCTCTTTGTGTTGCCCAGGCTGGCCTCGAACTCCTGGGCTAAGGGATCCTCTGGACTTGGCTTCCCCCCCAAATTTTAATACTTAAAGAGCAATCAGTTAAGACTTTTGCTACTTCTACTTCTTTCTACTCTCCCTGTCTGTGAAGGCACTGGAGTGGCTGTGGGCCTTTTATAGGATCTGGTTAAGAGGAAACCGAATACTATATATGTTAGACCTAAAAAAACAAAAAAAGAAAACCTTAAAAAATTAAAAATATATATATTTTGTAGAGACAAGGTTTTATTATGTTGTCCAGTCTAGTCTCAAACTCCTGGCCCTAACTGATCCTCCTGCCTCAGCCTCCTAAAGTGCTGGGATTACAGGAATGAGCCACCATGCCAGGCCAAAAAAAATTTTTTTAAGAGAAAGTAAAGTTGCAAAATTCTACATAGTTTTGTTTTGTTTTTTTGTTTTGTTTTTTTTGTTTTGTTTTGTTTTGTTTTTTTTGAGATGGAGTCTCGCTCTGTCACCAAGGCTGGAGTACAGTGGTGCGATCTCAGCTCACTGCAACCTCGACCTCCCAGGTTCAAGCGATTCTCCTGCCTCAGCCTGCCGAGTAGCTGGGATTACAGGCACCTGCCATGACGCCCGGCTAATTTTCCTATTTTTTGTAGAGACGGGGTTTTGCCTTGTTGGTCAGGCTGATCATGAACTCCTGACCTCAGGTGATCCACCTGCCTCGACCTCCTAAAGGGAAATATGCTATTTTTAACAGCTTTACTCGGATATTCTTTTTTTATTTTATTTATTTATTTATGAGTCCCCAGGTCTTTTCTGTCCAAACCCTGCTGAAGTAAGAGACAGATCTGTAGGACCACTGAAACGCTGTCTACTCAGGTATTATTGATATATAATAAACAGCACTTTTTTTTTTTTGAAACAGGCTCTTGCTCTGTCACCCAGGCAGGAGTGCAGTGGCATGAACATGGCTCACTGCAGGCACCACCTCCGGGGCTCAAGTGATCCTCCTCCCTCAGTCTCTCGTGTAGCTGGGACCATAGGTATGCAGCAGGGTGACTGGCTAATTGTTTGATGTTTTTGTAGAGACAGAGTCTCATTTTGTTGCCTAGGCTGGTCTTCAACTCCTGGGCCCAAGCAATTCTCCTACCTCAGCCTCCCAAAGTGCTAGGATTAGAGGTGTGAGCCAGCCAGGCGCGGTGGCTCACGCCTGTAATCCCAGCACTTTGGGAGGCCGAGGCGGGCGGATCACGATGTCAGGAGATCAAGACCATCCTGGCTAACACGGTGAAACCTCGTCTCTACTAAAAATACAAAAAATTAGTCGGACGTGGTTGTGGGTGCCTGTAGTCCCAGCTACTCAGGAGGCTGAGGCAGGAGAATGGCATGAACCCGGGAGGCGGAGCTTGCAGTGAGCCCAGATCGTGCCACTGCACTCCAGCCTGGGCGACAGAGCGAGACTCAGTCTCAAAAAAAAAAAAAAAAAAGTTTTTTGAAATCTTTTGCCCATTTTTAAAAAAAATTTGGGTTGCTTGTCTTCTTCTTATTGGGTTTTGAGAGTTCTTTATGTATTCAGGATACTCTCAAACACAGTCTGGCTCCATATGGCCAAGATAATATTTCCAAAGCCAATTGTTCAGTCTCAAATAATACCACGTGTGGGATGCCGCACTCTCACCCCACGCTGCAATATATTCCATACAGTACCTGACCAAACCAGTCTAAGTCTTCTTGGCTAGCATAGGAGGAAGGAGCTTTTCTCTTAGCGCAGGAGGAAGACTAGTTCAGACCTACACATAATCCTGCCTATGGTCTAGTCTTACAATCTCCCATGAGCAAATGCTTTAACAAAAATACACCTACATCTTCCAAGAACCGTCACTTTCAGAGACACTCCAGCCTACACTGGCAATTAGAAAAGCGAAAAAAACTTGTTAAAGTCTCTCACTCTAAAAGCGCATAGTCCTGCTAATGATACTTCTAACTTACATCCCTGAATGGAAGGCTGAACATTTTAAACCTTCAGATACTTTACAACTGCCTGCAGTTGTCTTCACAGTTGTCTCCAAGAACAATTGATGGATTCCTGTGTGTCATTTGCATTTTGTGGGTTTTGTTTTGGCAACTTTTCTCCAAAGCAAAGATTTTCATCTGTGCTTCTAGAAACAGAACATTAATAGTAAATGTCACTTCTTCAGCTTCTCAAAACAGTAAATTTATTTATCTGCTGGACACTGAAATATATATACCACATATATAATAATTTGTAGTCTATAAATAAAATTTTTATAATATAATATTATATATTTATAATAAATTATATATATATATCAATAAGGAACATCTACAACTCTCCTTTCTAAAAAACTTTTTGGGACAGTGCTCGAAGTATCTGGACCAATGAGCAGGCAATCGGGGGCTGCTAGCATTCCAAGATGCCTAAGTGTAGCATCTGGCCACTTCCAAACACGAGCAAAACTCTGATAGGGAAGTGAGGAAGCCACTCTACACAGAGCCAAGAAGTGGTGGTAGAATGTTTCTCCCATCCTAAGCTTTTCCTGCTACCATACCTTTTGGTGATGCAAAACAAAGGAAGGTTTTACAAAGGGACATAGAATAGGAAAATTCATGGAAATTAGAGCTAACATTGTGCAAAGGACTCCAGTTAATACAAGATGGATAGGAGGCCACAGAGCAGAGAGCAAGCTAAGGGAAATCACAGCCATTGGAATTAATTGACAATAGCATGAAACTTACAGTTGGCTCTTGAACAGCACAGGTTGGACCTGTGCTGGTCTACTTAGATGCCTATTTGTTTCAATCAATATATTGGAAAATTTTTTAAAGATTTGCAACAATTTGAAAAAACTCACAAAATTGCCACCCCGAGACAGCAAGACCAACTCCTCCTCTTCCTCCTCCTCTCAGCCCACTCAACGTGAAAATGACAAGGACGAAGACCTTTGTGAAGATCCTCTTCCACTTAATGAATAGTAAACTTTCTCTTCCTTGTGGTTTTTTCTTTTCTTTTTTTTTTTTTTTTTTTTTGAGACAGACTCTCACTCTGTTGCCCAGGCTGGAGTGCAGTGGCAAGATCTCAGCTCAGTGCAACCTCCGCCTGCCGGGTTCAAGTGATTCTCATGCCTCAGCCACCCAAGTAGCTGGGATTACAGGTGTGCACCACCATGCCCAGCTAATTTTTGTATTTTTAGTAGAGACGGGGTTTCACCACGTTGACCAGACTGGTCTCGAACACCTGCTCTCAAGTGATCCACCCACTTCGGCCTACAGGCGTGAGCCACTGCGCCCAGCCACCTTATGATTTTCTTAGTAACATTTTCTTTTCACTAGCTTACTTTATTGTAAGAAGACAGTATA
The DNA here is from genome assembly GCF_000001405.40 of Homo sapiens. Taxonomy (NCBI): domain Eukaryota; kingdom Metazoa; phylum Chordata; class Mammalia; order Primates; family Hominidae; genus Homo; species Homo sapiens. Next base: position 61,739,242 of record NC_000002.12, on the reverse strand, counting down.
TAATGCATATAACATACAAAATTTGTGTTAATCAACTATGTTATAGATAAGGCTTCTGGTTAACAGTTGTCTATTATTAATAGTTAAATTTTGGGAGAGTCAAAAGTTATACACAGATTATCAGCCGTGCTGGGGGTTGGTGTCTGAAGTCTCTCATTGCTCAAGGGTCAACTGTATAGTTGTATCACTGGATCCTGGGAATATGAAAATATTTTCTTAAGTTTTGCCATTTTTTTCTGCCTTGACTACTTGTTTGTTTGTGGTACTTCTCTGCTCAAAATAGAATATTTTTTTAATGGGGGGGATGGGCAGGGCAGGCAGGGTCTCGCTCTGTTGCCCAGGCTGGAGTGTAGTGGTGTGATCGTGGCTCCCTGCAGCCTCAGCTTCCTGGGCTGAGGTGATTCTCTCACCTCAGCCTCCAGAATAGCTGGGACTATAGGTGCATACCACCATACCTGGCTTTTTTTTTTTTTTAATTTTTAATAGGGACAAGGTCTTGCTATGTTGCCCAAGGCTGTTCTCAAACTCCTGGCCTCAAATGATCCTCCTGCCTTGGCCTCCCAAAGTGCTGGGACTACAGATGTGAGCCACTGTACCCAGCCTAGAAACTTCTTTAAGTCATTTTTCTGCCAGATTTTATTGCAGAATCTTGAAAATTTTGGAAACAAAAACCAAGTCAAAGGAACTCAAAAGTCACAGTTGTTTGAGAATATTTATTATAGCATCAAAAACTATTCAACCCCTCAACAGCCCTTGAGAATTTATCATATTTGATACAGCATAGTCATCATCATCATCTCCACATAAGTATTGCTCTTATTTTTAACACACTTTATATATTACATCTTTTAATAATTCAGAACAGCCCTATGTGATAAATATTATTATCCCCTTTTCACAGATTGAAAACTGAGGCACAGAGAAAATAATTTGCTAACAGCTAGTAAATGGTGGAATTAAAAATAAAAACACAGACTCATTTAGCTCTGGAGCCATGCTCATGATTGCCTCACCATACTCACTCCTTCATTCCATAAATGATATGTGTAGGAGCAGATTTACCATGAAGCTAGTAAAGCAAGGGCCCCTTGACTTGTCCAAGCTCCTTCCAAAGCTTGAGAGTGGGGCTCCCTCATGATGTGTTCATGCAGCCGTGTGTCTCTGTAAAACTGGCAATCAGTTAAGACTGTGGTCTCATCACCCTGGCTCCTCCTCCATCACACATACCCTCTTATCAAGTGGCACTGGAGTGGCTGTGGACATTTTTGCGATAATGCTGAATTGGGGATTGGGGGCTACATCTGATTTGGGTTTTGTGTGATAGTTTACGTAGTTCACAATCTTTCTTGTGTAAAGTTAAATCATCACTGCCTGTGTTGCTGTAGGAATGGCTTTTAGTAATATTCTTACCATTTACTGCGAGAACTCATCTGGTGGTGTTACAGTTCAACCAAAGGAGTTAACAAATGGTGGAGAAGAAAAGAAAATATTTGGGAGGCTGAGGCGAGTGAATCACCTGAGGTCAGGAGTTTGAGACCAGCCTGGCCAATATGGCAAATCCCTGTCTCTACTAAAAACACAAGAATTAGCTGGGCGAGGTGGTACATGCCCATAATCCCAGCTACTCAGGAGGCTGAAGCATGAGAATTGCTTGAACCCAGGAGGCAGAGGTTGCAGTGAGCCAAGATCACACCACTGCACTCCAGCCTGGGCGACAGAGCAAGACTCTGTCCGTCCCCCACCCCGCCCCCACCACGCAAAAAAGTAGAACAATTAGAGCAAAAATTACATTTTGGACATTTAAAATTAAACTTCCATAAGAATTCATAAAATTTAAATAAAAGTAGGCTCCCGTTAGAATTAATTAAACCATTAATGAAATTAGATACAATATAGTATTTAAACATCTTAGAGAGATTTTTATTAAATGGTTTATATAAATGAACATAATTTTTCTGGGTAATGCACTTATAGGAAGCAGCTTATTCCCCTGTGGTGAATGATGAATCATGAATTTGATGAAGAACCTGGGCATATGATGACATACAATGGGTGATAAATTTGGGGCTCTCTCAGCTTGAATTGTCAGATGAGCCGTGACGGCCAGGTCTCTACCTTCCTGGTACGTAGTTACTGAAGCATTTGTCAAATGAATGATCAAATCAATGAGTGAATGAATCATCATCAGATTTATATACAATCCTCTAGATCGAGACTCCTTGGTTCAGAGAGGCTGGGTGATTTATCTCCCATTGATGAGTGGCAGGATGAGACAAGGACCTGGGTTGCCTCACTTTCAATCCTGCGTTCTTTAATAAGATTTCAAATTGCGAATATTTTCTAGAAGGCTTTAAATAAGTCTCCACCATTTCCAACAACAATAGTACTGAAAGTATATCTTTTACACCCTGGGGACTGTTGTCCTATAGTTAAGGATGCCTCCTTAGAAAATCCAGGAAACAAGGCAGTGATTGCTTTAGATATGCTTTCATATATCTGACCTGGTTCTGATCAACAATATACCAACAAAGTGTTGGGGGGAGGGAGGAGTCTCTCTAGATCAAGTGTTTTTAAACTGAGGGTCTGGACCCCTTAGTGGTTAATGAAATCAATTTAGTAGCTGACTTTTAAAAATAGAATAAAAAAGAAAATAATCAGATTGCATTGCCACATGGTAAGGGATTAAGTATTATTTAGGGAAAACTTTATACCTTGTCACAATGTAAAAAATATATATATTTTTTTAACCGTGGATCATAGTCAAAACTTTAAAAAAAAAAAAAAAACTAGAGTTGGTGGGGCCGGGCGTGGTGGCTCACGCCTGTAATCCCAGCGCTTTGGGAGGCTGAGGGGGGCGGATCACGAGGTCAGGAGATCGAGACCATCCTGGCTAACACAGTGAAACCCTGTCTCTACTAAAAATACAAAGAATTAGCTGGGCATGGTGGCAGGCGCCTGTAGTCCCAGCTACTCGGGAGGCTCAGCCAGGAGAATGGCGTGAAACTGGGAGGCGGAGCTTGTAGTGAGCCGAGACTGCGCCACTGCACTCCAGCCTGGGCGACAGTGTGAGACTCCGTCTCAAAAAAAAAAAAAAAAACACCAACTACAGTTGGTGATTGAGTGCTTACCACAGAATAAGAGGGTAACATTCAGCATAATATGTATTTAGGAAAAGTAAGCCTGGGTATACATGTAATTGGAGTTGAGGGGGAAAGGAGGAAGAACCACCACAGTTGGGTGGGCTCTTAAATCATGCACAGAGGAGAAAAAGCTCAGAGCCCAGGTGCTGAGGCCAGAGTTCAGGGTTGGAGGTCTCAACAGACTGTTGAGATCCAGGATCCTGAGAAGCCTCTCACTAGATGGAGATTCAGCCTGAGTTCAGGTCTGTGATGGAATCCACCTGGAGTTCATGTGGGTAGGCTTGCGAGGGGCCAAGGCCAAGCTGAGGTATCACTGGGCATGGGCGAAGATTAAGGTATTGACTTTAAGGTGCGTTGAGCCCAAGTTGCAGGTGTAGTTGGTTTTATTCAGTGCTGGATTTTGAAGGAAAGACTTGAAGAATGGACTCTGGATGTGTCCAGCGTCTATTGGAAGTGTATGTAAAAGTACTGGGGAAACTGGAAGTGAGAGCCTATTGAATTGTGCAGGATGCAATAGCCAATGGGGTAGGAATAAGGCAAGGGTCATAGAGTGGGCTTAGAAAATCCTCTCTATTACCTGTTTTTTTTTTCTCGGATTACTTAGTCCATAAAACAGCTATCTATGGGTGATACTGTAATGCTGCTATATTGAATATTATCCAAATAGACTAATAAGTATAAAAGTGCTATATCTGCCTTTTCGTTAGTATTTTCCTACTGAATCTTTTTCCATCCCTTTATTTTTAACTTTTTCCTTGATTTTTTTTTCTTTTTTTTGAAACCGACTCTCGCTTTGTCACCCAGGCTACAGTGCAATGGCACGATCGGCTCACTGCAACCTCCGCCTCCCGGGTTCAAGTGATTCTTCTGCCTCAGCCTCCCGAGTAGCTGGGATTTGGGGTGCCCGCTACCACGCCCGGCTAATTTTTTGTTTGTTTGTTTGTTTGTTTTGTTTTGTTTTGTTTTTGAGACAGAGTCTTGGTCTGTCACTCCGGCTGGAGTGCAATTGCACTATCTCAGCCCACTGCAACCTCTGCTTCCAGAGTTCAAGCAATTCTCCTGCCTCAGCCCCCTGAGTAGCTGGGATTTTGGGCGCCCACCACCACGCCTGGCTAATTTTTGTTTTTTCTTGTTGTTTTTTTTTGTTTTGTTTTTGAGACAGAGTCTCGGTCTGTCACCCACGCTGGAGTGCAATGGCGCTATCTCAGCCCACTGCAACCTCCGCTTCCAGAGTTCAAGCAATTCTCCTGCCTCAGCCTGTCAAGTAGCTGGGATTATAGGCATGTGCCACCACGCCGGGCTAAAATTTTTGTATTTTTAGTAGAGACAGGGTTTCACCACGTTATCCAGGCTGGTCTCAAACTCCTGACCTCAAGTGATCCGCCCGGCTTGGCCTCCCAAAATGCTGGGATTACAGGCGTGAGCCACCGCCCCCAGCCGACATTTTGTTTTATTTGTGTCTCTTATAAATAGGATATAGGTATTTTTAATTAAAATATATCAAAATGTGAAACAGTTTTTTGCTAGGAAGGTGAATAACTGTCAAGATCCAAAAAGTTTGAAGTAGCAATTACAAAAAAAAAAAATACTTTAAAATGCGAATTATCTAACTAGATGAATTAAAACGAATAATTTGCCAGCTGGCTCAAAATACAACTCAGTAAATCTTAATCTGTGAAATTATCCTACTTTAGAGTAAGTGACCACAAAAAAAGTATTGTGGGGAGCAAATAGTGCAATCAGATCATATTAAATCAATTCCAGAGTACTGGTGACTTGACATCCACCAACTATAACCAGGAGGAAAAAATGATAAAAACATATATTTTATTTTATTTTATTTTATTTTATTTTATTTTATTTTATTTTATTTTATTTATTTTTCAAGACAGAGTCTTGTTCTGTTGCCCAGGCCAGAGTGCACTTGCAACCTCTATCTCCGGGGCTCAAGCGATTCTCCTGCCTCAGCCTCCCGAGTAGCTGGGATCACATGTGCCCACTACCACGCCTGGTTAATTTTTATATTTTTAGTAGAGATGGGGTTTCATCATGTTGGCCAGGCTGGTCTTGAACTCCTGACCTCAGGTGATCCACGCACCTCAGTCTCCCGAAGTGCTGGGATTACAGGCATGAGCCACCATACCTGGCCAAAACATACATTTTAAAATCCTATCTACTTTTAAAATCCTTTGAGACTTTAGAAAAGGGTCAGAATTTAACTTGAAATGTTTTATTTATTTTTTGAAGGAGTGTATAGACTGTAATTGATGGATAGACTGTGGAATTAAACTGGGTACAGCCTCAAACCCCATTTTGACCTGGTGCGGTGACTCATGCCTGTAATCTCAGTACTTTGGGAGGCTGAGGTGGGCGGATTGTCTGAGCCAGGAATTTGAGAACAGCCAGGGCAAAATAGTGAGACTCCTGTCTCTACAAAAAGTAAAAAAAGAAGAAGTAAAGAAGCAATTTGGGTTTTTCCACTCTTTTAACTTTAAATTTTATTTCTTTATTTTTTCCACAAAACTGGTTCAGAAGGAATTTTTATTATATATATTACATATAGCATATAATAAAATATATAATATATAAAATATGTATTTTGTATATGTATCATTATATATATGATTGTATCATACATATATATTTGAGACAGGGTCTTCCTCTGTCTCCCAGGCTGGAATGTAGTGATGCAATCACGGTTCACTGAAGTTTTGACCTCCCCAGCTCAAACAATCCTCCCACCTCAACCTCCCAAATAGGTGGGACTACAGGCACACACCACCATACCCAGCTAATTTTTTTTTTTTTTTTTTTTTTAGAGATGGGGGACTCAGTATGTTGCCTGGGCTGGTTTCAAATTTCTGGACTCAAGCAATCCTCCTGCCTTGGCCTCCCAAAATGTGGGGATTACAGGCATAAGCCACTACACCCAGCCACTCTTTTACTTCTCTAGAAGAAAAATTATGTTTTTAAAAGACAGGTTATAGAAGAAGTGACTGATACTACCACAAATTAGGTTCATATTTTTGTATCAATTTTTGTGTATACATGTGTGGGCTACAATGTTTATGATATACAATGACAGGTGACTGCAGTCATTGAAGCTGATAGAGGGCAGCATGGTCTTGTCATTCTAGCAACAGATTCTGAGAAATGGGCTGCAATCCCAGTTTTGCTAACTAAAAGCAGCAGACCAGCTCAGCCATTATTTAAGTGACAGTCATTAAGAGTTCAACACCTTACTGGAACAATGTGACATAATGGCAGGAATCCTGACTTTGTTATTTATCAACTATGTGACTTTGGGCAAATATTACTGAGCCAGGCTCAGTTTCCTCTTCTGTAAATGCAAAGAAGAATACCTAGTTGAAAGAGCTGTTGTAAGGATAAAATAAGATATAGTTCGTTAAGTATCTAGGATGAAATACATTTCATTAAGTATCTAGAACAGGCCGGGCGCGGTGGCTCACGCCTGTAATCGCAGCACTTTGGGAGGCCGAGGCGGGCGGATCACGGTCAGGAGACTGACACCATCCTGCCTAACATGGTGAAACCCCGCCTCTACTAAAAATACAAAAAATTAGCCGGGCATGGTGGCGGGCGCCTATAGTTCCAGCTACTCGGGAGGCTGAGGCAGGAGAATGGCGTGAACCCGGGAGGCGGGGCTTGCAGTGAGCCAAGATTGTGCCACTGCACTCCAGCCTGGGTGACAGAGCAAGACTCCATCTCAAAAAAAAAAAAAAAAAGTATCTGGAACAATATGTGGCATGTGGTATGGTGCAATAAATGGTAGTGTTATTATTACTGCCTGCCCCAGTAAGCATAATAATACTGTCTCCAAAGTGGTAAGTAGACAATAGAAATATTCATAGCAATAAGTAGAACATAGAAATATTCACGGTGGTAAGTAAAATATAGAAATTGAATTTTTATCTTGCACTAGGCATCCCAAGCTAGACATAAGCAAGATAACCTAACTCTTGACATGGGCAGCATTATCCAGACACAGTTTCCTTGGGCAGCATGTCAGGGTCCTTGACTTTTGAAGATCTAACATCTAAGATTCCCTTTGCCTCCGGGAGCTGGCATTTTGAGGACTTGACCCAGTAGGAAGCTGGCCTGCCGAAGCTTGTGCTGTCCTCTCACCTGGCATCTCCACTGCTGGACTCCTCTTCCAGGTGCCCTTACTTCCAATTTGTCAGACTCCAGGGAGACCCCTGTTACCATGACAATTGCCCAGAGTTCCCAAAGTCAGATGCTACCACCCGCATCCTTTGTGTGCCATTGCCTGTGTGGAGTTTGGCCACTCTCCCTAGGACTGGGTGTGAAGACTTCTAGTCTTTCCAGCTAAGAGAGAGTCCGCCTTTTCCAATGATGGCTCTCCCACTGCAGCCTTCTCCCAGGCTCTATGTCCTACCCATCCCCAACCTATCCTAGCATGCTGCATGACAAGTGTAAGTATCTAGCATATAGAGGATATTCTGTACATTTTGTTCAATAAATGATATTTATGTTCATGATGATGAGGGTGGGAGGATATTCAGTTGGAAGGAACATGGCTGTGGGTATGGAAACCAACTAGTCAGAATGGACACCAGCCACAGGGCTGGAGAAAGGTCCTGAATGCCCCCCTACAGTACTACGTATTAATGTTTTAATGTGTGGGTTTCTTGAGGATCTCTAGAGAAGGGCTGGGCAGTAGCAGGGCCCTTAGGGGATCAGGTTAGAGGCCATTTCCCAACCAGTATGAGAGATGGTATTTCAAGACAACGATCTAGGTGCTAGGGATGCTTATTGCTTCTAGGGCGATCAATGCTTTTAGGCCTTTTCAGTACACAGGCCTTGGAAATGTATATCTAGTTTTTAAAGATAAAGCATCTCAAAAATTCGTGCAGACACACACTTCCAATTCAAATTCAGGACTCAGCATTTTTACTTACCCTCTTCTATATTACATTTGTATCTTCTTTCTTTTACACCAAGAATCCTGATTCTCAAGAACACAAGGAATGATAGAATAACTCATAGTTTCAATGCTGTTAGCAACACTAACAGTACCATCACTGATGTGTTTCCTGAAAAAAGCTACATCTTTTTGCCTATGCTATCTCCATTTCCCCCACTTAAAATCATCTGTTCTTTAACTTCACTAAACAGAGCATGTAGCCATTACACGCTATACTCTCTCTTTCCATGCTCATTTGTCTTAGTTCTATAAGTAATTGTATATTTAATGTTCACCCCCACCCCCCAGTCGTTATGTTGATGTCTTTCTAGTCATTTTGATGGCCTGAAACCCATTCTTTAATATATTCCTGAGGAAAGGCACAGGACAACATATTTCCTGATAGCAGTTTGTCTGTGTCCTTTATATTTGAGTCCATTTTGCTAGATATAAAATCCTTGGCTTCACTCTCAAGCAGGTTTTCTATAGGTAGAGGCAAGATGTCTACCAGTGGCCCCAGAATTATACCTTTCTAGCTTAATAACCCGAGAAGACAGAGAGTTTTGCTTTTTAAATAATTCCAGCAAGTCTCGGGATGAGTTCTGATTGGACTCTCTTGAGTCATGTTCTCATCTTGAAGCCAATCACTATTGCCAAGTGGATGAAATGCAAAGATGAGCCAGGCATGAATTGCACGCTCATTCTGGATCTAAGGAGTGGGATAGCCCCACCCAAGCCAAATGGACCAAGAGTGGGAAGGGATGGATTCCTAAAGGACTATCAGTGCGCTGTCAGTGGAAGAGGCAGGAATCAAGGTTAGACAGGCAAAAGCAATAGGTTGATGCCCACTATAGTTTCACATGTATGGATTGATTTTCCTCAAATTATTTGCCAGTTGTTTCAGGGATTTATCTTTCATCTGTCCAACTAGGAATGGAACTTCCATAAAGGCCTACTTTTGTGATTGTAACAACACCTAACAAGAGGCTAGATATTTACTTAGTTGGGCAAAGCTACCCCAACACCCCAATACTTAGACGAATCTGGTCTAACATTGTAGTAGTATGAATCCTGTGGCCAGATGTATTGTCATGATCAGTTATTAGGATAAATACTTAACTGAAAAGACATTCAGACATATCAGTTGACAACAAATATGTGAAAAAAAAGAGACCAGCAAACAGAAAAACACATTAAGAGAAGGCTCTGACCTTTTGAAATATAATCAGAAATAGAATTTGCTTTTAATGCTGCAAATGGAAACTTCTAATGACAGAATTGGTTAAAATTACAAATTAAATCTAGATAAAATTCCATTTCTAATAGCAGAAGAAGAGAATGTTATGTGTCACTATCAAATGCAACTAATTAATTTGGCAAAAGAATTTTTTGAAGTCGGGGGCTTGAAAAAGTCCAGTTTCATGGACTGGGTTCCAATTGGGTATCAATATTTTAGATGAAAGAAATGAAGTAGAAATTACTCCATTAGACAGGGAGGGTGTAGGTCTTTTGTAGATAAAGCATTTTAAATAGCACAATACAAAGTCATTTTAAAAAATTCTAGTGTTTGTCACACCCATTTTCCCTTCTGATTTTCCATGTTGCTTGGACTTGAGCTATGGAATGATTGAACCCTGCCTTTTTCCAGTGATTTCTTACTGCATCTGCCTTAGCAGCAATGGGGAGCAGTTACATTAAAATTTAAACATTCTTTTAAAAAAATCTCCCAAATACAGTTTAACTATATTGGTATCTCCTTTCATAACTGCTTTGGCTATAAGATGTGTACTTATAAAATAATTAATGTAGCACAAGAAAAAGTGACCTAAGATTACTTCTGAAAAAATAATTAAATGAAACAAGTTCATTATTGATAATGGTTTGGATTTATATACCCGCCCAAATCTCAGGTCAAATTGTAATCCCCAGTGTTGAAGGAGGGGGCTCCTGGGAGGTGATCGGATCATGGGGGCAGATTTCCTCCTTGCTGTTCTCATGATAGTGAGTGAGTTCTTATGAGATCTGGTTGTTCTTCATTTTTTTTTTTTAATAGAGATGGGTTTTGCCATCTTGCCTAGGATGGTCTTGAATTCCTGGCCTCAAGCAATCCACCTGCCTGGGCCTCCCAAAGTGCTGGGATTACAGGCATGAGCCACCACGCCTGAGATCTGGTTGTTTATAAGTGTGTAGTACCTCCCTCTGCTCTCTCTCCTGCTCCAGCCATGTAAGATGTGCCTGCTTCCCCTTCGCCTTCTACCATGATTGTAAGTTTCCTGAAGCCTCCCCAGCCATGCTTCCTGTACAGCCTGAAGAACTGTGAGCCAAGTAAACCTCTTTTCTTTATAAATTACCCAGTCTCAGGTAGTTCTTTATGCAATGCGAGAACAAACTAATGCAATCATCTTTTATATTGTCAGTAAAAGCTAAATATTGATTCTGTTTTTCTCTTTATCCCTTTTTAATCTTCAATACACTCATTTAAAAACAATCAGATAATTGGATTTCTCAATTTAAGAAACACGGTAGATTTTGTCAAGGGGACATAACTCCCCACAAACTCAGATAATGTATCTCCTCAAGACACAGTTGAATATGCCTAGAGCTTTAATTATAAGGTACTTTCAGACTTCTCATCTCAAGTTCAGGTTGAATTGGAATTTGTTAGGATGTAAGAAGATGCAGTAATTTATATACACACACACCAATTTAGACATTCCAGATCCATTCCTGATGGACTAAAAAAGTACTGAAAGATAATTTTGGCTTTACAAAAGTATTCCAGAATATATGATTATTATAATTTTGCTCTATTCCAACTTGTCCTTACGTTTGTGCCCTTCACACACAAATACACACTTCTTCAATTTTTTCCCCGTTTCTCAAAAATCCAAAGATTCTGTACATGTGGTACAGCTTGTTCCTGGATTTTCTGACTTTTCATTTTTGCATAATACTTTAGTCTCCATGAATACATTTCTCTAGCAGTTAAAGATTACTAAACTGTTCTTCCCTGAGCAGTATAGAGAAAAAACTCTTTTGTTCAACAGGAACATGGACAATTAGGCTTTTATTAGGTAGAACATGGAAAATTCATTATGTTCAGTAAGTGTTTGATTCCATCAATTAGGTACTTTTAAAGACCTTTCATGACAGTCACTGGTCCACTAGGGAAATATGACAGTTCATATCATTATCATCATAGAAATGTCTGCTGCTAAATGTCTCAGTTCAAATGACTCATCACTCTCCACGCCAGTGATTTCCAACTTTAACTTCTCAAATCTCTGACCACCCCCTCTTACCCTCTCACTGGCAAGAGCTAACCTCACCTCCTACATTGTAGAGGAAATAGAAGCCCATCTTCTCAATATAAAACATATAAGCCTACCTTTCCTCCTTCCTGTTGTTACAATAGAGAATTTATACTGATTGCTCTTTAATGTTAATCCTTTCTTCCTGATTTAGAGTCCATTCCCTCCCTGCTTCTAAGGAGCACTACTTTATCAGTTATCCTTTTCTGCTCTTTTACTTTCAATCTCTCTCCACCCACCTTGATTAGATCCTCCTAATTGAGCTCTAAATACATTTAAGTCATTCCCATTTTTATTTATTTATTTATTTAATTTTTTTTGAGACAGAGTTTTGCTCTTGTCGCCCAGGCTGGAGTGCAATGGCACAATCTCGGCTCACTGCAACCTCCATCTCCTGGGTTCAAGTGATTCTCCTACCTCAGCCTCCTGAGTAGCTGGGATTACAGGTGCCACCACCATGCCAGCTAATTTTGGATTTATAGTAGAGATGGGGTTTCACCATGTTGGCCAGGCTGGTCTGAAACTCCTGACCTCAGGTGATCTGCCCACCTCAGCCTCCCAAAGTGCTGGGATTACAGGCATGAGGCACCACGCCGGCCTCATTCCCATTTTTAAAGAAGTCATTCAGTCCCACATCCCCTTCCAACTATCATCTCATCTCTCTCCTTCCCTTTATGGACACACTTTTTGAATGTGTGATTTGTACTTGCTGTTTAGCTGCTGTATTTACTTTCCCCAAATCCACTTCCCCTTCTTTCTAACAAAAACTGATTTGTGGGAGGGGAGCAGCAATGGGTCCAGCTAAAGAACTACATTTCCTGGCCTCCCTTGCAGCTAGGAGTGGCCATGTGACACAGTTCTGGCCAATGATGTGTGAGCTGAAGTCAGCTGGGAATTTATAGCAAATGTTTGCTTTCCTGATATAGCACCAGACCTTTCCCCCTTGATGTTTCTTCCTTCTTCCTATCTGAAACACTGATTTGAGAATTAGCAGCCTTCTTGCTTTCACAATGGAAAAAAAAAAAAGCCACATACTGAGGATGACAGTGCAGAAAGACAGAAGGATTCTAGAACAGTGATGACATTGTGGAGTCACTGCACCAGCCTGAACTGTCAACCTCTGTCATTCTTGTTATGTGAGAGAAATAACCCAATATAGTAAGGCTATCATCAGCAGATTCCATTACATGTGGCCAAGTGCAATTCCTAATCAATGCTCTTGATCTCTACATTTCCTCATCTTCCACTCACTCTCAAGCCATGTCATTCTGGCTTCTGGCCTGTCATTCCACTGAGCTCACTGATGATCTACATGTTGTGAAATCCAGGAGACATTTTTAGGTTCTCGTATTAACCTCTCAGCAGCATTTGCCTCTGCTGTCCATGACCTCCTTTTTGAAACCATCTCCTCCCATGGCCTCCATGTCCAGTCCTCTCTGGGTTTGCTTGTTCACCTCCGGCTGCTCCCTCTCTGTCTCCTCCATGGGTTCATCTTCCTCTTGCAGCCACACTAACCATCTTGCAGCCTCTAGGACATACCATGGCCTTTGCCACATGCTGTTCCCTCTGTTTAGAATGGTCTCTTCTCCCTCCCTTTGCCTAGCTAACTCTTCCTCATCCTTCAGTTCTCCATTGATTCTCAATGTCTTCAGGGAAGCCTCCCTTGACCTCCTTGTGAGATCGCATTTCCTTGTTATATACTCCTTCATAGCTCTTAGCCTAGGTGCAACTTCACCTTCTCTAGTGTGGCTCCTTGAGTAAGGCATCTCTTCCCTCAGACAGTAAACACTATGAAGAGAGGGGCCAGTGTATTTTTGCTCTTTATTGTATTCCAAAACGCACATAATAAGTGCTCAATAATTATTTCGTGAATGAGTAAATGGATCAATGTGTAATTATACAGTGATCTACTTGCTTACTTTTTTATTATCTGTCATTCTCCATGACAGCAGGAAACAAAACGGTTTAGTACATACAGTTCCTAACACATCGCACATGGCACACAGCAGGAAACATTTTAATTTTTTGAATATATGAATAAGGAGGATTCCAAAGGAGACATTCTAGTAGTTCTACTCATAGTATGTCAGTGTTTTGAGGTTTTTATTTTTACTTTTTTACTGTCTTTTGATATAGTTTCTGGTTACAGTAGAGCATCAAATACCTTTATTGCCTGTAGAGAAGAGTTATTTGGAAAATGTTACCAAATAGCTTGTTCTCACAATATGTTATGTATAAAATAGACTGTCTATGAAGATCTTGAATCTATACACTTCTCCCTCTCTTCATTGCCACCACCTTACTTGAAATTACGATCATATTTCCCCTGGACTACATTGAACCACACACCTTTCCTTAAGTATGATTTATTAAACTATATATAAACTTGGATGGCTGAGTTTTTACTGATCTTAAAGCCAAGAATCATATCTAATTATATTATCCCCAAAGAAAACTAGGCACATATAGGTGCATAAATAGTTTTTTATTTTGTTGTGGCAGATTATTTCCATTCTGCACTTGACAAAGTATTTAGTTCAGTTAAAGAAAATAAGTATTTTTAAACTAGCAACAAATTTTTATTTTCAAATGACCAAACTGAAAATATTCAGTTAAGGTAAAACATCAGTCGCCAGGTGTGGTGGCTAATGCCTATAATCCCAGCACTTTGGGAGGGTGAGTGGGAGGATCGTTTGAGACCAGGAGTTCAAGACCAGCCTGGGCAATATAGTGAGACCCTGTCTCTACAAAAAAAAAAAAAATTTTTAAATTGCCATTGTGGTGGCCCATGTTTGCAGTCCTAGCTACTCAGGAGACTGATACGAGAGAATTGCTTGAACCCAGGAAGTTGAGGCTGCAGTGAGCCATGATCACACCACTGCACTCCAGCCTGGGTGACCGAGTGAGATGGTATCTCAAAAAAATAATAATAAGCCAGGCAGAGTGGCTCACACCTGTAATCCCAGCAATTTGGGAGGCCAAGGCGGACGGATCACTTGAGGTCAGGAGTTTGAGACCAGCCTGGCCAACATGGTAAACCCAGTCTCTACTAAAAAACACAAAAAATTAGCAGGGCTTGGTGACATGTGCCTGTAATCCCAGCTATTTGGGAGGCTGAGGCATGAGAATCACTTGAACCTGGGAGGCAGAGGTTGCGGTGAGCTGAGATCGCACCACTGCACTCCAGGCTGAGCAAAAGAGCGAGACTCCATCTCAAAATAAATAAATTAATTAAAGAAGACTTTCTATGACAGCCCTGAGCATGCCCTCTGCCTGTGGTCAGCTCATCTGGCTCCTGCTTCTCCTCTAAGGCCAAGCTCCTGTCTGTCTCCTTGACAGGACTTCCTTGACTCCTCGTCCTCTCACACATGTGCCACATCACTTATTATATATGTTTACATAAACATACGTGTGGATATATCCTTTCTCCCCAGCCAGCCAGGGAAGAGTGAAACAAGTATTTTATACGTTGTTTTAGCCACCAGGCCTACTTCAGAAAATGTTCCACTGCTGCCAATGCTTGTTTTCTTTTTAGCTAATAAGATTTAACAATCATTTACTATCTGCTGGGCACTGTTACACTCAATAGGTGCTGCTGTTGTTCCCTTCCCACAGATGAGAGTCTAACCAACTTGCCCAAGTCTCACAGTTAGTGAGTAGTGTGCCCCAGACCCAAAACCCACCTCACCAGATTCCAGAGCTAAGGCTCTAACCATCAGACTACCCTGCCCCTCATCGATATTCCAAGATGCCAAACTCCAACCAGGCTGCACTTGCCCTTGACTAACTTTGAAGGCATCAGGTGACCAGCTTTGCTCACAACTAGTCAGAGGCATTTCACATTGTTCTCAAATGAAATCCTAAGTCTGCAAACTAAGAAAGAAACCATTTTGGAAACAGCAGGAAGGGGTGATCTATAGAAACCCACTTTGACGTTGGGATATTCATTTAGACACACAGCTCAGGGCTATAAAAAGCCACTACACTAAGATTGCAAAAGCATTAAAAATCAAATTCCCTTATAATTTTTTAGAGAGCTGTAAATGGCACCCTATCATCTCTGGGGAAATCTTTCCCTAAAGCTCCAATCCTCTTGGTCACTCGGATGAATAAATTGGCCTCCTTCCTTTTCATTTCTCCATTATCTGCCCTATCAGGTCAAAAGGAAACCATCTCAGTTTAAGACTTAAGCTTTGTTGAAGTTTCTAGCTAGTTAAGCTGAAAGCAAGAAAAGTCACTTCGACCAGGTGCAGTGGCTTCTGCCTGCAATCCCAGCACTTTGGGAGGCCGAGGTGGGCGGACCATCTGCGGTCGGGAGTTCGAGACCAGCTTGACTAACGTGGAGAAGCCCTGTCTCTACTAAAAATACAAAATTAGCTGGACGTGGTGGTGCATGCCTGTAATCCCAGCTACTCAAGAGGCTGAGGCAGGAGAATCGCTTGAACCCGGGAGGCGGAGGTTGTGGTGAACCAAGATCACGCCATTGCACTCCAGCCTGGGCAACAAGAGCGAAACTCCGTCTCAAACCAAAAAAAAAAAAAAAGAAAAAGAAAAGTCATTTCATGTTGGCATGATAGTAGAAAGCATTTGGCCACATTTTAGTTTAATAATGGAAGATTATTAAGATTTAGCCTCCCCATTTAATTAATAAGGTCGATTAATACCGTTCCTGTTAAGAAGAAGAAAAAAAAGCTTTGCAATGTCTTGATTATAGATGTTTTAACCAGCTTACCCTTTTGTATTTTGAGTGTAAGGCACTATATCATGAACCACTGAGTTCCTCGAAAGCTCAAGAGACTTAAACAGTTGGAGAAAAGTCCAGGGGTAAGATAAGTCAGAAACGTAAACCTGCAGCAAAACGAAATTTCTTCAAATTAGGCTTCAGGAGAAGCAACAGATAAAAGCAACTGGCAACTGGAGATATCGTTTTTATTCTCTGGGCTAGAAGCATGCTGGCAGAGGCTTTAACTAACTAAATTTACTTGCAAGTTCTCCGAAGGGAGCGATCATATTGCACCAGGGTAACTTTTCAGAACACTTTACTTTGCAAACAAGTTCCCAGGGCCTTGTAAAATACTGAATTCCGAACCTCAATGTAAGTATAAAAATGCCAGCATGTGTATTGCATATCCCAACTACAAAAAATAGAGTTTAACTATTCGCTGAAAATGGAAACTTCAATAATATTTATGATTTACTAGAGCATGCAATCTTCATTTTGAAAGACTTAAAGCATCAAGGAGGTATTTATCCAAAATTAGCATCCAGTAATAGCACCTTGGGATATCCCTGTTTTGGCAGCATCTGTACCCAGATCTGGTTACAGCTCAATCCAATGCTGGAGCCACTGACCTCAGGAAGACAGGTGTCCTCTCCAATAGCAGGTCCACATTCTGGGCAATGAGAAATGTACTTGATCTAATTGCCTGGAGGCCTGGCCTGTTTGCTCAGGTATCTGACCAGCACAGTGACCCCTTCACAAAGAATGAAGTTTTCATCTCTTCCTCAAATTAATTGCTCTGCAATTAATTTAGCATTACATCCCCCCGCCCCACAAAAAAAAGGTTTGCTTGGCTGAATACAATACAATACAATACAATACAATACAATACAATACAATACAATACAATACAATACTATTTGCTGACTTATTTACTAATGAATCCAAAGTTTATTGAATGCCCACTATGTACCAAGCACTTGGCAGCCCATGGAGATAAAAATATTAAATGACAAGGAATCGCTTTCATTAATAAATTCAACATAGTAGCTCAATAATTGTTCAAAGGACCCAGAATAGATTTTCTATCTATATTTTATCCTTCCAGCTCAATCTCTTTTTTTTTTTTTGAGATGGAGTCTCGCTCTGTCACTCAGGCTGGAGTGCAATGGCGCCATCTCGGCTCACTGCAACCTCTGCCCCCCGGGTTCAAACAGTTCTCCTGCCTCAGCCTCCTGAGTAGCTGGGATTATAGGTGCGCACCATCACACCTGGCTAATTTTTGTATTTTAGTAGAGACGGAGTTTCACCATGGTTTCACCATTTTGGTCGCACCATCAAGTTTGCTGTTTAAAATATTTGCCTGAAACTCATGAAAGAGGTAAGGATTCATGGATCATCACCTTGTAAATGGCAGCTGAAACATGATTGCAAATGACGTTGCCAATTCTGTAGCCAGCCCATACTACTCCCTGGTTCCAAATACCTTGTACTCATCCCCACTGTGTAACAGGAGCCCTGCCTCCACCTGCTGATCAGGGACAATGACCTCTGCCAAGATGGTGACTCCTCTGTTTGTCTCCTGGCTCCTGGACACAAGGACTCCAAAGTATCCATAGGACACTCCAAGGACTCCAAAGGTGACAGCCATATTTGTAGTTCACTGTGTCCCCTGGCAAGAGTGCACTCCCTTACCAGGCCCTTCAGCTGTGCGGAGCCCAGAGTTGCAAGGGTGGAAAGAAAATCCTTCAGTGGGGTTTTCAGAGTGATGATAAGTCGAGGAAAAAAAATATTTTACAAAGTCTTGACTATTGATATTTTAACCAGCTTACCCTTTGGATTTTAAGTGAAAGGCACTATATTACTTAAATACAAAAGGGTAAGCTGGTTAAAATATCAATAGTCATATCAATGACTCACCTAGCATTCATTTTTTCATTCATTTATTATTCATGAATTAATTCCTTTTTGGCCAACTAATACAAATGGAACTTCTATCTCATATCCTAGGTAATGTGAAAGACAATGGGTGGACATGGATGAGTAAGCTTTAATTCCCTACCCTAAAATATCGCATAACCTGGTTTATAATGTTTAGGAGGTTAGGTGTCTTTTTTTTCTTTTCTTTTCTTTTTTTTGAGACAGAGTTTCACTCTGTCGCCCAGTCTGGAGTACAGTGGCCTGATCTCAACTCACTGCAACCTCCACCTCCCGTGTTCAAGTGATTCTCATGCCTCAGCCTCCCAAGTAGTTGGGACTACAGGCGCCCACCACCACACCTGGCTAATTTCTGTACTTTTAATAGTACAGAATAGAGACAGGGTTTCACTATGTTGGCCAGGCTGCTCCCAAACTCCTGACCTCATGATCCACCTCCCTCGGCCTCCCCAAGTGCTGGGATTACAGGTGTCACCCACTGCGCCCAGCCTAGGTTAGGTGTCTTAACTGCATTTTTGACTTATTTTCAACATATGATGGGTTCATCAGGATATGACCCCATCATAAGTCAGGGAGCAACTGAATTAAATTTTCATCATAAAAAACAGAAACATTAAACATTAAAAGGATACAGAAAATAATAATCATTTTTAAGATACTGTCCAAAGATAAGCACTATTCATGTTTTATGTAGAATACTCAGTCTTTCTTCTAACTATAAAAACATGCTTTTGAAACATTTTTAGTAAAATGGATCATATTAAGCATATATTTGTGCTTTCTTTTCATTTATTCATGTTATATCATGAACATACTCCCATGCCATGAAATATAGATTCTCATCATTATTTTCAACTGTTTCATGGTATCCCACTGTATTGCATCCCATGATTTATTCAGTAGTTTCTGTACTGATGGAAACTTATGATATTTCCAAGTGTTCACGACTATAAGCAATGTAATAATGAACATCTTTGTACTTAAGACGTTATACATTGTGTGGTTTATTCCAGATAATAAATTCACAGAAATTGGCTTATATATTTCTAAGATCCTTTGGGTATATCACCAGTTTGTTTTGTTGTTGTTGTTTTGAGACGGAGTCTTGTTGTGTCGCCCAGGCTGGAGTGCAGTGGTGTGATCTTGGCTCACTGCAACCTCCACCTCCTGGGTTCAACCGATTCTCCTGCCTCAGCCTCTCCAGTAGCTGGGAATACAGGCATATGCCACCATGGCCAGCTAATTTTTGTATTTTTAGTAGAAACAGGGTTTCACCATGTTGGCCAGGTGGGTCTTGAACTCCTGACCTCAGGTGATCCACCCTCCTCAGCCTCCCAGAGTGCTGGGATTACAGGAGTGAGCCACCACGCCTGGCCACAAATTTGTTTTTTCAGTATGAGACTATCCCCACCTAGGGTTTGGGTTTCAAAATCCTAATTAAGTTTCTTTATTAAGGCTATTTGGAAGCCAAAGGCAGAGACTCATGACTTTTAGAAAATTGAAATATAGCATATGTAAAGTTCACATGTCAAAAATGAGCTTGATAAAAATTTATAAAATGAACACACACATAAAACCCAGATTAAGAAACAGATCATTACCAAAACCATCTCCTGCCTCCTTCTAGTCCCTACACACCACATCCATTTTCTTCCCAGAAAGCTCCCAGCCAGTGTCTGAGCACAGCCCAGCATGGCACTCCTCTAGGATTTTCTCAGAGCTACACCTCGACCTGAGGCTCTTCCTGCTCAACCCTCCTTCCTTTCTCCTCTGCGTTTACAGGTGTCAGACCTGCACCATGGCCTAGAGACTTTCTCCGACTACTCCCACTCCTTTTCCCTCGTCCTTTACCAGATACTACCCACAACGAATCTCTTGCCCTTCTAACTTTGCCTTGATGTCTGCCTCCCTAAGAACCCATCAGCACAGTTGGTCCTGAAGGCAGTCAGAAACAACAAGCTCTGTTTGGGGACTGGACCGCGTGCTCCCAGCTGGCAAGGAGAACCGCATCCCAAGTGGTATGTGGGCAGGGATAGTCCCAGTCACAAGGGCTATCCCAGTTGCTAAAAATACTATCAGTAGTGACTTGAGAGTGACATCCCAGTGGAGAATACACTGGCTAGTGATAGGATTCAAGCCCTGGAAAGCATGGGGGCCTGGGGGAGGGGAGGCACCTCACACAGGAAAGATGGAGTGAGCTGATTGCTCAAAAGCTGCATTGACATCCTACAGAACAGCAGTCCCCCACCTTTTTGGCACCAGTGACCAGTTTTGTGAAAGACCGTTTCTCCACAGACTGGGGTGGGGTAGGGGAAGGTTTCAGGATGATTCAAGTGCATTACATTTATTGGGCACTTGATTTCTATTATTATTACATTGTAATATATAATGAAATAATTATACAACTCTCCATAATGTAGAATCAGTGGGAGCCCTGAGCTTGTTTTCCTACAACTAGCTGTCCCATCTGGGGTGATGGGAGACAGTGACAGATCATCAGGAGTTAGATTCTCATAAGGACTGTGCAACCTAGATCCCTCACATGCACGGTTCACAATAGGGTTTGCACTACTATGAGTATCTAATGCCGCTGACCTGACAGGAGGCAGAGCTGGCGGTAATAACTCGCCTGCCTTCACCTCCTTCTGTGCAGCCCACGGGTCCGTGGCCCGGGAGTTGGGGATCCCTGCTACAGAGGAAGCATTGCAAACAGAGGGCAGTCAACAAACAGTTATGGCTAAGTGTGAGAAACAGACGGTCTCTTCAGCAGTTTACAGGGTGAAAGAGCTAGCACAACTAAGGAACAAACTCAGGATCTGAGAGTCAGGGTCAAAGTTCCCCAAAATGGCTGAATGTCTTTCTGAGCATTCAGGTCTGTTGTGCCCCGGATGGGAACATCTGGGGCCCTGAAACATAGGATGGGAAAATCTGGGTGGATGCCCTGAAAGATGGTGTATCTGCAGACTCCCCAGTACCCCCAGAATCTGCATAGGTGGCCCACCCCTCCCTGTGCAAAAATACACTGCAGAGGCCTCTTCCCTCCAGGCAACTGGTGTCCCTCTGAGAAGCTGTGCCCACTTTCTCTCCTGGCTGCCAGCTCGATAATTCGGGGTAATCCCAGCATAACTTTACTGGGGACATTTGGGCCTGATAAGGGCACTAGTGTCCCTACCTCAGCTCACACCCGTGGCCCTGGGGAACATCATGACCAACTGACGGAGGAAGAAACTCCTATGCTTCGTGTACTGGTGGGTCAGCTCAATGTACAAATACAAGCTTTGTCATTGGAATGGGGACAATGGGCAGGTGAAGGGGGTGGCCGCAGTGGCAGAGACAGAGGCTACGTGTGGACCCAAAAGCATGGACTTCACTGACCAAATCTGACCTTGCCATTGCTGCCTTTGAATATCCAACCTCGCAGCAACAGAGAGCAACGTTCAGCCCTGACGCAGCTCCATTCCTGGAGGAGACTCACTAGCAATACGTTGACTAATTGGGCCCCTTCTGTCCTGGAGAGGCAGAGTGTCATTCTCAGATAAACAGACACTGATTCGAGTATGGATTTGCTGTCTCTGTCCTCAGAGCTGCAGCCATTACCACTATCCAGGGGTTTATAGAGTGCTTGATCCACAGGCATGGAATCTCATACAATATAGCATCTGACCAGGGGATCCAGGTGCTATAGGCTGAATGTTTGTGTTCTCCTAAATTCCTATGTTGAAACCCCAACCCCCAGGGTGATGGTGTTAGGGGGTATGGTCTTTGGGAGGTGGTTAGATCATGAAGGCAGAGCTCTCATGAATGGGCACAAGGGGTGGCTCATGGCAACCACAGATAGGTGCACTGTTTGCATTTCCCTTCAAGAAAGAACTGAATGATCAGCTGCAAGGAGAGTGGTCAGCTGACAGCCTCCAGTTGCAGCACCTTTGGGACCCGCTGCAGTATTTGAGCTGAGGCCATGCTTTTCCCCACTCCTGCAGTCCCAGCCAATGACTGAGTACGGCAAGCGGCCACTCAGCACCCTCCCTTATGTTTGGGAACTTGTTACCCAAATCCCCAACCGCAACCACGGGATTCCAACAGGAGCAATCATGCTCTTATATGTCCTGATTCCCATGGTCAAAGTTGAACTTGTATAAGGATGAATGCCCAGGCTGGGCCACTCATAGTCCTTCCCCTGGCTGTTGTTGTTGTTGTTGTTGTTGTTGTTGTTTAAACTATAGTCGAGAAGAACATCTCTCTAGTGCAGGAAGTTGCAAGAGATAGCCTTGGTAGTTGTTGGTTTCTGGCCATATGAGGACTCCCATCTGCAGTGAATGAGAAAGAAACCAACACACACAGATGCACAGAGAGGAGACAGAAAGTGCCTGTAGTGGCTGGGCATGGTGGTTCACGCCTGTAATCCCAGTATTTTGGGAGGCCAAGGCAGGCGGATCACCTAAGGTTGGGAGTTCGAGACCAGCCTGACCAACATGGAGAAACCCTGTCTCTACTAAAAATACAAAATTAGCTGGGCATGGTGGCGGGCGCCTGTAATCTCAGCTACTTGGGAGGCTGAGGCAGGAGAATCACTTGAACCTGAGGGGTGGAGGTTGCGATAAGCCCAGGTGGCACCATTGCACTCCAGCCTGGGCAACAAGAGCAAAACTCTGTCTCAAAAAAAAAAAGTGCCTGCAGTATCAGAGCTCTAAGGTCCAGCTGTACCCAGCTCTCCTGGGTTTGATTTTTCTAATCTTTTCTAATATTGGGTAAGAAGTCCGGTATGTTTCCAATAAACATTTTAATTGGAATCAGCTGTCTATCACGTGTGACCAAATAAGTTCTGACACACATTTAGAAGTATCCTACACCTATTTTATATTGATAGTTAATATAGAGTGAGTTGATGGTTTATTATGTTCTAAATAATGGGCTAAGCACTTTACATATATGAATTCATTTAGTCCTCCAAGCAACAATATGAGTCTCTTCTCTCTCTGTTATTTCTCCCAATTTACATATAAAGAGACTGAGGCTAATTTGCTCTAGAATCAAGGCTACTACATAAGGTATTTTAGCACATGACCTTATAATGTGGGCTTCAGAAAGCAGAAACTTTGGAAAGTGCCATCTTCAGTGTTTTAGTTTCTCACCCGGTGATGACATCTCTGTTTTGCAGCATGAGCAAGACAGGTTTGCAGCTGCAGGCATCCTGCAACCTCTGCTGAGGGTTGAAGGACCATTTTCAGGAATAAGGAGAGCAGCATAATACAGAAGCAGAACTGATCATTCCCTACATATGCGCATTTTGGAAGCTTAAAATGGGATTCAAGATTGGACAAGCATGAGTACTTACATGGTCAGAACATATACATTGGGACAATCCTAGATATCTAAGAAGTAAGGGTATCAGGGGTACCTACCAATAGATAGCTCTCAATACAGATTCCTGGAAGGCCAAATCCTTCCCTCCCAGAGGCCTGGAATCCAATGTCAGTGAGTCACTCCTTTATGTGAAGCATCCACATGACCTCTGCTCTCTTTTAAAATTAATCTCTGAGGCCAGTCAGGGTGGCTTATACCTGTAATCCCAGCATTTTGGGAGGCCAAGGTGGGAGGATCACTTGAGGCCAGGAGTTCGAGGCCAGGAGTTCAAGACCCGCCTGAGAAACATGGTGAAACTCCATCTCTACAAAAACTACAAAAATTGGCCAGGCATGGTGGGTCACGCCTGTGGTCCCAGTTACTGGGGAGGCTGAGGTGAGAGGACTGCTAGAGCCCCAGAGGTGGAGGTTGCAGTGAGCCAAGATTACACCACTTTACTCTAGCCTGGGTGACAGAAGTGGAGTAAAAAACAGACAATGTCTCAAAAAAAAAAAAAAAAAAAAAAGGAGTAGTAAAAGGTGGGGAAAGGCCTCTCCAACCCCACCACTAAGTGGAACTTCTGTTAATACCAGAACTCGGCCTTCAGATCAAGACCATCCAAAAGAATATAATGTGAGCCACGTATTTCATTAAATTGTTTCTGATAGCCATATTTGAACATTTTTTTCTAAAAACAAGGGAAACTAATTTTAATAATATGTTTACTTAATGCAGTATATCAAAAATATTATTTCAACAGGTGGTCAATTAAAAATTATTAGTGAGCTATTTGATGTTTTTTTTTCATCTAAGTCTTTGAACACTAGTTATTTTACACTTATGGCAAATCTCAATTCAGATGCTAAATTCTCATCAGAAATACTTGATCTGGCTGGGTGCAGTGGCTCACGCCCGTAATCTCAGCACTTTGGAAGGCTGAGGCGGGCGGATCACTTGAGGTCAGGAGTTCAAGACCAGCCTGGCCAACAGGGTGAAACCCCATCTCTACTAAAAATACAAAAATTAGCCAGGTGAGGTGGCGGGCCTATAATCCCAGCTACTTGAGAGGCTGAGGCAGGAGAATCACTTGAACCTGGGAGGCAGAGTTTGCAGTGAGCCAAGATCATGCTACTGCACTCCAGCCTGGGTGACATGGTGAGACTGTCTCAAAAAAAAAGAAAAGAAATACTTTATCTGTATTTAGACTTCATAAAATTGAAAATTGAAAAATTAGTTTTATACAGCAAGTTGTTCAAAATATACTTAAAATTTTCCAATAACTGAATCCAGTATCAGTTTTCAAATTTAAATTTAAACTAATTATAATGCACACAATTAAAAATTCCATTCCTTGGTCACAGCAGACACATTTCAAGTTCTCAGTGGCCCCAGTAGCTAGTGGCACCACGTCAGACAGCACAGAGAACATTCCATCGGCACAAAAAGTGCTCTGGGACTGTGCCACACTAGATGGTTCCAGCCTTGGCCCTGCAAGGTCGGAAGTGAGTTACGTAAACAAATAGGTTCCTCAACTTCCCAGAGGCCTTCCCATGCCTCTGCCTGGACTCCCAGACTAAGGCTTCTGAACCCCTTCTTCCACCCACTCCCCAACGACCTCCCCAGCAAAGTAGTTAAGAGCAGGGCTCTGAAGTCACAGAGATCCCAGGTTCATCTCAGCTCATCATGTACCAGTTATTTGACTTCCAACAGGCTAATTAACTTTTCTGAGACTTGGGTTTCTCATTAGTAAACAGAAGACAGTATTTTAAAGGAATGTTGTGAGGAGTGCATGAGGTAATGAGTACAAGGCATTAGCACAATGCCTCACACAGAAAATAATGAAAGGTAGTTATTATCAGACAAAAACCCCAAACTCTTTTGTATATGTTTTGTAGATCCCTCCCCAGCATCCTCCTGCCACCCAGGCCAGGTTATTCCTTGGTATCCTTTGGAGGGATCGGGAGTCAGTGGGGATGGGGAGGGACAGGGGAGGGCCTGGTGTGTGGGTGCCGGGGTGCCCCTGTGAGCCGTGTGGTTGTTAATTTACAGGGCATTTGTGCTGCTGCTCTCTTCAGCTCTTCCTTCCCTGCTTATCAGTTCAGGTGGCTTTTGCTCTGGAACTCTCAGTCCCACACGGTCCCCCTCTTTTTTTTGTGACCTAGAACAAATGATTAAGCATACAAAACTATCAGCAACACCCTCTTTCTAAGGACATCAATGACCTCATTCACTCCAAACCCACGGGTACTTTCTGCTCCACCTCTTGGCAGTGTGTGAGCTGTTATTTCTTCCCCTCCTCATCCTGGCTGCCTCTGCCACCCTACAGACCCTTCCTCCTCCTGCCTTTTCGAAGGCCGATCTTTTTACTGCTCCCTAGGCCTGAGCCTTCCCCAAGCCACAGTCTCACTTGGGCAATCTCATTTACTCCAAGGCCTCAGCTCAGAGCCCCTAAACTGTTAGCTTACAAACCTGCACCTCCAGCTCCCACATCAGGTTCAATTCACAGCTCCCAACTGGTCTCACCGCCTGCATGACCCACCTCTGAATTCATCCTTATTCCCTTCAAACCATTCAGGTTCTCACTTGCTGTGAGTTGGGGAAGAGAATACACAAGTAGCTACAAGCGCCCATGTGCCCTTCCTGTGCCAAGAACTTCATTTAACCTTCACAATGACTCTGAGGGGAAGGAATAACAGTCTCCAGTTTATACCTGGAAAAGACAAGGCTCAGAAGAGGAAGAAACCCAAATCCAGGGCCAAGGGTAGTGGCTCACAGCTGTAATCCCAGCACTTTGGGAGGCCAAGGTGGGTGGATCACTTGAGGTCAGGAGTTCGAGACCAGCCTGGCGAACATGGTGAAACCCCATCTCTACTAAAAATAAAATAAATTAGCTGGGCATGGTGGTGCAGGCCTGTAATCCCAGCTACTCAGGAGGCTGAGGCCGGAGAATCACTTGAACCCAGGAGGCGGAGGTTGCAGTGAGCCAAGATCATGCCACTGCACTCCAGCCTGGGCAACAGAGTGAGACTCCATCTCAAAAAATAAATACATAAATAAAAAAGAAACCCAAATCCAGGTCTATCTGAATTCAGACTCCGTGCTCTTCCCAATCCACATGTCTGCCTCCCATGATTCATTCAACAGATTGAAGCTCTCTGCCAGGATGGATTACATACTGTCTGTCTTTGAAAGGTTCGCAGTTCAGTGACAGACAGAGAAGATATGGATAAATACAGTAGTGTGGAAGTGCTGGGATAGGGTCTTGGGTCAGGAAAAACTCCTCCAGAGAAGTGACATCTATACTGAATCAAGAAGGACCAGTAGGAATTATACAGGAAGATACAGGGTAGGAGGAAGTGGTGAGCAGTGAGTGTAAATGCCTGAAAGCTGGGGAGAGAGAGTTGGGACGCTGCAAGTGGTTTCAGCATGGCAGGAGCCAGTGCCGAAGGAGCCTGAGAAAGAGGTAAGCAGAGGCCAGCTAGAATCTAGGTTGAAGGTGCAAGAAACCATTCAATGCTCTTAAGCAGAGGAGGGGCAGGTGCAGATTTGCATATGAGAAATAATCACTCTGGCTGCAGTGTGGAGAACAGACTGGAGGGGCTCCTTGGCGTTGGGGAGACACTGAACAAGTCACTGGCTTAGTTCAGAGGAGAGAGGATGATGATGGTGCAAAAGAAGGGAGAGGCCCCCTCAATGAAGAGGACTAGAGAGTTATGCGGGTTGGTGATGGCACAGGACTTGTTGGTTGACTAGATATGCAGGGCAGCTAAGCACTTGCAGGCTGGACAATTGTGTGGATGGTAGTGGAGTCACTGAGAAAGGGACACAGGAGAAAGGGCAGGTGTCAGGGGATGAGGATGCATTTCACTGGGGACCTGTTGAGTTGAGGCACCAGTGGGACACCCAGATCAGGATGTCAGGTGGACAGTGGTATGTGGGTTCGCAGTCAGGAGAAAACTGTTTGGGATAGACACAGAGGTCTGAGTGTCATCCGTGATAACTTGAGCAAGGGGAATATATAAATGATCCTAAGAGACATAAAATGAGAGGAAATGCAGGCTAGAGCAGGAAATCTGAGGAACACCAACATTTAGGAGGTGGGCAGCAGAAGAAAGACCTTAGAGGAGAACTGTGAAGAAGCCAGGAGGTAGATTTAAAAAAACAAACAAACAAACAAACAAAAAAAACGCAAGTGTAACCAAAGCCATGGCAAGTGTAACCAGTTTCAACAATAGGGAGGTCATTGGTGCCCTTGTTGGGAGAGTCTAAGTGGAGTTTAGATGGCAAAAGCCAGTTTGTGGTGGGTTGAGAAGAGATTGGATGGTGAGCAAATGAGGACAGTAAGAATAGACAATTCATTAAAGATGTCTAGTTGCAATAAGCTCACTTCAAAGATTAAATAAGATGATGAATGAATGTTATGTGCCAATGCCTGGCATATAACAATACCTCAGTCAGTGTTAGCTACTACTATTATTATTATATTAAAGAATATATTTATCCTGGCTAACACGGTGAAACCCTGTCTCTACTAAAAATACAAAAAATTAGCGGGGTGTGGTGGCGGGCGCCTGTAGTCCCAGCTATTTGGAAGGCTGAGGCAGGAGAATGGTGTGAACCCGGGAGGCGGAGTTTGCAGCAAGCCAAGATCGAGCCACTGCAATCCAGCCTGGGCAACAGAACAAGACTCCATCTCAAAAACAAACAAACAAACAAACAAACAACAACAAAAAAGAATATATTTCAAGGAAGAAGAGAAAAAAATGGTAGCCATAAGGAGATGTGAATTTAGGGAGGCTTTTTAAAGGCTTCTCTCCCCATTATACCAAAAAAAGAAAGAACTTCCTTCTTGCCAAACGCTGCCGACATGATGTTCAAGCACTTCCTGGAGGTTTGCCAGGTGGCCTATGTCTCCTTTGGACCTTATGCTGGAAAGCTGGTCGCAGTTGTAGATGTTACTGATGAAAACAGGGCTCTGGCTGATGGACTTTGCACTCAGGTAATGGGACAGGCCGTGTCTTTCAAATGCATGCAGCTCACTGACTTCATCCTCAAGTTCCCACATAGCACCCACCAAAGGTATGTCCAACAAGCCTGGCAGCAGGTAGACCTCAATGCAAAATGGGCAGCCACACTAAGCCAAGAAGATTGAAGCCAAAGAGAGGAAAGCCAAGATGACAGATTTTGATTGTTTTAAAGCCATGAAGGCAAAGAAAATGAGGAAAAGAATAATTAAGAATGAAGTTAGAGGCTCACGCCTGTAATCCCAGCACTTTGGGAGTCCAAGGCAGGCAGATCACCTGAGGTCAGGAGTTTGAGACCAACCTGGCCAACATGGTGAAACCCTGTCTCTACTAAAAATACAAAAATTTGCTGGGCGTGGTGGCGCGTGCCTGTAATCCCAGCTACTTGGGAGACTGAGGCAGGAGAATCACTTGAACCCAGGAGGCAGAGGTTGCAGTGAGCCGAGATTGTGCCATTGCACTTCAGCCTGGGCGACAAGAGCGAGACTCTGTCTCAAAAAACAAACAAACAAAAAATGAGTTTAGGAAGCTTCGAAAGGCAGCTCTCCTGAAAGCTTCTACCAGAAAAGCACCTGCTGCTAAAGTCCCAGCAAAAAAGATGATCACTGCGGGCAAGAAGGCTCCAGCCCGGAAGATTCCTGCCCAGAAAGCCACAGGCCAGAAGGCAGCACTTCTTCAGAAAGCTCAGAAGGGTCAAAAAGTGTTGGCCCAGGGAGCACCTTCTCCAAAAGTGTCTGGCAAGGAAGCATAAGAGGCTACTACTAAAGTAATAAAGGCTCTTTTTGACATGTTAAAAAACAGGGAAAAAACGCTTTAAAAATTTCATCAAAGAAATACACGCAAATGGTTCAAAAAAGCAACAGTCCCGAGCCACCCTGAAGAGGCAAGCACTTTGAACTGCTTCTGTGTTGTAGTAACCTCCAGATCACTAATTCACCTCCTGGCCTAACTATTTCTTGATTTATCCGCCTTAGACATTCTCTATTAACTTCCTGATATGCTGGATGAGAATTTAGTTCACTTACACTCCTCTCGTTCCCCTCTCCTCCAAAGTGGTTGCATCACCATTCTCAATCTCTCCACTGGCCCTCTTTGCAACCTACTTAAGCTCCCTTCTTCGTTCTATTAATCATGGATAGTGTCTCTTGACTCCCTACTTCTACGATAAGGACATTAGTAGTCTATTCTTCCTCTCAAGAGGGAAGGTTTGTTTTGGTATGGTTTGGTTTGGTTTATTTTGTTCTAAAATGTGGAGATTCTTAAATAGGCCTCATGGGAAGGAATCAATGGCAGTAAATAATTGAAGATAGATGACAAAACAGTTGTTGGCATGAGATCCCCGAAGAGGCATAAGAGGACGAGGTAGAGCCCAGTGTGTGACATCTCCACAGCAGCACTACAATTTCCAGCACACATCTAGGAGTCTTCTGGGACCTACGGAACTCCTTTGTATCCTGGATCCAATCAGCTGTACAATTTCATAGATTTGCTTCTTCAATTTATCTCTTTCTATTCCCTTCTCTCCTGCTCGTGGCTTTAGCTCAGGCTTTCATTGTTTCTGACTTGGACAACAGGCTTCTTTTTTTTTTTTTTTTAAGTGAAGGCAAGTTTATTAGGAAAGTAAAGGAATAAAAGAATGGCTACTCCATAGGCAGAGCAGCTGACAAAAGACTTCTTTTTTTTTTTTTTTTTTTTTTTTTGAGACGGAGTCTTCCTCCAGCCCAGGCTGGAATGCAATGGCATGATCTTGGCTCACTGCAACCTTTGCCTTCTGGGTTCAAGTGATTCTCCTGCCTCAGCCTCCCAAGTAGCTGGGATTACAGACGCCCGCCACCTCAACCACAGACGCCTGCCACCTCACCCCGCTAATTTTTGTATTTTTAGTAGAGACGGGGTTCCACCATGTTGGCCAGGATGGTCTTGAACTCCTGACCTCAGGTGATCCGCCCGCCTTGGCCTCCCAAAGTGCTGGGATTACAGGTGTGAGCCATCATGCCCAGCCAATAAAAGACTTCTAACTGATCTCTTTCTCTACCCATTCTTCCCTCTCAAGTCTCTTACACTGATGCTGGGTTAATCTCTTACAGCAGAACTCTCATCATCCTACTCCCTTGTTCAACCTCCGCAGGCTGGCTTTCGAGGCCTTCCATAATGAGGTCCCAGCCCAGCATGGGATAATAAAGGTTCAATCTGGGAAGAGTGAGGCAGACGTCAGGGGCAAATGGAGAGTGTTCTTCACGCATAAACGCAGTTCCTCAGGCGCACCTGTTTTAACAAGAGCTTCGGGGCCAAAGGAGGTAGTGAAAAGGCATCCAAATGTGTCTACTGCAAAGTCAAATAGCCATAGCATGGGCTCTGGTTCAGAAATTCTCCTAATATTTCCTTTGGAAACTTACAAAGAAGAAATACAAAAAGCCAATAAACATATTTAAAAGTTCAACATCACTGATCTAGAAAGGCAGCCATGAGTGTGTCCCATTTTGTAAAGGGCTTCCTCTGCATCTGCTCTTAAATCAGTCACTAGACATCTTAGCTGGCAGCTGCCTTCCCCTCCTTCTCTGATCTGAGTCATTTGGGAACTAGATATGCCTGGCTTAGCGCACTAACTGTGGAGAGCATGTGAGGTATGTACCTCTGTGTCACAGAAACTCTAACACCGAGCAAGATTATTTTTAGAGGTGACCTTCTAGGTTCCACGGAAAAGTAAACAGACAGATGCACATGATTTCCTCTGAGAGACTCACAGTAAACAAACCAGCACACATGCACTCGCTATTATCCTGCGTCAGGTGAAAAGCTTTATTGAAAGCTGGAAATCAACCAGGATGAAGAGGGGGTAACTGAGTGAAAGATCACAGCATCCAGCTACTCAATCAGAAAGCTGCAGGTGGAACAACTTTTCCATTCTAAATTCTTGGAAAACATGTTGTTTTCAATAAATTTTCAATAGTTCCCCATGAAAATATTTGTAAAATGTATTACTTAATTTCTTGCCTTTCATTTTGTATTATTCTTTTTGTTGTTACGTTTGTTATTTTTCTTGTGTAATGTGTTTATTACTTTTAAATGAACATTTAACAAAACAGAAAAGTCTCCATAATCCTGCCCCTTGTTAATAGTTTGTTGGCCACCGGGGTGGCTCACACCTGTCATCCCAGTACTTTGAGAGGCTGAGGCAGAGGGATTGTTTGAGTCCAGGGGTTCGAGACCAGCCTGGGCAACATGGTAAAACCCCATCTCTACTAAAAATGCAAAAATTAGCCAGGCATGATAGCATTCACCTGTAATCCCAGCTACTCAGGAGACTCAGATGGGAGGATTGCTTGAGCCCAGGAGGTAAGAGGTTGCAGTGAGCTAAGATCGTACCACTGCACTCCAGCCTGGGCAACAAAGCCAGACCCTTTCTCAAAAAAAAAAAAGAAAAAGAAAAAGAAAAAAAATTATTGTATATGTCTCCAGATATTGTATACAAATACTCATATCTATATATCAACAAAATAAAAGATACAGTCTTACAACTTTCTTTTGTCATGTAGCAGTATATGTTGGGCAGCTTTTCATATTGGTATATATAGGTCTCACTCTATGTTGGATGTTTAGGTCATTTCCAGTGTTTCACTCTTACAAATAACGCAGAAGTAAGCATCTTTGAAAGATATCTTTGGGCACTTGCAATTGTCCAGCAAAAACTTGGACAACTTCTGGGAGTAAGAATTCTGGATCAAAATATTTACATATTTTAAAAGTTTTAATGTAGTTACTGCCAAATTGCTTTCCACCTGTCTCCCGAGACATATAAGAATAAATTTATTTCCCATGAAGACTTAGCACCTGACACAGTGCCTGGCACACAAGAGCTGTTTATTAATTGCTGTTTAGGTTAAATCATCATAAATATTCGTTATTGTTCTGGTTATGAAAACGATGCCTCTGACATGATTGAAATGCTTACCCTGTCTGCCTCACTCCTAATTGTCCCAGACATTGGAGGTATTTAAGTGCTGGTAAAGCACTGGAGTAGTAGTCATGGTAGTAGCAAATATAATTTTTAAGAAATAGGACAAAGGCCAGACTCAGTGGCTCAGGCCTATAATCCCAACATTGTGAGAGAACCAGGCGGGAGGATCACTTGAGCCCAGGAGTTCGAGACTAGCCTGGGCAACATGGCAAGATCCTGTCTCTACAAAAAATTTTAAAAATTAGCCAGGCATTTTAAAAATGGGACCTGCAGTCCCATCTACCCAGGATGCTGAGGTGGGAGGATCGTCACCTGAGCCCAGGAGGTTGAGGCTGCAGTGAGCCATGATCGCACCGCTGCACTCCATCCTGGGCAGCAGAATGAGACCCTGTCTCAAAAAAAACAAAAAGTACATATCACAATACTCCTGATTGACTCCTTGCTGGCAAGCTATTTGTTGTCACCTAAAATCATAGAATTCTACAGTAAACAGGAGCCTAGACATTAAATTATTTAAATGTTTCTTTTTTTATATGAATAAGTAAAAGCCCAGAGAGGTAGTGGTTGGTCAAAGGTTTGAGAATTTTACTTAAAGCACCTCTTCTTTCCCACCTTCCTTTTTTTGACTTAAATGCACAGGTTTAGTATATGTTTATTGCACTTGACTATATCATATAAATGAGGCACATTATTAACTAGAATATGTTTCCTCAAGTCTTTTTAGGTCTGTCAGTTTATCTGCCTAGAGCTTCCCTTCTTGGCTTCCTAATTTTCTACTGCAAGTCAGCCAAGGATTGAAAATCAGATTACCAAGCTTATTAGAACTATAAGTCAAGCATGAAACTATTAGAACTACATGTGAAGAGGTGGAATCACTGTGTGGTCTAAGGTTTTCCTACGTGTGAAACACAGGATCTCAATACCTTTCTGTCAGCTGTTTTGGCTACTCAGGACAGCTCATGTGTGTGTGTGCAGGCACAGCCAAGGCTTTAGCAGTGTTGCCATGTTCTGGATTGTAGGGTGGATGCACCTGACAGCAATAATTTAACTTAAGCATACCCTGAATGGCAGATGCACCTGGCAGCAGCAATAACTTAAGAAATGAGTGTTGCCGGCTGGGTGCAATGGCTCACGCCTGTAATCCTGGCACTTTGGGAGGCCGAGGTGGGTGGATCACTTGAGGTCAAAAGTTCAAGACCAGCCTAACCAATATGGTGAAACCGCAGCTCTACTAAAAGTACAAAAATTAGCCGGGTGTGGTGGCAGGTGCCTGTAATCCCAGCTACTTGGGAGGCTAAGGCAGGAGAATCGCTTGAACCCAGGAAGCAGAGGTTGTAGTGAGCTGAGATCATGACACTGC